>NC_000019.10:25234715-25560741 GCF_000001405.40 Homo sapiens | reverse complement strand
TTACTGAGAATTCTTCTGTCTAGCCTTACATGAAAAAAACCCGTTTCCAACGAAGGCCTCTAAGTGGTCAAGTTATCCACGTGCAGACTTTACAAACAGAGTGTTTCCAAACTGCTGAATGAAAAGAAAATTTAAACTCTGAGAGTTGAACGCACACATCGCAGAGCAGTTTCTGAGAATGATTCTGTCTAGTTTTGAAACGAAGATATTTCCTTTCCTGCCATTGACCTTAAAGCGCTTGAAATCTCCATTTGCCAATTGCACAAAAAGAGTGTTTCAAATCTGCTCTGTCTAAGGGAACGTTCAACTGTGTGAGTTGAATGTACACAACACAAGGAAGTTACTGGGAATTCTTCTGTCTAGCCTTACATGAAAAAAACCCTTTTCCAACGAAGGCCTCTAAGTGGTCAAAATATCCACGTGCAGACTTTACAAACAGAGTGTTTCCAAACCGCTGAATGAAAAGAAAAGTTAAACTCTGAGAGTTGAACCCACACATCACGCAGCAGTTTCTGAGAATGATTCTGTCTAGTTTTTATACGAAGATATTTCCTTTTCTGCCTTTGGCCTCAATGCGCTTGAAATCTCCACTGGCAAATTCCACAAAAAGAGTGTTTCCAATCTGCTCTGTGTAAATGAAAGTTCAACTCTGTGAGTTGAACACACACAACAAAAGGAAGTTACTGGGAATTCTTCTGTCTAGCATAGTATGAAGAAATCCCGTTTCCAACGAAGGCCTCAAAGAGGTCTGTATATCCACTTGCAGACTTTACAAACAAAGTGTTTCCTAACTGCTCTATGAAAAGAAAGGTTAAACTCTGTGAGTTGAACGCACACATCACAAAGAAGTTTCTGAGAATCATTCTGTCTAGTCTTTATAAGAAGATAGTTTCCTTTTCTACCATTGACCTCAAAGCGGCTGAAATCTCCACTTGCAAATTCCACAAAAGGAGTGTTTCAAGTCTGCTCTGTGTAAAGGATTGTTCAACTCTGTGAGTTGCATACACACAACACAAGGAAGTTACTGAGAATTCTTCTGTCTAGCAGAATACGAAGAAATCCCGTTTCCAACGAAGGCCTCTAGGAGGTCTGAATATCCACTTGCAGACTTTACAAACAGAGTGTTTCCTAACTGCTCTATGAACAGAAAGGTTAAACTCTGTGAGTTGAACGAACACATCACAACGCAGTTTGTGGGAATGATTCTGTCTAGTTTTGAAACGAAGATATTTCCTTTTCTGCCGTTGACCTTAAAGCGCTTGAAATCTACACTCGCAAATTGCACAAATAGAGTGTTTCAAATCTGCTCTGTCTAAGGGAACGTTCAACTCTGTGAGTTGAATGCACACAACACAAGGAAGTTACTGGGAATTCTTCTGTCTAGCCTTACAGGAAAAAAACCCGTTTCCAACGAAGGCCTCTAAGTGGACAAAATATCCACGTGCAGACTTCACAAACAGAGTGTTTCCAAACTGCTGAATGAAAAGAAAAGTTAAACTCTGAGAGTTGAACGCACACATCGCAGAGCAGTTTCTGAGAATGATTCTGTCTAGTTTCTATAGGAAGATATTTCCTATTCTACCATTGACCTCAAAGCGGCTGAAATCTCCACTTGCAAATTCCACAAAAAGAGTGTTTCAAGTCTGCTCTGTGTAAAGGATCGTTCAACTCTGTGAGTTGAATACCCACAACACAAGGAAGTTACTGAGAATTCTTCTTTCTAGCAGAATATGAAGAAATCCCGTTTCCAACGAAAGCCTCAAGGATGTCTGAATATCTACTTGCAGACTTTACAAACAGAGTGTTTCCCAACTGCTCTATGAAAAGAAAGGTTAAACTCTGTGAGTTGAACGCACACATCACAAAGGAGTTTCTGAGAATCATTCTGTCTAGTTTCTATAGGAAGATATTTCCTATTCTACCATTGACCTCAAAGCGGCTGAAATCTCCACTTGCAAATTCCACAAAAAGAGTGTTTCAAGTCTACTCTCTGTAAAGCATCGTTCAACTCTGTGAGTTGAAAACACACAACACAAGGAAGTTTCTGAGAATTCTTCTGTCTAGCAGAATATGAAGAAATCCCGTTTCCAACCAAGGCCACAAGATGTCAGAATATCCACTTACAGAATTTACAAACAGACTGTTTCCTAACTGCTCTATGAAAAGAAAGGTTAAACTCTGTAGGTTGAACGAACACATCACAACGCAGTTTGTGGGAATGATTCTGTCTAGTTTTGAAACGAAGATATTTCCTTTTCTGCCATTGACCTTAAAGCGCTTGAAATCTCCATTTGCCAATTGCACAAAAAGAGTGTTTCAAATCTGCTCTGTCTAAGGGAACGTTCAACTCTGTGAGTTGATTGTACACAACACAAGGAAGTTACTGGGAATTCTTCTGTCTAGCCTTACAGGAAAAAAACCCGTTTCCAACGAAGGCCTCTAAGTGGTCAAGTTATCCACGTGCAGACTTTACAAACAGAGTGTTTCCAAACTGCTGAATGAAAAGAAAAGTTAAACTCTGAGAGTTGAACGCACACATCGCAGAGCAGTTTCTGAGAATGATTCTGTCTAGTTTTTATACGAAGATATTTCCTTTTCTGCCTTTGGCCTGAAAGGGCTTGAAATCTCCATTTGCAAATTCCACAAAAAGAGTGTTTCAAATCTGCTCTGTGTAAATGAAAGTTCAACTCTGTGAGTTGAATACACACAACACAAGGAAGTTACTGGGAATTCTTCTGTCTAGCCTTATATGAAAAAAACCCGTTTCCAAAGAAGGCCTCAAAGAGGCCTGAATATCCACTTGCAGTCTTTACAAACAGAGTGTTTCCTAACTGCTCTATGAAAAGAAAGGTTAAACTCTGTGAGTTGAACACACACATCACAAAGGAGTTTCTGAGAATCATTCTGTCTAGTTTTTATACGAAGATATTTCCTTTTCTACCATTGACCTCAAAGCGGCTGAAATCTCCACCCTGCCAATTCCACAAAAAGAGTGTTTCAAGTCTACTCTCTGTAAAGGATCGTTGAACTCTGTGATTTGAAAACACACAACACAACGAAGTTTCTGAGAATTCTTCTGTCTAGCATAATATGAAGAAATCCCGTTTCCAACGAAGGCCTCAAAGAGGTCTGAATATCCACTTGCAGATTTTACAAACAGAGTGTTTCCTAACTACTCTATGAAAAGAAAGCTTAAACTCTGTGAGTTCAACGCACACATCACAAAGGAGTTTCTGAGAATCATTCTGTCTAGTTTTTATACGAAGATATTTCATTTTCTACCATTGACCTCAAAGCGGCTGAAATCTCCACTTGCAAATTCCACAAAAAGAGTGTTTCAAATCTGCTCTGTGTAAAGGATCGTTCAACTCTGTGAGTTGAATACACACAACACAAGGGAAGATTCTGAGAATTCTTCTGTGTAGCCTTAAATGAAGAAATACCATTTCCAAAGAACGCCTCATGGCGGTCCAAATATCCACAGGCAGACTTTTCAAACAGAGCGTTTCCCAACTGCTCTATGAAAAGAAATGTTAAACTCTGTGAGTTAAACATACACATCACTACACAGTTTCTGGGAATGATTCTGTCTAGTTTTTATACGAAGATATTTCCTTTTCTGCCTTTGGCCCCAAAGCGCATGAAATCTCCACTTGCAAATTCCACAAAAACAGTGTTACAAATCTGCTCTCTCTAAATGAAAGTTCAAATCCGTCAGTTGAATACACACAACACAAGGAAGTTACTGAGAATTCTTCTGTCTATCATAATATGAAGAAATCCCGTTTCCAACGTAGGCCTCAAAGAGGTCTGAATATCCACTTGCAGACTTTACAAACAGAGTGTTTCCTAGCTGCTCTACGAAAAGAAAGGTTAAACTCTTTGAGTTGAACGCACACATCAGAAAGGAGTTTCTGAGAATCATTCTGTCTAGTTTCTATAGGAAGATATTTCCTATTCTACCATTGACCTCAAAGCGGCTGAAATCTCCACTTGCAAATTCCACAAGAAGAGTGTTTCAAGTATGCTCTGTGTAACGGATCGTTCAACTCTGTGAGTTGAATACACACAACACAGGGAAGTTACTGAGAATTCTTCTGTCTAGCCTTACAGGAAAAAAACCCGTTTCCAACGAAGGCCTCTAAGTGGTCAAGTTATCCACGTGCAGACTTTACAAACAGAGTGTTTCCAAACTTCTGAATGAAAAGAAAAGTTAAACTCTGAGAGTTGAACGCACACATCGCAGAGCAGTTTCTGAGAATGATTTCTGTCTAGTTTTTATACGAAGATATTTCCTTTTCTGCCTTTGGCCTCAAACCGCTTGAAATCTCCATTTGCAAATTCCACAAAAACAGTGTTTCAAATCTGCTCTGTGTAAATGACAGTTCAACTCTGTGAGTTGAACACACACAACACATGGAAGTTACTGGGAATTCTTCTGTCTAGCATAATATGAAGAAATCCCGTTTCCAACGAAGGCCTCAAAGAGGTCTGAATATCCACTTGCAGACTTTACAAACAGAGTGTTTCCTAACTGCTCTATGAAAAGAAAAGTTAAACTCTGTGAGTTGAACGCACACATCACCAAGGAGTTTCTGAGAATCATTCTGTCTAGTTTTTCTACGAAGATATTTCCTTTTCTACTATTGACCTCAAAGCGGCTGAAATCTCCACTTGCAAATTCCACAAAAAGAGTGTTTCAAGTCTGCTCTGTGTAAAGGATCGTTCAACTCTGTGAGTTGAATACACACAGCACAAGGAAGTTACTGAGAATTCTTCTGTCTAGCACAGTATGAAGAAATCCCGTTTCCAACGAAGGCCTCAAAGAGGTCTGAATATCCACTTGCAGAGTTTACAAACAGAGTGTTTCCTAACTGCTCTATGAAAAGAAAGGTTAAACTCTGTGAGTTGAACGCACACGTCACAATGAAGTTTCTGAGAATCATTCTGTCTAGTTTTTATACGAAGATATTTCCTTTTATACCATTGACCACAAAGCGGCTGAAATCACCACTTGCCAATTGCACAAAAAGAGTGTTTCAAATCTGCTCTGTCTAAGGGAACGTTCAACTCTGTGAGTTGAATGTACACAACACAAGGAAGTTACTGGGAATTCTTCTGTCTAGCCTTACAGGAAAAAAACCCGTTTCCAACGAAGGCCTTTAAGTGGTCAAAATATCCACGTGCAGACTTTACAAACAGAGTGTTTCCAAACTGCTGAATGAAAAGAAAAGTTAAACTCTGAGAGTTGAACGCACACATCGCAGAGCAGTTTCTGAGAATGATTCTGTCTAGTTTTTATACGAAGATATTTCCTTTTCTGCCTTTGGCCTCAAAGCGCTTGAAATCTCCACTTGCAAATTCCACAAAAAGAGTGTTTCAAATCTGCTCTGTGTAAATGAAAGTTCAATTCTGTGAGTTGAACACACACAACACAAGGAAGTTACTGGGAATTCTTCTGTCTAGCAGAATATGAAGAAATCCCGTTTCCAACGAAGGCCTCAAAGAGGTCTGAATATCCACTTGCAGACTTTACAACCAGAGTGTTTCCTAACTGCTCTATGAAAAGAAAGGTTTAAACTCTGTGAGTTGAACGCACACATCACAAAGGAGTTTCTGAGAATCATTCTGTCTAGTTTCTATAGGAAGATATTTCCTTTTCTACCATTGACCTCAAAGCAGCTGAAATCTCCACTTGCAAATTCCACAAAAAGAGTGTTTCAAGTCTACTCTGTGTAAAGGATCGTTCAACTCTGTGAGTTGAAAACACACAACACAAGGAAGTTTCTGAGAATTCTTCTGTCTAGCAGAATATGAAGAAATCCCGTTTCCAACGAAGGCCACAAGATGTCAGAATATCCACTTACAGACTTTACAGAGTGTTTCCTAACTGCTCTATGAACAGAAAGGTTAAACTCTGTGAGTTGAACGAACCCATCACAACGCAGTTTGTGGGAATGATTCTGTCTAGTTTTGAAACGAAGATATTTCCTTTTCTGCCATTACCTTAAAGCGCTTGAAATCTACACTTGCAAATTGCACAAATAGAGTGTTTCAAATCTGCTCTGTCTAAGGGAACGTTCAACTCTGTGAGTTGAATGCACACAACACAAGGAAGTTACTGGGAATTCTTCTGTCTAGCCTTACATGAAAAAAACCCGTTTCCAACGAAGGCCTCTAAGTGGTCAAAATATCCACGTGCAGACTTTACAAACAGAGTGTTTCCAAATTGCTGAATGAAAAGAAAAGTTAAACTCTGAGAGTTGAACGCACACATCACAGAGCAGTTTCAGAGAATGATTCTGTCTAGTTTTTATAGGAAGATATTTCCTTTTCTGCCTTTGGCCCCAAAGCGCTTGAAATCTCCACTTGCAAATTCCACAAAAACAGTGTTTCAAATCTGCTCTCTCTAAATGAAAGTTCAACTCTGTCAGTTGAATACACACAACACAAGGAAGTTACTGAGAATTCTTCTGTCTAGCAGAATATGAAGAAATCCCGTTTCCAACGAGAGTCTCAAAGATGTCTGAATATCCACTTGCAGACTTTACAAACAGAGTGTTTCTTAACTGCTCTATGAAAAGAAAGGTTAAACTCTGTGAGTTGAACGCACACATCACAAAGAAGTTTCTGAGAATCATTCTGTCTACTTTCTATAGGAAGATATTTCCTATTCTACCATTGACCTCAAAGCGGATGAAATCTCCACTTGCAAATTCCACAAAAATAGTGTTTCAAGTCTGCTCTGTGTAAAGGATCGTTCAACTCTGTGAGTTGAATACACACAACACAAGGAAGTTACTGAGAATTGTTCTGTCTAGCCTTATATTAAAAAAACCCGTTTCCAACGAAGGCCTCAAAGAGGTCTGAATATCCACTTGCAGACTTTACAAACAGAGTGTTTCCTAACTGCTCTATGAAAAGAAATGTTAAACTCTGTGAGTTGAACACACACATCACAAAGGAGTTTCTGAGAATCATTCTGTCTAGTTTCTATAGGAAGATATTTCCTATTCTACCATTGACCTCAAAGCGGCTGAAATCTCCAGTTGCAAATTCCACAAAAAGAATGTTTCAAGTCTGCTCTGTGTAAAGCATCGTTCAACTCTGTGAGTTGAATACACACAACACAAGGAAGTTACTGAGAATTATTCTGTCTAGCATAATATGAAGAAATCCCGTTTCCAACGAAGGTCTCAAAGAGGTCTGAATATCCACTTGCAGACTTTACAAACAGAGTGTTTCCTAACTGCTCTATGAAAAGAAAAGTTAAACTTTGTGAGTTGAACGCACACATCACAAAGGAGTTTATGAGAATCATTCTGTCTAGTTTTGAAACGAAGATATTTCCTTTTCTGCCACTGACCTTAAAGCGCTTGAAATCTACACTTGCAAATTGCACAAATAGAGTGTTTGAAATCTGCTCTGTCTAAGGGAACGTTCAACTCTGTGAGTTGAATGCACACAACACAAGGAAGTTACTGGGAATTCTTTTCTCTAGCCTTACATGAAAAAAACCCGTTTCCAACGAAGGCCTCTAAGTGGTCAAAATATCCACGTGCAGACTTTACAAACAGAGTGTTTCCACACCGCTGAATGAAAAGAAAAGTTAAACTCTGAGAGTTGAACGCACACATCACGCAGCAGTTTCTGAGAATGATTCTGTCTAGTTTTTATACGAAGATATTTCCTTTTCTACCATTGACCTCAAAGCGGTTGAAATCTCCACTTGCAAATTCCACAAAAAGAGTGTTTCAAGTCTACTCTGTGTAAAGGATCGTTCAACTCTGTGAGTTGAATACACACAACACAAGGAAGTTACTGAGAATTCTTCTGTCTAGCATAATATGAAGAAATCCCGTTTCCAACGAAGGCCTCAAAGAGGTCTGAATATCCACTTGCAGACTTTACAAACAGAGTGTTTCCTAACTGCTCTATGAAAAGAAAGGTTAAACTCTGTGAGTTGAATGCACACATCACAAAGGAGTTTCTGAGAATCATTCTGTCTAGTTTCTATAGGAAGATATTTCCTATTCTACCATTGACCTCAAAGCGGCTGAAATCTCCACTTGCAAATTCCACCAAAAGAGTGTTTCAAGTCTGCTCTGTGTAAAGGATCGTTCAACTCTGTGAGTTGAATACACACAACACAAGGCAGTTACTGAGAATTCTTCGGTCTAGCATAATATGAAGAAATCCCGTTTCCAACGAAGGCCTCAAAGAGGTCTGAATATCCACTTGCAGACTTTACAAACAGAGTGTTTCCTAACTGCTCTATGAAAAGAAAAGTTAAACTCTGTGAGTTGAACGCACACATCACAAAGGATTTTCTGAGAATCATTCTGTCTAGTCTTTATACGAAGATAGTTTCCTTTTCTACCATTGACCTCAAAGCTGCTGAAATCTCCTCTTGCAAATTCCACAAAAAGAGTGTTTCAAGTCTGCTCTGTGTAAAGGATCGTTCAACTCTGTGAGTTGAATACACACAACACAAGGAAGTTACTGAGAATTCTTCTGTCTATCAGAATATGAAGAAATCCCGTTTCCAAAGAAGGCCTCAAGGAGGTCTGAATATCCACTTGCAGACTTTACAAACAGAGTGTTTCCTAACTGCTCTATGAACAGAAAGGTTAAACTCTGTGAGTTGAACGCACACATCACAAAGGAGTTTATGAGAATCATTCTGTCTAGTTTTTATAGGAAGATATTTCCTTTTCTACATTTGACTTCAAAGCGGCTGAAATCTCCAATTGCAAATTCCACAAAAAGAGTGTTACAAGTCTGCTCTGTGTAAAGGATCGTTCAACTGTGTGAGTTGAATACACACAACACAAGGAAGTTACTGAGAATTCTTCTGTCTAGCCTTACGTGAAAAAAACCCGTTTCCAACGAAGGCCTCTAAGTGGTCAATTTATCCACGTGCAGACTTTACAAACAGAGTGTTTCCAAACTGCTGAATGAAAAGAAAAGTTAAACTCTGAGAGTTGAACGCACACATCGCAGAGCAGTTTCTGAGAATGATTCTGTCTAGTTTTTATACGAAGATATTTCCTTTTCTACCATTGACCTCAATGCGGCTGAAATCTCCCCTTGCAAATTCCACAAAAAGTGTGTTTCAAGTCCGCTCTGTGTAAAGGATCGTTCAACTCTGTGAGTTGAATACACACAACACAAGGAAGTTACTGAGAATTCTTCTGTCTAGCACAGTATGAAGAAATCCCGTTTCCAACGAAGGCCTCAAAGAGGTCTGAATATCCACTTGCAGACTTTACAAACAGAGTGTTTCCTAACTGCTCTATGAAAAGAAAGGTTAAACTCTGTGAGTTGAACGCACACATCACAAAGAAGTTTCTGAGAATCATTCTGTCTAGTTTCTATAGGAAGATATTTCCTATTCTACCATTGGCCTCAAAGCGGCTGAAATCTCCACTTGCAAATTCCACAAAAGGAGTGTTTCAAGTCTGCTCTGTGTAAAGGATCGTTCAACTCTGTGAGTTGAAAACACACAACACAAGGAAGTTTCTGAGAATTCTTCTGTCTAGCAGAATATGAAGAAATCCCGCTTCCAACGAAGGCCTCAAAGAAGTCTGAATATCCACTTGCAGACTTTACAAACAGAGTGTTTCCCAACTGCTCTATGAAAAGAAAGGTTGAACTCTGTGAGTAGAACGCACACATCACAAAGGAGTTTCTGAGAATCATTCTGTCTAGTTTTGAAATGAAGATATTTCCTTTTCTGCCATTGACCTTAAAGCGCTTGAAATCTACACTTGCAAATTGCACAAATAGAGTGCTTCAAATCTGCTCTGTCTAAGGGAACGTTCAACTCTGTGAGTTGAATGCACACAACACAAGGAAGTTACTGGGAATTCTTCTGTCTAGCCTTACATGCAAAAAACCCGTTTCCAACGAAGGCCTCTAAGTGGTCAAAATATCCACGTGCAGACTTTACAAACAGAGGGTTTCCAAACCGCTGAATGAAATGAAAAGTTAAACTCTGAGAGTTGAACGCACACATCACGCAGCAGTTTCTGAGAATGATTCTGTCTAGTTTTTATACGAAGATATTTCCTTTTCTGCCTTTGGCCTCAAAGCGCTTGAAATCTCCACTTGCAAATTCCACAAAAAGAGTGTTTCAAATCTGCTCTGTCTAAGGGAACGTTCAACTCTGTGAGTTGAACACACACAACACAAGGAAGTCACTGGGAATTCTTCTTTCTAGCAGAATATGAAGAAATCCCGTTTCCAACGAAAGCCTCAAGGATGTCTGAATATCCACTTGCAGACTTTACAAACAGAGTGTTTCCTAACTGCTCTATGAAAAGAAAGGGTAAACTCTGTGAGTTGAACGCACACATCACAAAGGAGTTTCTGAGAATCATTCTGTCTAGTTTCTATAGGAAGATATTTCCTATTCTACCATTGACCTCAAAGCGGCTGAAATCTCCACTTGCAAATTCCACAAAAAGAGTGTTTTAAGTCTGCTCTCTGTAAAGGATCGTTCAACTCTGTGAGTTGAATACACACAAAACAAGGAAGTTACTGAGAATTATTCTGTCTAGCATAGTATGAAGAAATCCCGTTTCCAACGAAGGCCTCAAAGAGGTCTGAATATCCACTTGCAGAGTTTACAAACAGAGTGTTTCCTAACTGCTCTATGAAAAGAAAGGTTAAACTCTGTGAGTTGAACGAACACATCACAACGCAGTTTGTGGGAATGATTCTGTCTAGTTTTGAAACCAAGATATTTCCTTTTCTGCCATTGACCTTAAAGCGCTTGAAATCTACACTTGCAAATTGCACAAATAGAGTGTTTCAAATCTGCTCTGTCTAAGGGAACGTTCAACTCTGTGAGTTGAATGCACACAACACAAGGAAGTTACTGGGAATTCTTCTGTCTAGCCTTATATGAAAAAAACCCGTTTCCAACGAAGGCCTCTAAGTGGTCAAGTTATCCACGTGCAGACTTTACAAACAGAGTGTTTCCAAACTGCTGAATGAAAAGAAAAGTTAAACTCTGAGAGTTGAACGCACACATCGCAGAGCAGTTTCTGAGAATGATTCTGTCTAGTTTTTATACGAAGATATTTCCTTTTCTGCCTTTGGCCTCAAAGCACTTGAAATCTCCACTTGGAAATTCCACAAAAAGAGTGTTTCAAATCTGCTCTGTGTAAATGAGAGTTCAACTCTGTGAGTTGAACACACACAACACAAGGAAGTTACTGGGAATTCTTCTGTCTAGCCTTATATGAAAAAAACCCGTTTCCATCGAAGGCCTCAAAGAGGTCTGAATATCCACTTGCAGACTTAACAAACAGAGTGTTTCCTAACTGCTCAATGAAAAGAAAGGTTAAACTCTGTGAGTTGAACACATACATCACAAAGGAGTTTCTGAGAATCATTCTGTCTAGTTTCTATAGGAAGATATTTCCTATTCTACCATTGACCTCAAAGCGGCTGAAATCTCCACTTGCAATTTCCACAAAAAGAGTGTTTCAAGTCTGCTCTGTGTAAAGGATCGTTCAACTCTGTGAGTTGAATACACACAACACAAGGAAGTTACTGATAATTCTTCTGTCCAGCATAATATGAAGAAATCCCGTTTCCAACGAAGGCCTCAAAGGGGTCTGAATATTCACTTGCAGACTTTATAAACAGAGTGTTTACTAACTGCTCTATGAAAGCAAAGGTTAAACTCTGTGAGTTGAACACACACATCACAAAGGAGTTTCTCAGAATCATTCTGTCTAGTTTCTATAGGAAGATATTTCCTATTCTACCATTGAACAAAAAGCGGCTGAAATCTCCACCTGCAAATTCCACAAAAAGAGTGTTTCAAGTCTGCTCTGTGTAAAGGATCGTTCAACTCTGTGAGTTGAATTCACACAACACAAGGAAGTTACTGAGAATTCTTCTGTCTAGCAGAATATGAAGAAATCCCGTTTCCAACGAAGGCCACAAGATGTCAGAATATCCACTTACAGACTTTACAACAGAGTGTTTCCTAACTGCTCTATGAACAGAAAGGTTAAACTCTGTGAGTTGAACGAACACATCACAACGCAGTTTGTGGGAATGATTCTGTCTAGTTTTGAAACGAAGATATTTCCTTTTCTGCCATTGACCTTAAAGCGCTTGAAATCTATACTTGCAAATTGCACAAATAGAGTGTTTCAAATCTGCTCTGTCTAAGGGAACGTTCAACTCTGTGAGTTGAATGCACACAACACAAGGAAGTTACTGGGAATTCTTCTGTCTAGCCTTACATGAAAAAACCCGTTTCCAACGAAGGCCTCTAAGTGGTCAAAATATCCACGTGCAGACTTTACAAACAGAGTGTTTCCAAACCGCTGAATGAAAAGAAAAGTTGAACTCTGAGAGTTGAACGCACACATCACGCAGCAGTTTCTGAGAATGATTCTGTCTAGTTTTTATACGAAGATATTTCCTTTTCTGCCTTTGGCCCCAAAGCGCTTGAAATCTCCACTTGCAAATTCCACAAAAACAGTGTTTCAAATCTGCTCTCTCTAAATGAAAGTTCAACTCTGTCAGTTGAATACACACAACACAAGGAAGTTACTGAGAATTTTTCTGTCTAGCATAATATGAAGAAATCCCGTTTCCAACGAAGGCCTCAAAGGGGTCTGAATATCCACTTGCAGACTTTACAAACAGAGTGTTTCCTAATTGCTCTATGAACAGAAAGGTTAAACTCTGTGAGTTGAACGCACACATCACTAAGGAGTTTATGAAAATCATTCTGTCTAGTTTCTATAGGAAGATATTTCCTATTCTACCATTGACCTCAAAGAGGCTGAAATCGCCACTTGCAAATTCCACAAAAAGAGTGTTTCAAGTCTGCTCTGTGTAAAGGATCGTTCAACCCTGTGAGTTGAATACACACAACACAAGGTAAGTTACTGAGAATTCTTCTGTCTAGCAGAATATGAAGAAATCCCGTTTCCAACGAAGGCCTCAAGGAGGTCTGAATATCCACTTGCAGACTTTACAAACAGAGTGTTTCCTAACTGCTCTATGAAAAGAAAGGTTAAACTCTGTGAGTTGAACGCACACATCACAAAAGATTTTCTGAGAATCATTCTGTCTAGTTTTGAAACGAAGACATTTCCTTTTCTGCCTTTGGCCTCAAAGCGCTTGAAATCTCCATTTGCAAATTCCACAAAAAGAGTGTTTCAAATCTGCTCTGTGTAAATGAAAGTTCAACTCTGTGAGTTGAACGCACACAACACAAGGAAGTTACTGGGAATTCTTCTGTCTAGCCTTACATGAAAAAAACCCGTTTCCAACGAAGGCCTCTAAGTAGTCAAATTATCCACGTGCAGACTTTACAAACAGAGTGTTTCCAAACTGCTGAATGAAAAGAAAAGTTGAACTCTGAGAGTTGAACGCACACATCGCAGAGCAGTTTCTGAGAATGATTCTGTCTAGTTTTTATACGAAGATATTTCCTTTTCTGCCTTTGGCCTCAAAGCGCTTGAAATCTCCATTTGTAAATTCCACAAAAAGAGAGTTTCAAATCTGCTCTGTGTAAATGAAAGTTCAACTCTGTGAGTTGAACACACACAACACAAGGAAGTTACTGGGAATTCTTCTGTCTAGCATAATATGAAGAAAACCCGTTTCCAACGAAGGCCTCAAGGAGGTCTGAATATCCACTTGCAGACTTTACAAACAGAGTGTTTCCTAACTGCTCTATGAAAAGAAAGGTTAAACTCTGTGAGTTGAACGCACACATCACAAAGGAGTTTCTCAGAATCATTCTGTCTAGTTTTTATAGGAAGATATTTCCTTTTCTACCATTGACCTCAAAGCGGCTGAAATCTCCACTTGCAAATTCCACAAAAAGAGTGTTTCAAGTCTGCTCTGTGTAAAGGATCGGTTCAACTCTGTGAGTTGAATACACACAACACAAGGAAGTTACTGAGAATTCTTCTGTCTAGCATAGTATGAAGAAATCCCGTTTCCAACGAAGGCCTCAAAGAGGTCTGAACATCCATTTGCAGAGTTTACAAACAGAGTGTTTCCTAACTGCTCTATGAAAAGAAAGGTTAAACTCTGTGAGTTGAACGCACACATCACAAAGAAGTTTCTGAGAATCATTCTGTCTATTTTTTATAGGAAGATATTTCCTTTTCTACCTTTGACTTCAAAGCGGCTGAAATCTCCACTTGCAAATTCCACAAAAAGAGTGTTACAAGTCTGCTCTGTGTAAAGGATCGTTCAACTCTGTGAGTTGAATACACACAACAGAAGGAAGTTACTGAGAATTCTTCTGTCTAGCCTTACATGAAAAAAACCCGTTTCCAACGAAGGCCTCTAAGTGATCAAATTATCCACGTGCAGACTTTACAAACAGAGTGTTTCCAAACTGCTGAATGAAAAGAAAAGTTAAACTCTGAGAGATGAACGCACACATCACAGAGCAGTTTCTGAGAATGATTCTGTCTAGTTTTTATACGAAGATATTTCCTTTTCTGCCTTTGGCCTCAAAGCGCTTGAAATCTCCACTTGCAAATTCCACAAAAAGAGTGTTTCATATCTGCTCTGGGTAAATGAAAGTTCAACTCTGTGAGTTGAACACACACAACACAAGGAAGTTACTGGGAATTCTTCTGTCTAGCATAATATGCAGAAATCCCGTTTCCTACGAAGGCCTCAAAGAGGTCTGAATATCCACTTGCTGACTTTACAAACAGAGTGTTTCCTAACTGCTCTATGAAAAGAAAGGTTAAACTCTGTGAGTTGAGCGCACACATCACAAAGAAGTTTCTGAGAATCATTCTGTCTAGTTTCTATAGGAAGATATTTCCTATTCTACCATTGACCTCAAAGCGTCAGAAATCTCCACTTGCAAATTCCACAAAAAGAGTGTTTCAAGACTGCTCTGTGTAAAGGATCGTTCAACTCTGTGAGTTGAATACACACAACACAAGGAAGTTACTGAGAATTCTTCTGTCTAGCAGAACATGAAGAAATCCTGCTTCCAACGAAGGCCTCAAAGAAGTCTGAATATCCACTTGCAGACTTTACAAACAGAGTGTTTCCCAACTGCTCTATGAAAAGAAAGGTTGAACTCTGTGAGTTGAACGCACACATCACAAAGGAGTTTCTGAGAATCATTCTGTCTAATTTTTATATGAAGATATTTCCTTTTCAACCATTGACCTCAAAGTGGCTGAAATCTCCATTTGCAAATTCCACAAAAAGAGTGTTTCAAGTCTGCTCTGTGTAAAGGTTCGTTCAACTCTGTGAGTTGAATACACACAACACGAGGAAGTTACTGAGAATTCTTCTGTCTAGCAGAATATGAAGAAATCCCGCTTCCAACGAAGGCCTCAAAGAAGTCTGAATATCCACTTGCAGACTTTACAAACAGAGTGTATCCCAACTGCTCTATGAAAAGAAAGGTTGAACTCTGTGAGTTGAACGCACACATCACAAAGGAGTTTCTGAGAATCATTCTGTCTAGTTTTGAAACGAAGATATTTCCTTTTCTGCCATTGACCTTAAAGCGCTTGAAATCTCCATTTGCCAATTGCAGAAAAAGAGTGTTTCAAATCTGCTCTGTCTAAGGGAACGTTCAACTCTGTGAGTTGAATGTACACAACACAAGGAAGTTACTGGGAATTCTTCTGTCTAGCCTTACATGAAAAAAACCCGTTTCCAACGAAGGCCTCTAAGTGGTCAAGTTATCCACGTGCAGACTTTACAAACAGAGTGTTTCCAAACTGCTGAATGAAAAGAAAAGTTAAACTCTGAGAGTTGAACGCACACATCGCAGAGCAGTTTCTGAGAATGATTCTGTCTAGTGTTTATACGAAGATATTTCCTTTTCTGCCTTTGGCCCCAAAGCGCTTGAAATCTCCACTTGCAAATTCCACAAAAACAGTGTTTCAAATCTGCTCTCTCCAAATGAAAGTTCAACTCTGTCAGTTGAATACACACAACACAAGGAAGTTACTGAGAATTCTTCTGTCTAGGAGAATATGAAGAAATCCCGTTTCCAACGAAGGCCTCAAAGGGGTCTGAATATCCACTTGCAGACTTTATAAACAGAGTGTTTACTAACTGCTCTATGAAAAGAAAGGTTAAACTCTGTGAGTTGAACACACACATCACAAAGGAGTTTCTGAGAATCATTCTGTCTAGTTTTTATACGAAGATATTTCCTTTTCTACCATTGACCTCAACGCGGCTGAAATCTCCACTTGCAAATTCCACAAAACGAGTGTTTCAAGTCCGCTCTGTGTAAAGGATCGTTCAACTGTGTGAGTTGAATACACACAACACAAGGAAGTTACTGAGAATTCTTCTGTCTAGCAGAATATGAAGAAATCCCGTTTCCAACGGAGGCCACAAGATGTCAGAATATCCACTTACAGAATTTACCAACAGAGTGTTTCCTAACTGCTCTATGAAAAGAAAGGTTAAACTCTGTGAGTTGAACGAACACATCACAACGCAGTTTGTGGGAATGATTCTGTCTAGTTTTGAAACGAAGATATTTCCTTTTTCTGCCGTTGACCTTAAAGCGCTTGAAATCTACACTTGCAAATTGCACAAATAGAGTGTTTCAAATCTGCTCTGTCTAAGGGAACGTTCAACTCTGTGAGTTGAATGCACACAACACAAGGAAGTTACTGGGAATTCTTCTGTCTAGCCTTACATGAAAAAAACCCGTTTCCAACGAAGGCCTCTAAGTGGTCAAATTATCCACGTGCAGACTTTACAAACAGAGTGTTTCCAAACTGCTGAATGAAAAGAAAAGTTAAACTCTGAGAGTTCAACGCACACATCGCAGAGCAGTTTCTGAGAATGATTCTGTCTAGTTTTTATACGAAGATATTTCCTTTTCTGCCTTTGGCCTCAAAGCGCTTGATATCTCCACTTGCAAATTCCACAAAAAGAGTGTTTCAAATCTGCTCTGTGTAAATGAAAGTTCAACTCTGTGAGTTGAACACACACAACACAAGGAAGTTACTGGGAATTCTTCTGTCTAGCCTTATATGAAAAAAACCCGTTTCCAACGAAGGCCTCAAAGAGGGCTAAATATCCACTTGCATACTTTAGAAGCAGAGTGTTTCCTAACTGCTCTATGAAAAGAAAGGTTAAACTCTGTGAGTTGAACGCACACATCACAAAGGAGTTTCTGAGAATCATTCTGTCTAGTTTTTATAGGAAGATATTTCCTATTCTACCATTGACCTCAAAGCGGCTGAAATCTCCACTTGCAAATTCCACAACAAGAGTGTTTCAAGTCTGCTCTGTGTAAAGGATCGTTCAACTCTGTGAGTTGAATACACACAACACAAGGAAGTTATTGAGAATTCTTCTGTCTAGCAGAATATGAAGAAATCCCGTTTCCAACGAAGGCCACAAGATGTCAGAATATCCACTTACAGACTTTAGAAACAGAGTGTTTCCTAACTGCTCTATGAACAGAAAGGTTAAACTCTGTGAGTTGAACGAACACATCACAACGCAGTTTGTGGGAATGATTCTGTCTAGTTTTGAAACGAAGATATTTCCTTTTCTGCCTTTGGCCTCAAAGCGCTTGAAATCTCCATTTGCAAATTCCACAAAAAGAGTGTTTCAAATCTGCTCTGTGTAAATGAAAGTTCAACTCTGTGAGTTGAACACACACAACACAAGGAAGTTACTGGGAATTCTTCTGTCTAGCCTTACATGAAAAAAACCCGTTTCCCAACGAAGGCCTCTAAGTGGTCAAAATATCCACGTGCAGACTTTACAAACAGAGTGTTTCCAAACCGCTGAATGAAAAGAAAAGTTAAACTCTGAGAGTTGAACGCACACATCACGCAGCAGTTTCTGAGAATGATTCTGTCTAGTTTTTATACGAAGATATTTCCTTTTCTGCTTTTGGCCTCAAAGCGCTTGAAATCTCCACTTGCAAATTCCACAAAAAGAGTGTTTCAAGTCTGCTCTGTGTAAAGGATAGTTCAACTCTGTGAGTTGAATACACACAACACAAGGAAGTTACTGAGAATTCTTCTGTCTAGCCTTATATGAAAAAACCCGTTTCCAACGAAGGCCTCAAAGAGGTCTGAATATCCACTTGCAGACTTTACAAACAGAGTGTTTCCTAACTGCTCTATGAAAAGAAAGGTTAAACTCTGTGAGTTGAACGCACACATCTCAAAGGAGTTTCTGAGAATCATTCTGTCTAGTTTTTATACGAAGATATTCCCTTTTCTACCATTGACCTCAAAGCGGCTGAAATCTCCACTTGCAAATTCCACAAAAAGAGTTTTTCTAATCTGCTCTGTGTAAAGGATCGTTCAACTCTGTGAGTTGAATACACACAACAAAAGGAAGTTTCTGAGAATTCTTCTGTCTAGCAGAATATGAAGAAATCCCGTTTCCAACGAAGGCCACAAGATGTCAGAATATCCACTTACGGAATTTACAAACAGACTGTTTCCTAACTGCTCTATGAAAAGAAAGGTTAAACTCTGTGAGATGAACGAACACATCACAACGCAGTTTGTGGGAATGATTCTGTCTAGTTTTAATACGAAGATATTTCCTTTTATACCATTGACCTCAAAGCGGCTGAAATCACCACTTGCCAATTGCACAAAAATAGTGTTTCAAATCTGCTCTGTCTAAGGGAACGTTCAACTCTGTGAGTTGAATGTACACAACACAAGGAAGTTACTAGGAATTCTTCTGTCTAGCCTTACATGAAAAAAACCCGTTTCCAACGAAGGCCTCTAAGTGGTCAAATTATCCACGTGCAGACTTTACAAACAGAGTGTTTCCAAACTGCTGAATGAAAAGAAAAGTTAAACTCTGAGAGTTGAACGCACACGTCGCAGAGCAGTTTCTGAGAATGATTCTGTCTAGTTTTTATACGAGGATATTTCCTTTTCTGCCTTTGGCCTCAAAGCGCTTGAAATCTCCATTTGCAAATTCCACAAAAAGAGTGTTTCAAATCTGCTCTGTGTAAATGAAAGTTCAACTCTGTGAGTTGAACACACACAACACAAGGAAGTTACTGGGAATTCTTTTGTCTAGCCTTATATGAAAAAAACCCGTTTCCAACGAAGGCCTCAAAGAGGTCTGAATATCCACTTGCAGACTTTACAAACAGAGTGTTTCCTAACTGCTCTATGAAAAGAAAGGTTAAACTCTGTGAGTTGAACACACACATCACAAAGGAGTTTCTGAGAATCATTCTGTCTAGTCTTTATACGATGATAGTTTCCTTTTCTACCATTGACCACAAAGCGGCTGAAATCTCCACTTGCAAATACCACAAAAAGAGTGTTTCAAGTCTGCTCTCTCTAAAGGATCGTTCAACTCTGTGAGTTGAATACACACAACACAAGGAAGTTACTGAGAATTATTCTGTCTAGCATAATATGAAGAAATCCCGTTTCCAACGAAGGCATCAAAGAGGTCTGAATATCCACTTGCAGACTTTACAAACAGAGTGTTTCCTAACTGATCTATGAAAAGAAAAGTTAAACTCTGTGAGTTGAACGCACAAATCACAAAGGAGTTTCTGAGAATCATTCTGTCTAGTTTTGAAACGAAGATATTTGCTTTTCTGCCGTTGACCTTAAAGAGCTTGAAAACTACACTTGCAAATTGCACAAATAGAGTGTTTCAAATCTGCTCTGTCTAAGGGAACGTTCAACTCTGTGAGTTGAATGCACACAACACAAGGAAGTTACTGGGAATTCTTCTGTCTAGCCTTACAGGAAAAAAACCCGTTTCCAACGAAGGCCTCTAAGTGGTCAAAATATCCACGTACAGACTTTACAAACAGAGTGTTTCCAAACTGCTGAATGAAAAGAAAAGTTAAACTCTGAGAGTTCAACGCACACATCGCAGAGCAGTTTCTGAGAATGATTCTGTCTAGTTTTTATACGAAGATATTTCCTTTTCTGCCTTTGGCCTCAAAGCGCTTGAAATCTCCACTTCCAAATTCCACAAAAAGAGTGTTTCAAATCTGCTCTGTGTAAATCAAAGTTCAACTCTGTGAGTAGAACACACACAACACAAGGAAGTTACTGGGAATTCTTCTGTCTAGCAGAATATGAAGAAATCCCGTTTCCAACGAAGGCCTCAAGGAGGTCTGAATATCCACTTGCAGACTTTACAAACAGAGTGTTTCCTAACTGCTCTATGAAAGGAAAGGTTAAACTCTGTGAGTTGAACGCACACATCACAAAGGAGTTTATGAGAATCATTCTGTCTAGTTTCTATAGGAAGATATTTCCTATTCTACCATTGACCTCAAAGCGGCTGAAATCTCCACTTGCAAATTCCACAAAAAGAGTGTTTCAAGTCTGCTCTGTGTAAAGGATCGTTGAAATCTGTGAGTTGAATACACACAACACAATGAAGTTACTGAGAATTCTTCTGTCTAGCATAATATGAAGAAATCCCGTTTCCAACGAAGGCCTCAAAGAGGACTGAATATCCACTTGCAGACTTAACAAACAGAGTGTTTCCTAACTGCTCTATGAAAAGAAAGGTTAAACTCTGTGAGTTGAACGCACACATCACAAAGGAGTTTCTGAGAATCATTCTGTCTAGTTTTTATAGGAAGATATTACCTTTTCTACCATTGACTTAAAAGCGGCTGAAAACTCCACTTGCAAATTCCACAAAAAGAGTGTTACAAGTCTGCTCTGTCTAACGGAACGTTCAACTCTGTGAGTTGAATGTACACAACACAAGGAAGTTACTGGGAATTCTTCTGTCCAGCCTTACATGAAAAAAACCCGTTTCCAACGAAGGCCTCTAAGTGGTCAAATTATCCACGTGCAGACTTTACAAACAGAGTGTTTCCAAACTGCTGAATGAAAAGCAAAGTTAAACTCTGAGAGTTGAACGCACACATCGCAGAGCAGTTTCTGAGAATGATTCTGTCTAGTTTTTATACGAAGATATTTCCTTTTCTGCCTTTGGCCCCAAAGCGCTTGAAATCTCCACTTGCAAATTCCACAAAAACAGTGTTTCAAATCTGCTCTCTCCAAATGAAAGTTCAACTCTTGTCAGTTGAATACACACAACACAAGGAAGTTACTGAGAATTCTTCTGTCTAGCAGAATATGAAGAAATCCCGTTTCCAACGAAGGCCTCAAAGAGGTCTGAATATCCACTTGCAGACTTTACAAATAGAGTGTTTCCTAACTGCTCTATGAACAGAAAGGTTAAACTCTGTGAGTTGAACGCACACATCACAAAGGAGTTTCTGAGAATCATTCTGTCTAGTTTCTATAGGAAGATATTTCCTATTCTACTATTGACCACAAAGCGGCTGAAATCTCCACTTGCAAATTCCACAAAAAGAGTGTTTCAAGTCTGCTCTGTGTATAGGATCGTTCAACTCTGTGAGTTGAATTCACAAAACACAAGGAAGTTACTGAGAATTCTTCTGTGTAGCATAATATGAAGAAATCCCGTTTCCAACGAAGGCCTCAAAGAGGTCTGAATATCCACTTGCAGACATTACAAACAGAGTGTCTCCTAACTGCTCTATGAAAAGAAAGGTTAAACTCTGTGAGTTGAACGAACACATCACAACGCAGTTTGTGGGAATGATTCTGTCTAGTTTTGAAACGAAGATATTTCCTTTTCTGCCATTGACCTTAAAGCGCTTGAAATCTCCACTTGCCAATTACACAAAAAGAGTGTTTCAAATCTGCTCTGTCTAAGGGAACGTTCAACTCTGTGAGTTGAATGTACACAACACAAGGAAGTTACTGGGAATTCTTCTGTCTATCCTTACATGAAAAAAACCCTTTTCCAACGAAGGCCTCTAAGTGGTCAAATTATCCACGTACAGACTTTACAAACAGAGTGTTTCCAAACTGCTGAATGAAAAGAAAAGTTAAACTCTTAGAGTTGAACGCACACATCGCAGAGCAGTTTCTGAGAATGATTCTGTCTAGTTTTTATACGAAGATATTTCCTTTTCTGCCTTTGGCCTCAAAGCGCTTGAAATCTCCACTTGCAAATTCCACAAAAAGAGTGTTTCAAATCTGCTCTGTGTACATGAAAGTTCAACTCTGTGAGTTGAACACACACAACACAAGGAAGTTACTGGGAATTCTTCTGTCTAGCATAATATGAAGAATTCCCGTTTCCAACGAAGGCCTCAAAGAGGTCTGAATATCCACTTGCAGACTTTACAAACAGAGTGTTTCCTAACTGCTCTATGAAAAGAAAGGTTAAACTCTGTGAGTTGAACGCACACATCACAAAGGAGTTTCTGAGAATCATTCTCTCTTGTTTCTACAGGAAGATATTTACTATTCTACCATTGACCTCAAAGCGGCTGAAATCTCCACTTGCAAATCCACAAAAAGAGTGTTTCAAGTCTGCTCTGTGTAAAGGATCGTTCAACTCTGTGAGTTGAATACACACAACACAAGGAAGTTACTGAGAATTCTTCTGTCTAGCAGAATATGAAGAAATCCCGTTTCCAACGAAGGCCACAAGATGTCAGAATATCCACTTACAGAATTGACAAACAGACTGTTTCCTAACTGCTCTATGAAAAGAAAGGTTAAACTCTGTGAGTTGAACTAACACATCACAACGCAGTTTGTGGGAATGATTCTGTCTAGTTTTGAAACGAAGATATTTCCTTTTCTGCCGTTGACCTTAAAGCGCTTGAAATCTACACTTGCAAATTGCACAAATAGAGTGTTTCAAATCTGCTCTGTCTAAGGGAACGTTGAACTCTGTGAGTTGAATGCACACAACACAAGGAAGTTACTGGGAATTCTTCTGTCTAGCCTTACATGAAAAAAACCCGTTTCCAACGAAGGCCTCTAAGTGGTCAAATTATCCACGTGCAGACTTTACAAACAGAGTGTTTCCAAACTGCTGAATGAAAAGAAAAGTTAAACTGTGAGAGTTGAACGCACACATCGCAGAGCAGTTTCTGAGAATGATTCTGTCTAGTTTTTATACGAAGATATTTCCTTTTCTGCCTTTGGCCTCAAAGCGCATGAAATCTCCACTTGCAAATTCCACAAAAAGAGTGTTTCAAATCTGCTCTGTGTAAATGAAAGTTCAACTCTGTGAGTTGAACACACACAACACAAGGAAGTTACTGGGAATTCTTCTGTCTAGCAGAATATGAAGAAATCCCGTTTCCAACGAAGGCCTCAAAGAGGTCTGAATATCCACTTGCAGACTTTACAAACAGAGTGTTTCCTAACTGCTCTATGAAAGGAAATGTTAAATTCTGTGAGTTGAACGCACACATCACAAAGGAGTTTCTGAGAATCATTCTGTCTAGTTTCTATAGGAAGATATTTCCTATTCTACCATTGACCCCATAGCGGCTGAAATCTCCACTTGCAAATTCCACAAAAAGAGTGTTTCAAGTCTGCTATGTGTAAAGGATCGTTCAACTCTGTGAGTTGAATACACACAACACAAGGAAGTTACTGAGAATTCTTCTGTCTAGCCTTATATGAAAAAAACCCGTTTCCAACGAAGGCCTCAAAGAGGGCTGAATATCCACTTGCAGACTTTACAAGCAGAGTGTTTCCTAACTGCTCTATGAAAAGAAAGGTTAAACTCTGTGAGTTGAACGCACAGATCACAAAGGAGTTTCTGAGAATCATTCTGTCTAGTTTTTCTATGAAGATATTTCCTTTTCTACTATAGACCTCAAAGCGGCTGAAATCTCCACTTGCAAATTCCACAAAAAGAGTGTTTCAAGTCTGCTCTGTGTAAAGGATCGTTCAACTCCGTGAGTTGAATACACACAACACAAGGAAGTTACTGAGAATTCTTCTGTCTAGCAGAATATGAAGAAATCCCGTTTCCAACGAAGGCCACAAGATGTCAGAATATCCACTTACAGAATTTACAAACAGACTGTTTCCTAACTGCTCTATGAAAAGAAAGGTTAAACTCTGTGAGTTGAACGAACACATCACAATGCAGTTTGTGGGAATGATTCTGTCTAGTTTTGAAACGAAGATATTTCCTTTTCTGCCATTGACCTCAAAGCGCTTGAAATCTCCACTTGCCAATTGCACAAAAAGAGTGTTTCAAATCTGCTCTGTCTAAGGGAACGTTCAACTCTGTGAGTTGAATGTACACAACACAAGGAAGTTACTGGGAATTCTTCTGTCTAGCCTTACATGAAAAAAAACCCGTTTCCAACGAAGGCCTCTAAGTGGTCAAAATATCCACGTGCAGACTTTACAAACAGAGTGTTTCCAAACCGCTGAATGAAAAGAAAAGTTAAACTCTGAGAGTTGAACGCACACATCACGCAGCAGTTTCTGAGAATGATTCTGTCTAGTTTTTATACGAAGATATTTCCTTTTCTGCCCTTGGCCCCAAAGCGCTTGAAATCTCCACTTGCATATTCCACAAAAACAGTGTTTCAAATCTGCTCTCTCTAAATGAAATTTCAACTCTGTCAGTTGAATACACACAACACAAGGAAGTTACCGAGAATTCTTCTGTCTCGCACAGTATGGAGAAATCCCGTTTCCAACGAAGGCCTCAAAGAGGTCTGAATATCCACTTGCAGAGTTTACAAACAGAGTGTTTCCTAACTGCTCTATGAAAAGAAAGGTTAAACTCTGTGAGTTGAACGCACACATCACAAAGAAGTTTCTTAGAATCATTCTGCCTAGTTTTTATACGAAGATATTTCCTTTTCTACCATTGACTCTCAAAGCGGCTGAAATCTCCACTTGCAAATTACACAAAAAGAGTGTTTCAAGTCTACTCTGTGTAAAGCATCGTTCAACTCTGTGAGTTGAAAACACACAACACAAGGAAGTTTCTGAGAATTCTTCTGTCTAGCAGAACATGAAGAAATCCCGTTTCCAAAGAAGGCCTCAAAGATGTCTGAATATCCACTTGCAGACTTTACAAACAGAGTGTTTCCTAACTGCTCTATGAAAAGAAAGGTTAAACTCTGTGAGTTGAACGCACACATCACAAAGGAGTTTCTGAGAATCATTCTGTCTAGTTTTGAAACGAAGATATTTCCTTTTCTGCCATCGACCTTAAAGCCCTTGAAATCTACACTTGCAAATTGCACAAATAGAGTGTTTCAAATCTGCTCTGTCTAAGGGAACGTTCATCTCTGTGAGTTGAATGCACACAACACAAGGAAGTTACTGGGAATTCTTCTGTCTATCCTTACATGAAAAAAACCCGTTTCCAAAGAAGGCCTCTAAGTGGTCAAAATATCCACGTGCAGACTTTACAAACAGAGTGTTTCCAAACTGCTGAATGAAAAGAAAAGTTAAACTCTGAGAGTTGAACGCACACATCACAGAGCAGTTTCTGAGAGTGATTCTGTCTAGTTTTTATACGAAGATATTTCCTTTTCTGCCTCTGGCCTCAAAGCGCTTGAAATCTCCATTTGCAAATTCCACAAAAAGAGTGTTTCAAATCTGCTCTGTGTAAATGAAAGTTCAACTCTGTGAGTTGAACACACACAACACATGGAAGTTACTGGGAATTCTTCTGTCTAGCAGAATATGAAGAAATCCCGTTTCCAACGAAGGCCTCAAAGAGGTCTGAATATCCACTTGCAGACTTTACAAACAGAGTGTTTCCTAACTGCTCTATGAAAAGAAAGGTTAAACTCTGTGAGTTGAACGCACACATCCCAAAGGAGTTTATGAGAATCATTCTGTCTAGTTGTTATACGAAGATATTTCCTTTTCTACCATTGACCTCAAAGCGGCTGAAATCTCCACTTGCAAATTCCACAAAAAGAGTGTTTCAAATCTGCTCTGTGTAAACCATCGTTCAACTGTGTGAGTTGAATACACACAACACAAGGAAGATTCTGAGAATTCTTCTGTCTAGCAGAATATGAAGAAATCCCGTTTCCAACGAAGGCCTCAAGGAGGTCTGAATATCCACTGGCAGACTTTACAAACAGAGTGTTTCCTAACTGCTCTATGAACAGAAAGGTTAAACTCTGTGAGTTGAACGAACACATCACAACGCAGTTTGTGGGAATGATTCTGTCTAGTTTTTATACGAAGATATTTCCTTTTCTACCATTGACCTCAAAGCGGCTGAAATCACCACTTGCCAATTGCACAAAAAGAGTGTTTCAAATCTGCTCTGTCTAAGGGAACGTTCAACTGCTGTGAGTTGAATGTACACAACACAAGGAAGTTCCTGGGAATTGCTTCTGTCTAGCCTTACATGAAAAAAACCCGTTTCCAACGAAGGCCTCTAAGTGGTCAAAATTTCCACGTGCAGACTTTACAAACAGAGTGTTTCCAAACCGCTGAATGAAAAGAAAAGTTAAACTCTGAGAGGTGAACGCACACATCACGCAGCAGTTTCTGAGAATGATTCTGTCTAGTTTTTATACGAAGATATTTCCTTTTCTGCCTTTGGCCCCAAAGCGCTTGAAATCTCCACTTGCAAATTCCACAAAAACAGTGTTTCAAATCTGGTCTCTCTAAATGAAAGTTCAACTCTGTCAGTTGAATACACACAACACAAGAAAGTTACTGAGAATTCTTCTGTCCAGCATAATATGGAGAAATCCCGTTTCCAACGAAGGCCTCAAGGAGGTCTGAATATCCACTTGCAGACTTTACAAACAGAGTGTTTCCTAACTGCTCTATGAAAAGAAAGGTTAAACTCTGTGAGTTAAACGCAGACATCACAAAGGAGTTTCTGAGAATCACTCTGTCTAGTTTTTCTACGAAGACATTTCCTTTTCTACTATTGACCTCAAAGCGGCTGAAATCTCCACTTGCAAATTCCACAGAAAGAGTGTTTCAAGTCTGCTCTGTGTAAAGGATCGTTCAACTCTGTGAGTTGAATACACACAACACAAGGAA
This sequence comes from Homo sapiens, assembly GCF_000001405.40. Classification (NCBI taxonomy): domain Eukaryota; kingdom Metazoa; phylum Chordata; class Mammalia; order Primates; family Hominidae; genus Homo; species Homo sapiens. Next base: position 25,533,883 of record NC_000019.10, on the reverse strand, counting down.
GTTACTGAGAATTCTTCTGTCTAGCAGAATATGAAGAAATCCCGTTTCCAACGAAGGCCACAAGATGTCAGAATATCCACTTACAGACTTTACAAACAGTGTGTTTCCTAACTGCTCTATGAACGGAAACGTTAAACTCTGTGAGTTGAACGAACACATCACAACGCAGTTTGTGGGAATGATTCTGTCTAGTTTTGAAACGAATATATTTCCTTTTCTGCCATTGACCTTAAAGCGCTTGAAATCTCCATTTGCCAATTGCACAAAAAGAGTGTTTCAAATCTGCTCTGTCTAAGGGAACGTTCAACTCTGTGAGTTGAATGTACACAACACAAGGAAGTTACTGGGAATTCTTCTGTCTAGCCTTACATGAAAAAAACCCGTTTCCAACGAAGGCCTCTAAGTGGTCAAATTATCCACGTGCAGACTTTACAAACAGAGTGTTTCCAAACTGCTGAATGAAAAGCAAAGTTAAACTCTGAGAGTTGAACGCACACATCGCAGAGCACTTTCTGAGAATGATTCTGTCTAGTTTTTATACGAAGATATTTCCTTTTCTGCCTTTGGCCCCAAAGCGCATGAAATCTCCACTTGCAAATTCCACAAAAACAGTGTTTCAAATCTGCTCTCTCTAAATGAAAGTTCAACTCTGTCAGTTGAATACACACAACACAAGGAAGTTACTGAGAATTCTTCTGTCTAGCATAATATGAGGAAATCCCGTTTCCAACGAAGGCCTCAAAGAGGTCTGAATATCCACTTGCAGACTTTACAAACAGAGTGTTTCCTAACTGCTCTATGAAAAGAAAAGTTAAACTCTGTGAGTTGAACGCACACATCACAAAGGAGTTTCTGAGAATCATTCTGTCTAGTTTCTATAGGAAAATATTTCCTATTCTACCATTGACCTCAAAGCGGCTGAAATCTCCACTTGCAAATTCCACAGAAAGAATGTTTCAAGTCTGCTCTGTGTAAAGGATCGTTCAACTCTGTGAGTTGAATACACACAACACAAGGAAGTTACTGAGAATTATTCTGTCTAGCAGAATATGAAGAAATCCCGCTTCCAACGAAGGTCTCAAAGAAGTCTGAATATCCACTTGCAGACTTTACAAACAGAGTGTTTCCCAACTGCTCTATGAAAAGAAAGGTTGAACTCTGTGAGTTGAACGCACACATCACAAAGGAGTTTCTGAGAATCATTCTGTCTAGTTTCTATAGGAAGATATTTCCTATTCTACCCTTGAACTCAAAGCGGCTGAAATCTCCAATTGCAAATTCCACAAAAAGAGTGTTTCAAGTCTGCTCTGTGTAAAGGATCGTTCAACTCTGTGAGTTGAATACACACAACACAAAGAAGTTACTGAGAATTCCTCTGTCTAGCAGAATATGAAGAAATCCCGTTTCTATCGAAGGCCTCAAAGAGGTCTGAATATCCACTTGCAGACTTTACAAACAGAGTGTTTCCTAACTGCTCTATGAAAAGAAAAGTTAAACTCTGTGAGTTGAACGCACACATCACAAAGGAGTTTCTGAGAATCATTCTGTCTAGTCTTTATACGAAGATATTTCCTTTTCTACCATTGACCTCAAAACGGCTGAAATCTCCACTTGCAAATTCCACAAAAAGAGTGTTTCAAGTCTGCCCTCTGTAAAGGATCGTTCAACTCTGTGAGTTGAATACACACAACACAAGGAAGTTACTGAGAATTCTTGTGTCTAGCAGAATATGAAGAAATCCCGTTTCCAACAAAGGCCACAAGATGTCAGAATATCCACTTACAGAATTTACAAACAGAGTGTTTCCTAACTGCTCTATGAAAAGAAAGGTTAATCTCTGTGAGTTGAACGAACACATCACAACGCAGTTTGTGGGAATGATTCTGTCTAGTTTTGAAACGAAGATATTTCCTTTTCTGCCGTTGACCTCAAAGAGCTTGAAAACTACACTTGGAAATTGCACAAATAGAGTGTTTCAAATCTGCTCTGTCTAAGGGAACGTTCAACTCTGTGAGTTGAATGCACACAACACAAGGAAGTTACTGGGAATTCTTCTGTCTAGCCTTACATGAAAAAAACCCGTTTCCAACGAAGGCCTCTAAGTGGTCAAATTATCCACGTGCAGACTTTACAAACAGAGTGTTTCCAAACTGCTGAATGAAAAGAAAAGTTAAACTCTGAGAGTTGAACGCACACATCACAGAGCAGTTTCTGAGAATGATTCTGTCTAGTTTTATACGAAGATATTTCCTTTTCTGCCTTTGGCCCCAAAGCGCTTGAAATCTCCACTTGCAAATTCCACAAAAACAGTGTTTCAAATCTGCTCTCTCTACATGAAAGTTCAACTCTGTCAGTTGAATACACACAACACAAGGAAGTTACTGAGAATTCTTCTGTCTAGCATAATATGAAGAAATCCCGTTTCCAACGAAGGCCTCAAAGGGGTCTGAATATCCACTTGCAGACTTTATAAACAGAGTGTTTCCTAACTGCTCTATGAAAAGAAAGGTTAAACTCTGTGAGTTGAACGCTCACAACACAAAGGAGTTTCTGAGAATCATTCTGTCTAGTTTCTATAGGAAGATATTTCCTATTCTATCATTGACCTCAAAGCGGCTGAAATCTCCACTTGCAAATTCCACAAAAAGAGTGTTTCAAGTCTGCTCTCTGTAAAGGATCGTTCAACTCTGTGAGTTGAATACACGCAACACAAGGAAGTTACTGAGAATTATTCTGTCTAGCAGAATATGAAGAAATCCCGTTTCCAACAAATGCCACAAGATGTCAGAATATCCACTTACAGACTTTACAAACAGAGTGTTTCCTAACTGCTCTATGAATAGAAAGGTTAAACTCTGTGAGTTGAACGAACACATCACAACGCAGTTTGTGGGAATGATTCTGTCTAGTTTTGAAACGAAGATATTTCCTTTTCTGCCATTGACCTTAAAGCGCTTGTAATCTCCACTTGCCAATTGCACAAAAAGAGTGTTTCAAATCTGCTCTGTCTAAGGGAACGTTCAACTCTGTGAGTTGAATGTACACAACACAAGGGAAGTTACTGGGAATTCTTCTGTCTAGCCTTACAGGAAAAAAACCCTTTTCCAACGAAGGCCTCTAAGTGGTCAAAATATCCACGTGCAGACTTTACAAACAGAGTGTTTCCACACTGCTGAATGAAAAGAAAAGTTAAACTCTGAGAGTTGAACGCACACATCGCAGAGCAGTTTCTGAGAATGATTCTGTCTAGTTTTTATACGAAGATATTTCCTTTTCTTCCATTGACCTCAAAGCGGCTGAAATCTCCACTTGCAAATTCCACAAAAAGAGTGTTTCAAGTCTGCTCTGTGTAAAGGATCGTTCAACTCTGTGAGTTGAATACACACAACACAAGGAAGTTACTGAGAATTCTTCTCTCCAGCATAGTATGAAGAAATCCCGTTTCCATCGAAGGCCTCAAAGAGGTCTGAATATCCACTTGCAGAGTTTACAAACAGAGTGTTGCCTAACTGCTCTATGAAAAGAAAGGTTAAACTCTGTGAGTTGAACGCACACATCACAAAGGAGTTTCTGAGAATCATTCTGTCTAGTTTTTATACGAAGATATTTCCTTTTATACCATTGACCTCAACGCGGCTGAAATCTCCACTTGCAAATTCCACAAAAAGAGTGTTTCAAGTCTGCTCTGTGTAAAGGATCGTTCAACTCTGTGAGTTGAATACACACAACACAAGGAAGTTACTGAGAATTCTTCTGTCTAGCAGAATATGAAGAAAGCCCGTTTCCAACGAAGGCCACAAGATTACAGAATATCCACTTACAGAATTTACAAACAGAATTTTTCCTAACTGCTCTATGAAAAGAAAGGTTAAACTCTGTGAGTTGAACGAACACATCACAACGCAGTTTGTGGGAATGATTCTGTCTAGTTTTGAAACGAAGATATTTCCTTTTCTGCCATTGACCTTAAAGCGCTTGAAATCTACACTTGCAAAATGCACAAATAGAGTGTTTCAAATCTGCTCTGTCTAAGGGAACGTTCAACTCTGTGAGTTGAATGCACACAACACAAGGAAGTTACTGGGAATTCTTCTGTCTCCCCTTACATGAAAGAAACCCGTTTTCAACGAAGGCCTCTAAGTGGTCAAAATATCCACGTGCAGACTTTACAAACAGATTGTTTCCAAACTGCTGAATGAAAAGAAAAGTTAAACTCTGAGAGTTGAACGCACACATCACAGAGCAGTTTCTGAGAATGATTCTGTCTAGTTTTTATACGAAGATATTTCTTTTTCTGCCTTTGGCCCCAAAGCGCTTGAAATCTCCACTTGCAAATTCCACAAAAACAGTGTTTCAAATCTGCTCTCTCTAAATGAAAGTTCAACTCTGTCAGTTGAATACACACAACACAAGGAAGTTACTGAGAATTCTTCTATCTAGCATAATATGAAGAAATCCCGTTTCCAACGAAGGCCTCAAGGAGGTCTGAATATCCACTTCCAGACTTTACAAACAGAGTGTTTCCTAACTGCTCTATGAAAAGAAAGGTTAAACTCTGTGAGTTGAACGCAGACATCACAAAGGAGTTTCTGAGAATCATTCTGTCTAGTTTCTATAGGAAGATATTTCCTATTCTACCATGGACCTCAAAGCGGCTGAAATCTCCATTTGCAAATTCCACAAGAAGAGTGTTTCAAGTATGCTCTGTGTAAAGGATCGTTCAACTCTGTGAGTTGAATACACACAACACAAGGAAGTTACTGAGAATTCTTCTGTCTAGCAGAATATGAAGAAATCCCGTTTCCAACGAAGGCCACAAGATGTCAGAATATCCACTTACAGACTTTACAAACAGAGTGTTTCCTAACTGCTCTATGAAAAGAAAGGTGAAACTCCGTGAGTTGAATGCACACATCACAAAGGAGTTTATGAGAATCATTCTGTCTAGTTTTGAAACGAAGATATTTCCTTTCCTGCCATTGACCTTAAAGCGCTTGAAATCTCCATTTGCCAATTGCACAAAAAGAGTGTTTCAAATCTGCTCTGTCTAAGGGAACGTTCAACTCTGTGAGTTGAATGTACACAACACAAGGAAGTTACTGGGAATTCTTCTGTCTAGCCTTACAGGAAAAAAACCCGTTTCCAACGAAGACCTCTGAGAGGTCAAAATATCCACGTGCAGACTTTACAAACAGAGTGTTTCCAAACTGCTGAATGAAAAGAAAAGTTAAACTCTGAGAGTTGAACGCACACATCGCAGAGCAGTTTCTGAGAGTGATTCTGTCTAGTTTTTATACGAAGAGATTTCCTTTTCTACCATTGACCTCAACGCGGCTGAAATCTCCACTTGCAAATTACACAAAAAGAGTGTTTCAATTCCGCTCTGTGTAAAGGATCGTTCAACTCTGTGAGTTGAATACACACAACACAAGGAAGTTACTGAGAATTCTTCTGTCTAGCACAGTATGAAGAAATCCCGTTTCCAACGAAGGCCTCAAAGAGGTCTGAATATCCACTTGCAGACTTTACCAACAGAGTGTTTCCTAACTGCTCTATGAAAAGAAAGGTTAAACTCTGTGAGTTGAACACACACATCACAAAGGCGTTTCTGAGAATCATTCTGTCTAGTTTCAATAGGAAGATATTTCCTATTCTACCATTGACCTCAAAGCGGCTGAAATCTCCACTTGCAAATTCCACAAAAAGAGTGTTTCAAGTCTGCTCTGTGTAAAGGATCGTTCAACTCTGTGAGTTGAATACACACAACACAAGGCAAGTTACTGAGAATTCTTGTGTCTAGCATAATATGAAGAAATCCCGTTTCCAATGAAGGCCTCAAAGAGGTCTGAATATCCACTTGCAGACATTACAAACAGAGTGTTTCCTAACTGCTCTATGAAAAGAAAGCTAAAACTCTGTGAGTTGAACGCACACATCACAAGGGAGTTTCTGAGAATCATTCTGTCTAGTTTCTATAGGAAGATATTTCCTATTCTACAATTGACCTCAAAGCGGCTGAAATCTCCACTTGCAAATTCCACAAGAAGAGTGTTTCAAGTTTGCTCTGTGTAAAGGATCGTTCAACTCTGTGAGTTGAATACACACAACACAAGGAAGTTACTGAGAATTCTTCTGTCTAGTAGAATATGAAGAAATCCCGTTTCCAACGAAGGCCTCAAAGAGGTCTGAATATCCACTTGCAGACTTTACAAACAGAGTGTTTCCTAACTGCTCTATGAAAAGAAAGGTTAAACTCTGTGAGTTGAACGCACACATCACAAAGGAGTTTCTGAGAATCATTCTGTCTAGTTTTTATACGAAGATATTCCCTTTTCTACCATTGACCCCAAAGCAGCTGAAATCACCACTTGCCAATTGCACAAAAAGAGTGTTTCAAATCTGCTCTGTCTAAGGGAACGTTCAACTCTGTGAGTTGAATGTACACAACACAAGGAAGTTACTGGGAATTCTTCTGTCTAGCCTTACAGGAAGAAAACCCGTTTCCAACGAAGGCCTCTAAGTGGTCAAAATATCCACGTGCAGACTTTACAAACAGAGTGTTTCCAAACTGCTGAATGAAAAGAAAAGTTAAACTCTGAGAGTTGAACGCACACATCGCAGAGCAGTTTCTGAGAATGATTCTGTCTAGTTTCTATAGGAAGATATTTCCTATTCTACCATTGACCTCAAAGCGGCTGAAATCTCCACTTGCAAATTCCACAAAAAGAATGTTTCAAGATTGCTCTGTGTAAAGGATCGTTCAACTCTGTGAGTTGAATACACACAACACAAGGAAGTTACTGAGAATTCTTCTGTCTAGCAGAATATGAAGAAATCCCGTTTCCAACGAAGGCCTCAAAGAGGTCTGAATATCCACTTGCAGACTTTACAAACAGAGTGTTTCCTAACTGCTCTATGAAAAGAAAAGTTAAACTCTGTGAGTTGAACGCACACATCACTAAGGAGTTTCTGAGAATCATTCTGTCTAGTTTTTCTACGAAGATATTTCCTTTTCTACTATTGACCTCAAAGCGGCTGAAATCTCCACTTGCAAATTCCACAAAAAGGGTGTTTCAAGTCTGCTCTGTGTAAAGGATCGTTCAACTCTGTGAGTTGAATACACACAACACAAGGAAGTTACTGAGAATTCTTCCGTCTAGCAGAATATGAAGAAATCCCGTTTCCAACGAAGGCCACAAGATGTCAGAATATCCACTTACAGACTTTACAAACAGAGTGTTTCCTAACTGCTCCATGAACAGAAAGGTTAAACTCTGTGAGTTGAACGAACACATCACAACGCAGTTTGTGGGAATGATTCTGTCTAGTTTTGAAACGAAGATATTTCCTTTTCTGCCATTGACCTTAAAGCGCTTGAAATCTCCACTTGCCAATTGCACAAAAAGAGTATTTCAAATCTGCTCTGTCTAAGGGAACGTTCAACTCTGTGAGTTGAATGTACACAACACAAGGAAGTTACTGGGAATTCTTCTGTATAGCCTTACATGAAAAAAACCCGTTTCCAACGAAGGCCTCTAAGTGGTCAAAATATCCACGTGCAGACTTTACAAACAGAGTGTTTCCAAACTGCTGAATGAAAAGAAAAGTTAAACTCTGAGAGTTGAACACACACATCGCAGAGCAGTTTCTGAGAATGATTCTGTCTAGTTTTTATACGAAGGTATTTCCTTTTCTGCCTTTGGCCCCAAAGCGCTTGAAATCTCCACTTGCAAATTCCACAAAAACAGTGTTTCAAATCAGCTCTCTCTAAATGAAAGTTCAACTCTGTCAGTTGAATACACACAACACAAGGAAGTTACTGAGAATTCTTCTGTCTAGCAGAATATGAAGAAATCCAGTTTCCAACGAAGGCCTCAAACGAGGTCTGAATATCCACTTGCAGACTTTACAAACAGAGTGTTTCCTAACTGCTCTATGAAAAGAAAGGTTAAACTCTGTGAGTTGAACACACACATCACAAAGGAGTTTCTGAGAATCATTCTGTCTAGTTTTTCTACGAAGATATTTCCTTTTCTACTATTGACCTCAAAGCGGCTGAAATCTCCACTTGCAAATTCCACAAAAAGAGTGTTTCAAGTCTGCTCTGTGTAAAGGATCGTTCAACTCTGTGAGTTGAATACACACAACACAAGGAAGTTAGTGAGAATTCTTCTGTCTAGCAGAATATGAAGAAATCCCGTTTCCAACGAAGGCCACAAGATGTCTGAATATCCACTTTCAGACTTTACAAACAGAGTGTTTCCTAACTGCTCTCTGAACAGAAAGGTTAAACTCTGTGAGTTGAACGAACACATCACAACGCTGTTTGTGGGAATGATTCTGTCTAGTTTTGAAACGAAGATATTTCCTTTTCTGCCATTGACCTTAAAGCGCTTGAAATCTACACTTGCAAATTGAACAAATAGAGTGTTTCAAATCTGCTCTGTCTAAGGGAACGTTCAACTCTGTGAGTTGAATGCACACAACACAAGGAAGTTACTGGGAATTCTTCTGTCTAGCCTTACAGGAAAAAAACCCGTTTCCAACGAAGGCCTCTAAGTGTTCAAAATATCCACGTGCAGACTTTACAAACAGAGTGTTTCCAAACTGCTGAATGAAAAGAAAAGTTAAACTCTGAGAGTTGAACGCACACATCGCAGAGCAGTTTCTGAGAATGATTCTGTCTAGTTTTTATACGAAGATATTTCCTTTTCTGCCTTTGGCCTCAAAGCGCTTGAAATCTCCACTTGCAAATTCCACAAAAAGAGTGTTTCAAATCTGCTCTGTGTAAATGAAAGTTCAACTCTGTGAGTTGAACACACACAACACAAAGAAGTTACTGGGAATTCTTCTGTCTAGCAGAATATGAAGAAATCCCGTTTCCAACGAAGGCCTCAAGGAGGTCTGAATATCCACTTGCAGACTTTACAAACAGAGTGTTTCCTAACTGCTCTATGAAAAGAAAGGTTAAACTCTGTGAGTTGAACGCACACGTCACAAAGGAGTTTCTGAGAATCATTCTGTCTAGTTTTTCTACGAAGATATTTCCTTTTCTACTATTGACCTCAAAGCGGCTGAAATCTCCACTTGCAAATTCCACAAAAAGAGTGTTTCAAGACTGCTCTGTGTAAAGGATCGTTCAACTCTGTGAGTAGAATACACACAACACAAGGAAGTTACTGAGAATTCTTCTGTCTAGCAGAATATGAAGAAATCCCGTTTCCAACGAAGACCTCAAAGAGTTCTGAATATCCACTTACAGACTTTACAAACAGAGTGTTTCCTAACTGCTCTATGAACAGAAAGGTTAAACTCTGTGAGTTGTACGAACACATCACAACGCAGTTTGTGGGAATCATTCTGTCTAGTTTTTATACGAAGATATTTCCTTTTCTACCATTGACCTCAAAGCGGTTGAAATCACCACTTGCCAATTGCACAAAAAGAGTGTTTCAAATCTGCTCTATCTAAGGGAACGTTCAACTCTGTGAGTTGAATGTACACAAAACAAGGAAGTTACTGGGAATTCTTCTGTCTAGCCTTACAGGAAAAACACCCGTTTCCAACGAAGGCCTCTAAGTGGTCAAAATATCCACGTGCAGACTTTACAAACAGAGTGTTTCCAAACTGCTGAATGAAAAGAAAAGTTAAACTCTGAGAGTTGAACGCACACATCGCAGAGCAGTTTCTGAGAATGATTCTGTCTAGTTTTTAAACGAAGATATTTCCTTTTCTGCCTTTGGCCTCAAAGCGCTTGAAATCTCCACTTGCAAATTCCACAAAAAGAGTGTTTCAAGTCTGCTCTGTGTAAAGGATCGTTCAACTCTGTGAGTTGAATACACACAACACAAGGAAGTTACTGAGAATTCTTCTGTCTAGCACAGTATGAAGAAATCCCGTTTCCAACGAAGGCCTCAAATAGGTCTGAATATCCACTTGCAGAGTTTAAAAACACAGTGTTTCCTAACTGCTCTATGAAAAGAAAGGTTAAACTCTGTGAGTTGAACACACACATCACAAAGAAGTTTCTGAGAATCATTCTGTCTAGTTTTTATACGAAGATATTTCCTTTTCTACCATTGACCTCAAAGCGGCTGAAATCTCCACTTGCAAATTCCACAAAAAGAGTGTTTCAAGTCTGCTCTGTGTAAAGGATCGTTGAACTCTGTGAGTTGAATACACACAACAGAAGGAAGTTACTGAGAATTCTTCTGTCTAGCAGAATATGAAGAAATCCCGTTTCCAACGAAGGCCACAAGATGTCAGAATATCCTCTTACAGACTTTACAAACAGAGTGTTTCCTAACTGCTCTATGAACGGAAAGGTTAAACTCTGTGAGTTGAACGAACACATCACAACGCAGTTTGTGGGAATGATTCTGTCTAATTTTGAAACGAAGATATTTCCTTTTCTGCCATTGACCTTAATGCGCTTGAAATCTACACTTGCAAATTGCACAAATAGAGTGTTTCAAATCTGCTCTGTCTAAGGGAACGTTCAACTCTGTGAGTTGAATGCACACAACACAAGGAAGTTACTGGGAATTCTTCTGTCTAGCCTTACATGAAAAAATCCCGTTTCCAACGAAGGCCTCTAAGTGGTCAAAATATCCACTTGCAGACTTTACAAACAGAGTGTTTCCAAACCGCTGAATGAAAAGAAAAGTTAAACTCTGAGAGTTGAACGCACACATCACGCAGCAGTTTCTGAGAATGATTCTGTCTAGTTTTTATACGAAGATATTTCCTTTTCTGCCTTTGGCCCAAAAGCGCTTGAAATCTCCACTTGCAAATTCCACAAAAACAGTGTTTCAAATCTGCTCTCTCAAAATGAAAGTTCAACTCTGTCAGTTGAATACACACAACACAAGGAAGTTACTGAGAATTCTTCTGTCTAGCATAATATGAAGAAATCCCGTTTCCAACGAAGGCTTCAAAGAGGTCTGAATATCCACTTGCAGACTTTACAAACAGAGTGTTTCCTAACTGCTCTATGAAAAGAAAAGTTAAACTCTGTGAGTTGAACGCACACATCACAAAGGAGTTTCTGAGAATCATTCTGTCTAGTCTTTATACGAAGATATTTACTTTTCTACCATTGACCTCAAAGCGGCTGAAATCTCCACTTGCAAATTCCAGAAAAAGAGAGTTTCAAGTCTGCTCTGTGTAAAGGATCATTCAACTCTGTGAGTTGAATACACACAACACAAGGAAGTTACTGAGAATTCTTCTGTCTAGCAGAATAAGAAGAAATCCCGTTTCCAACGAAGGCCTCAAAGAAGTCTGAATATCCACTTGCAGACTTTACAAACAGAGTGTTTCCGAACTGCTCTATGAAAAGAAAGGTTAAACTCTGTGTGTTGAACGCACACATCACAAAGGAGTTTCTGAGAATCATTCTGTCTAGTTTTTCTACGAAGATATTTCCTTTTCTACTATTGACCTCAAAGCGGCTGAAATCTCCACTTGCAAATTCCACAAAAAGAGCGTTTCAAGACTGCTCTATGTAAAGGATCGTTCAACTCTGTGAGTTGAATACACACAACACAAGGAAGTTACTGAGAATTCTTCTGTCTAGCAGAATATGAAGAAATCCCGTTTCCAACGAAAGCCTCAAAGATGTCTGAATATCCACTTGCAGACTTTACAAACAGAGTGTTTCCTAACTGCTCTATGAAAAGAAAGGTTAAACTCTGTGAGTTGAACGCACACAACACAAAGGAGTTTCTGAGAATCATTCTGTCTAGTCTTTATACGGAGATGTTTCCTTTTCTACCATTGACCTCAAAGCGCCTGAAATCTCCACTTGCAAATTCCACAAAAAGAGTGTTTCAAGTCTGCTCTGTGTAAAGGATTGTTCAACTCTGTGAGTTGAATACACACAACACAAGGAAGTTACTGAGAATTCTTCTGTCTAGCAGAATGTGAAGAAATCCCGTTTCCAACGAAGGCCTCAAAGAGGTCTGAATATCCACTTGCAGAGTTTACAAACAGAGTGATTCCTAACTGCTCTATGAGAAGAAAAGTTAAACTCTGTGAGTTGAACGCACACATCACAAAAGATTTTCTGAGAATCATTCTGTCTAGTTTTGAAACGAAGATTTTTCCTTTTCTGCCATTGACCTTAAAGCGCTTGAAATCTACACTTGCAAATTGCACAAATAGAATGTTTCAAATCTGCTCTGTCTAAGGGAACGTTCATCTCTGTGAGTTGAATGCACACAACACAAGGAAGTTACTGGGAATTCTTCTGTCTAGCCTTACAGGAAAAAAACCCGTTTCCAACGAAGGCCTCTAAGTGGTCAAGTTATCCACGTGCAGACTTTACAACCAGAGTGTTTCCAAACTGCTGAATGGAAAGAAAAGTTAAACTCTGAGAGTTGAACGCACACATCGCAGAGCAGTTTCTGAGAATGATTCTGTCTAGTTTTGAAACGAAGGCATTTCCTTTTCTGCCTTTGGCCTCAAAGCGCTTGAAATCTCCATTTGCAAATTCCACAAAAAGAGTGTTTCAAATCTGCTCTGTGTAAATGAAAGTTCAACTCTGTGAGTTGAACACACACAACACAAGGAAGTTACTGGGAAATCTTCTGTCTAGCATAGTATGAAGAAATCCCGTTTCCAACGAAGGCCTCAAAGAGGTCTGAATATCCACTTGCAGACTTTACAAACAGAGTGTTTCCTAACTGCTCTATGAAAAGAAAGGTAAAACTCTGTGAGTTGAACGCACACATCACAAAGAAGTTTCTGAGAATCATTCTGTCTAATTTTTATATGAAGATATTTCCTTTTCTATCATTGACATCAAAGCGGCTGAAATCTCCACTTGCAAATACCACAAAAAGAGTGTTTCAAATCTGCTCTGTGTAAATGAAAGTTCAACTCTGTCAGTTGAATACACACAACAAAAGGAAGTTACTGAGAATTCTTCTGTCTAGCAGAATATGAAGAAATCCCGTTTCCAACGAAAGCCTCAAGGAGGTCTGAATATCCACTTGCAGACTTTACAAACAGAGTGTTTCCTAACTGCTCTATGAAAAGAAAGGTTAAACTCTGTGACTTGAACGCACACATCACAAAGGAGTTTCTGAGAATCATTCTGTCTAGTTTCTATAGGAAGATATTTCCTATTCTACCATTGACCTCAAAGCGGCTGAAATCTCCACTTGCAAATTCCACAAAAAGAGTGTTTCAAGTCTGCTCTGTGTAAAGGATCGTTCAACTCTGTGAGTTGAATACAGACAACACAAGGAAGTTACTGAGAATTCTTCTGTCTAGCATAATATGAAGAAATCCCGTTTCCAACGAAGGCCTCAAAGAGGTGTGAATATCCACTTGCAGACTTTACAAACAGAGTGTTTCCTAACTGCTCTATGAAAAGAAAGGTTAAACTCTGTGAGTTGAACGCACACATCACAAAGGAGTTTCTGAGAATCATTCTGTCTAGTTTTGAAACGAAGATATTTCCTTTCCTGCCATTGACCTTAAAGCGCTTGAAATCTCCATTTGCCAATTGCACAAAAAGAGTGTTTCAAATCTGCTCTGTCTAAGGGAATGTTCAACTCTGTGAGTTGAATGTACACAACACAAGGAAGTTACTGGGAATTCTTCTGTCTAGCCTTACATGCAAAAAACCCGTTTCCAACGAAGGCCTCTAAGTGGTCAAAATATCCACGTGCAGACTTTACAAACAGACTGTTTCCAAACCGCTGAATGAAAAGAAAAGTTAAACTCTGAGAGTTGAACGCACACATCACGCAGCAGTTTCTGAGAATGATTCTGTCTAGTTTTGAAACGAAGATATTTCCTTTTCTGCCTTTGGCCTCAAAGCGCTTGAAATCTCCACTTGCAAATTCCACAAAAAGAGTGTTTCAAATCTGCTCTGTGTAAATGAAAGTTCAACTCTGTGTGTTGAACACACACAACACAAGGAAGTTACTGAGAATTCTTCTGTCTAGCATAATATGAAGAAATCCCTTTTCCAACGAAGGCCTCAAAGAGGTCTGAATATCCACTTGCAGACTTTACAAACAGAGTGTTTCCTAACTGCTCTATGAGAAGAAAAGTTAAACTCTTTGAGTTGAACGCACACATCACAAAAGATTTTCTGAGAATCATTCTGTCTAGTTTTTATAGGAAGATATTTCCTTTTCTACCTTTGACTTCAAAGCGGCTGAAATCTCCACTTGCAAATTCCACAAAAAGAGGGTTACAAGTCTGCTCTGTGTAAAGGATCGTTCAACTCTGTGAGTTGAATACACACAACACAAGGAAGTTACTGAGAATTCTTCTGTCTAGCAGAATATGAAGAAATCCCGTTTCCAACGAAGGCCACAAGATGTCAGAATATCCACTTACAGACTTTACAGAGTGTTTCCTAACTGCTCTATGAACAGAAAGGTTAAACTCTGTGAGTTGAACGAACACATCACAACGCAGTTTGTGGGAATGATTCTGTCTAGTTTTGAAACGAAGATATTTCCTTTTCTGCCATTGACCTTAAAGCGCTTGAAATCTACACTTGCAAATTGCACAAATAGAGTGTTTCAAATCTGCTCTGTCTAAGGGAACGTTGAACTCTGTGAGTTGAATGCACACAACACAAGGAAGTTACTGGGAATTCTTCTGTCTAGCATCATATGAAGAAATCCCTTTTCCAACGAAGGCCTCTAAGTGGTCAAAATATCCACGTGCAGACTTTACAAACAGAGTGTTTCCAAACTGCTGAATGAAAAGAAAAGTTAAACTCTGAGAGTTGAACGCACACATCACAGAGCAGTTTCTGAGAATGATTCTGTCTAGTTTTTATACGAAGATATTTCCTTTTCTACCATTGACCTCAAAGCGGCTGAAATCTCCACTTGCCAATTCCACAAAAAGAGTGTTTCAAGTATACTCTGTGTAATGGATCGTTGAACTCTGTGAGTTGAAAACACACAACACAAGGAAGTTTCTGAGAATTCTTCTGTATAGCAGAATATGAAGAAATCCCGTTTCCAACGAAGGCCTCAAGGAGGTCTGAATATCCACTTGCAGAATTTACAAACAGAGTGTTTCCTAACTGCTCTATGAAAAGGAAGGTTAAACTCTGTGAGTTGAACGCAGACATCACAAAGGAGTTTCTGAGAATCACTCTGTCTAGTTTCTATAGGAAGATATTTCCTATTCTACCATTGACCTCAAAGCGGCTGAAATCTCCACTTGCAAATTCCACAAAAAGATTGTTTCAAGTCTGCTCTGTGTAAAGGATCGTTCAACTCTGTGAGTTGAATACACACAATACAAGGAAGTTACTGAGAATTCTTCTGTCTAGCAGAACATGAAGAAATCCCGCTTCCAACGAAGGACTCAAAGAAGTCTGAATATCCACTTGCAGACTTTACAAACAGAGTGTTTCCTAACTGCTCTATGAAAAGAAAGGTTGAACTCTGTGAGTTGAACGCACACATCACAAAGGAGTTTCTGAGAATCATTCTGTCTAGTTTTTATACGAAGATATTTCCTTTTCTACCATTGACCTCAACGCGGCTGAAATCTCCACTTGCAAATTCCACAAAACGAGTGTTTCAAGTCCGCTCTGTGTAAAGGATCGTTCAACTCTGTGAGTTGAATACACACAACACAAGGTAGTTACTGAGAATTCTTCTGTCTAGCAGAATATGAAGAAATCTCGTTTCCAACGAAGGCCACAAGATGTCAGAATATCCACTTACAGAATTGACAAACAGACTGTTTCCTAACTGCTCTATGAAAAGAAAGGTTAAACTCTGTGTGTTGAACGAACACATCACAACGCAGTTTGTGGGAATGATTCTGTCTAGTTTTGAAACGAAGATATTTCCTTTTCTGCCATTGACCTTAAAGCGCTTGAAATCTCCACTTTCCAATTGCACAAAAAGAGTGTTTCAAATCTGCTCTGTCTAAGGGAACGTTCAACTCTGTGAGTTGAATGTACACAACACAAGGAAGTTACTGGGAATTCTTCTGTCTAGCCTTACATGAAAAAAACCCGTTTCCAACGAAGGCCTCTAAGTGGTCAAATTATCCACGTGCAGACTTTACAAACAGAGTGTTTCCAAACTGCTGAATGAAAAGCAAAGTTAAACTCTGAGAGTTGAACGCACACATCGCAGAGCACTTTCTGAGAATGATTCTGTCTAGTTTTTATACGAAGATATTTCCTTTTCTACCATTGACCTCAACGCGGCTGAAATCTCCACTTGCAAATTCCACAAAAAGAGTGTTTCAAGTCCTCTCTGTGTAAAGGATCGTTCAACTCTGTGAGTTGAATACACACAACACAAGGAAGTTACTGAGAATTCTTCTGTCTAGCACAGTATGAAGAAATCCCGTTTCCAACGAAGGCCTCAAAGAGGTGTGAATATCGACTTGCAGAGTTTACAAACAGAGTGTTTCCTAACTGCTGTATGAAAAGAAAGGTTAAACTCTGTGAGTTGAACGCACACATCACAATGAAGTTTCTGAGAATCATTCTGTCTACTTTCTATAGGAAGATATTTCCTATTCTACCATTGACCTCAAAGCGGCTGAAATCTCCACTTGCAAATTCCACAAAAGGAGTGTTTCAAGTCTGCTCTGTGTAAAGGATCGTTCAACTCTGTGAGTTGAAAACACACAACACAAGGGAAGTTTCTGAGAATTCTTCTGTCTAGCAGAATGTGAAGAAATCCCGTTTCCAACGAAGGCCACAAGATGTCAGAATATCCACTTACAGAGTTTACAAACAGAGTGTTTCCTAACTGCTCTATGAACAGAAAGGTTAAACTCTGTGAGTTGAACGAACACATCACAACGCAGTTTGTGGGAATGATTCTGTCTAGTTTTGAAACGAAAATATTTCCTTTTCTGCCATTGACCTTAAAGCGCTTGAAATCTACACTTGCAAATTGCACAAATAGAGTGTTTCAAATCTGCTCTGTCTAAGGGAACGTTCAACTGCTGTGAGTTGAATGCACACAACACAAGGAAGTTACTGGGAATTCTTCTGTCTAGCCTTACAGGAAAAAAACCCGTTTCCAACGAAGGCCTCTAAGTGGTCAAAATATCCACGTGCAGACTTTAAAAACAGAGTGTTTCCAAACTGCTGAATGAAAAGAAAAGTTAAACTCTGAGAGTTGAACGCACACATCGCAGAGCAGTTTCTGAGAATGATTCTGTCTAGTTTTTCTACGAAGATATTTCCTTTTCTACTATTGACCTCAAAGCGGCTGAAATCTCCATTTGCAAATTCCACAAAAAGAGTGATTCAAGTCTGCTCTGTGTAAAGGATCGTTCAACTCTGTGAGTTGAATACACACAACACAAGGAAGTTACTGAGAATTCTTCTGTCTAGCAGAATGTGAAGAAATCCCGTTTCCAACGAAGGCCTCAAAGAGGTCTGAATATCCACTTGCAGACTTTACAAACATAGTGTTTCCTAACTGCTCTATGAAAAGAAAAGTTAAACTCTGTGAGTTCAACGCACACATCACAAAGGAGTTTCTGAGAATCATTCTGTCTAGTTTTTCCACGAAGATATTTCCTTTTCTACTACTGACCTCAAAGCGGCTGAAATCTCCACTTGCAAATTCTACAAATAGAGTGTTTCAAGTCTGCTCTGTGTAAAGGATCGTTCAACTCTGTGAGTTGAATACACACAACACAAGGAAGTTACTGAGAATTCTTCTGTCTAGCAGAATATGAAGAAATCCCGTTTCCAACGAAGGCCACAAGATGTCAGAATATCCACTTACAGACTTTACAAACAGAGTTTTTCCTAACTGCTCTATGAACAGAAAGGTTAAACTCTGTGAGTTGAACGAACACATCACAACGCAGTTTGTGGGAATGATTCTGTCTAGTTTTGAAACGAAGATATTTCCTTTTCTGCCATTGACCTTAAAGCGCTTGAAATCTCCATTTGCCAATTGCACAAAAAGAGTGTTTCAAATCTGCTCTGTCTAAGGGAACGTTCAACTCTGTGAGTTGAATGTACACAACACCAGGAAGTTACTGGGAATTCTTCTGTCTAGCCTTACATGAAAAAAAACCGTTTCCAACGAAGGCCTCTAAGTGGTCAAATTATCCACGTGCAGACTTTACAAACAGAGTGTTTCCAAACTGCTGAATGAAAAGAAAAGTTAAACTCTGAGAGTTGAACGCACACATCACAGAGCAGTTTCTGAGAATGATTCTGTCTAGTTTTGAAACGAAGATATTTCCTTTTCTGCCTTTGGCCTCAAAGCGCTTGAAATCTCCATTTGCAAATTCCACAAAAAGAGTGTTTCAAATCTGCTCTGTTTAAATGAAAGTTCAACTCTGTGAGTTGAACACACACAACACAAGGAAGTTACTGGGAATTCTTCCGTCTAGCAGAATATGAAGAAATCCCGCTTCCAACGAAGGCCTCAAAGAAGTTTGAATATCCACTTGCAGACTTTACAAACAGAGTGTTTCCCAACTGCTCTATGAAAAGAAAGGTTGAACTCTGTGAGTTGAACGCACACATCACAAAGGAGTTTCTGAGAATCATTCTGTCTAGTTTCTATAGGAAGATATTTCCTATTCTACCATTGACCTCAAAGCGGCTGAAATCTCCAGTTGCAAATTCCACAAAAAGAGAGTTTCAAGTCTGCTCTGTGTAAATCATCGTTCAACTCTGTGAGTTGAATACACACAACACAAGGAAGTTACTGAGAATTCTTCTGTCTAGCAGAATATGAAGAAATCCCGTTTCCAACGAAGGCCACAAGGATGTCAGAATATCCACTTACAGACTTTACAAACAGAGTGTTTCCTAACTGCTCTATGAACAGAAAGGTTAAACTCTGTGAGTTGAGCGAACACATCACAACGCAGTTTGTGGGAATGATTCTGTCTAGTTTTGAAACGAAGATATTTCCTTTTCTGCCGTTGACCTTAAAGCGCTTGAAATCTACACTTGGAAATTGCACAAATAGAGTGTTTCAAATCTGCTCTGTCTAAGGGTACGTTCAACTCTGTGAGTTGAATGCACACAACACAAGGAAGTTACTGGGAATTCTTCTGTCTAGCCTTACATGAAAAAAACCCGTTTCCAACGAAGGCCTCTAAGGGGTCAAAATATCCACGTGCAGTCTTTACAAACAGAGTGTTTCCAAACCGCTGAATGAAAAGAAAAGTTAAACTCTGAGAGTTGAACGCACACATCACGCAGCAGTTTCTGAGAATGATTCTGTCTAGTTTTTATACGAAGATATTTCTTTTTCTGCCTTTGGCCCCAAAGCGCTTGAAATCTCCACTTGCAAATTCCACAAAAACAGTGTTTCAAATCTGCTGTCTCTAAATGAAAGTTCAACTCTGTCAGTTGAATACACACAACACAAGGAAGTTACTGAGAATTCTTCTGTCTAGCCTTATATGAGAAAAACCCGTTTCCAACGAAGGCCTCAAAGAGGTCTGAATATCCACTTGCAGACTTTACAAACAGAGTGTTTCCTAACTGCTCTATGAAAAGAAAGGTTAAACTCTGTGAGTTGAACGCACACATCACAAAGGAGTTTCTGAGAATCATTCTGTCTAGTTTTTATACGAAGATATTTCCTTTTCTACCAAGGACCTCAAAGCGGCTGAAATCTCCACTTGCAAATTCCACAAAAAGAGTGTTTCAAGTCTGCTCTGTGTAAAGGATCGTTCAACTCTGTGAGTTGAATACACACAACACAAGGAAGATTCTGAGAATTCTTCTGTCTAGCAGAATATGAAGAAATCCCGTTTCCAACGAAGGCCTCAAAGAGGTCTGAATATCCACTTGCAGACTTTACAAACAGAGGGTTTCCTAACTGCTCTATGAAAAGAAAGGTTAAACTCTGTGAGTTGAACGCACACATCACAAAGGAGTTTCTGAGAATCATTCTGTCTAGTTTTTATACGAAGATATTTCCTTTTCTACCATGGACTTCAAAGCGGCTGAAATCTCCACTTGCAAATTCCACAAAAAGAGTGTTTCAAGTCTGCTCTGTGTAAAGGATCGTTCAACTCTGTGAGTTGAATACACACAACACAAGGAAAGATTCTGAGAATTCTTCTGTCTAGCAGAATATGAAGAAATCCCGTTTCCAACGAAGGCCACAAGATGTCAGAATATCCACTTACAGAATTGACAAACAGACTGTTTCCTAACTGCTCTATGAAAAGAAAGGTTAAACTCTGTGAGTTGAACGAAAACATCACAACGCAGTTTGTGGGAATGATTCTGTCTAGTTTTGAAACGATGATATTTCCTTTTCTGCCGTTGACCTTAAAGAGCTTGAAAACTACACTTGCAAATTGCAGAAATAGAGTGTTTCAAATCTGCTCTGTCTAAGGGAACGTTCAACTCTGTGAGTTGAATGCACACAACACAAGGAAGTTACTGGGAATTCTTCTGTCTAGCCTTACATGAAAAAAACCCGTTTCCAACGAAGGCCTCTAAGTGGTCAAAATTTCCACGTGCAGACTTTACAAAGAGAGTGTTTCCAAACCGTTGAATGAAAAGAAAAGTTAAACTCTGAGAGTTGAACGCACACATCACGCAGCAGTTTCTGAGAATGATTCTGTCTAGTTTTTATAGGAAGATATTTCCTTTTCTGCCTTTGGCCCCAAAGCGCTTGAAATCTCCATTTGCAAATTCCACAAAAACAGTGTTTCAAATCTGCTCTCTCTAAATGAAAGTTCAACTCTGTCAGTTGAATACACACAACACAAGGAAGTTACTGAGAATTCTTCTCTCTAGCAGAATATGAAGAAATCCCGTTTCCAACGAAGGCCTCAAAGAGGTCTGAATATCCACTTGCAGACTTTACAAACAGAGTGTTTCCTAACTGCTCTATGAAAAGAAAGGTTAAACTCTGTGAGTTGAACGCACACATCACAAAGGAGTTTCTGAGAATCATTCTGTCTAGTCTTTATACGAAGATATTTCCTTTTCTACCATTGACCTCAAAGCGGCTGAAATCTCCACTTGCAAATTCCACAAAAAGAGTGTTTCAAGTCTGCTCTGCGTAAAGGATCGTTCGACTCTGTGAGTTGAATACACACAACACAAGGAAGTTACTGAGAATTCTTCTGTCTAGCATAATATGAAGAAATCCCGTTTCCAACGAAGGCCTCAAAGGGGTCTGAATATCCACTTGCAGACTTTATAAACAGAGTGTTTACTAACTGCTCTATGAAAAGAAAGGTTAAACTCTGTGAGTTGAACACACACATCACAAAGGAGTTTCTGAGAATCGTTCTGTCTAGTTTTTATACGAAGATATTTCCTTTTCTACCATTGACCTCAAAGCGGCTGAAATCTCCACTTGCAAATTCCACAAATCGAGTGTTTCAAGTCTGCTCTGTGTAAAGGATCGTTCAACTCTGTGAGTTGAATACACACAACACAAGGAAGTTACTGAGAATTCTTCTGTCTAGCAGAATATGAAGAAATCCCGTTTCCAACGAAGGCCTCAAGGAGGTCTGAATATCCACTTGCAGACTTTACAAACAGAGTGTTTCCTAACTGCTCTATGAACAGAAAGGTTAAACTATGTGAGTTGAACGAACGCATCACAACGCAGTTTGTGGGAATGATTCTGTCTAGTTTTTATAGGAAGATATTTCCTTTTCTACCTTTGACTTCAAAGCGGCTGAAGTCTCCACTTGCAAATTCCACAAAAAGAGTGTTACAAGTCTGCTCTGTGTAAAGGATCGTTCAACTCTGTGAGTTGAATACACACAACACAAGGAAGTTACTGAGAATTCTTCTGTCTACCCTTACATGAAAAAAACCCGTTTCCAACGAAGGCCTCTAAGTGGTCAAAATATCCACGTGCAGACTTTACAAACAGAGTGTTTCCAAACTGCTGAATGAAAACAAAAGTTAAACTCTGAGAGTTGAACGTACACATCACAGAGCATTTTCTGAGAATGATTCTGTCTAGTTTCGAAACGAAGATATTTCCTTTTCTGCTTTGGCCTCAAAGCGCTTGAAATCTCCACTTGCAAATTCCACAAAAAGAGTGTTTCAAATCTGCTCTGTGTAAATGAAAGTTCAACTCTGTGAGTTGAACACACACAACACAAGGAAGTTACTGGGAATTCTTCTGTCTAGCATAATATGAAGAAATCCCGTTTCCAACGAAGGCCTGAAAGGGGTCTGAATATCCACTTGCAGACTTTATAAACAGAGTGTTTACTAACTGCTCTAGGAAAAGAAAGGTTAAACTCTGTGAGTTGAACACACACATCACAAAGGAGTTTCTGAGAATCATTCTGTCTAGTCTTTATAGGAAGATATTTACTTTTCTACCATTGACCTCAAAGCGGCTGAAATCTCCACTTGCAAATTCCACAAAAAGAGTGTTTCAAGTCTGCTCTGTGTAAAGGATCATTCAACTCTGTGAGTTGAATAAACACAACACAAGGAAAGTTACTGAGAATTCTTCTGTCTAGCAGAATATGAAGAAATCCCTTTTCCAAAGAAGGCCACAAGATGTCAGAATATCTACTTACAGACTTTACAAACAGAGTTTTTCCTAACTGCTCTATGAACAGAAAGGTTAAACTCTGTGAGTTGAACGAACACATCACAACGCAGTTTGTGGGAATGATTTTGTCTAGTTTTGAAACGAAGATATTTCCTTTTCTGCCATTGACCTCAAAGCGCTTGAAATCTCCACTTGCCAATTGCACAAAAAGAGTGTTTCAAATCTGCTCTGTCTAAGGAAACGTTCAACTCTGTGAGTTGAATGTACACAACACAAGGAAGTTACTGGGAATTCTTCTGTCTAGCCTTACATGAAAAAAACCCGTTTCCAACGAAGGCCTCTAAGTGGTCAAATTATCCACGTGCAGACTTTACAAACAGAGTGTTTCCAAACTGCTGAATGAAAAGAAAAGTTAAATTCTGAGAGTTGAACGCACACATCGCAGAGCAGTTTCTGAGAATGATTCTGTCTAGTTTTTATACGAAGATATTTCCTTTTCTGCCTTTGGCCCCAAAGCGCTTGAAATCTCCACTTGCAAATTCCACAAAAACAGTGTTACAAATCTGCTCTCTCTAAATGAAAGTTCAACTCTGTCAGTTGAAAACACACAACACAATGAAGTTACTGAGAATTCTTGTGTCTAGCATAATATGAAGAAATCCCGTTTCCAACGAAGGCCTCAAGGAGGTCTGAATATCCACTTGCACACATTACAAACAGAGTGTTTCCTAACTGCTCTATGAAAAGAAAGGTTAAACTCTGTGAGTTGAACGCACACATCACAAAGGAGTTTCTCAGAATCATTCTGTCTAGTTTCTATAGGAAGATATTTCCTATTCTACCATTGACCTCAAAGCGGCTGAAATCTCCACTTGCAAATTCCACAAAAAGAGTGTTTCAAGTCTGCTCTGTGTAAAGGATCCTTCAACTCTGTGAGTTGAATACACACAACACAAGGAAGTTACTGAGAATTCTTTTGTCTAGCATAATATGAAGAAATCCCGTTTCCAACGAAGGCCTCAAAGAGGTCTGAATATCCACTTGCAGACTTTACAAACAGAGTGTTTCCTAACTGCTCTATGAACAGAAAGGTTAAACTCTGTGAGTTGAACGAATACATCACAACGCAGTTTGTGGGAATGATTCTGTCTAGTTTTGAAACGAAGATATTTCCTTTTCTGCCATTGACCTTAAATCACTTGAAATCTACACTTGCAATTTGCACAAATATAGTGTTTCAAATCTGCTCTGTCTAAGGGAACGTTCAACTCTGTGAGTTGAATGCACACTACACAAGGAAGTTACTGGGAATTCTTCTGTCTAGCCTTACATGAAAAAAACCCGTTTCCAACGAAGGCCTCTAAGCGGTCAAATTATGCACGTGCAGACTTTACAAACAGAGTGTTTCCAAACTGCTGAATGAAAAGAAAAGTTAAACTCTGAGAGTTGAACGCACACATCGCAGAGCAGTTTCTCAGCATGATTCTGTCTAGTTTTTATACGAAGATATTTCCTTTTCTGCCTTTGGCCTCAAAGCGCTTGAAATCTCCACTTGCAAATTCCACAAAAAGAGTGTTTCAAATCTGCTCTGTGTAAATGAAAGTTCAACTCTGTGAGTTGAACACACACAGCACAAGGAAGTTACTGGGAATTCTTCTGTCTAGCAGAATATGAAGAAATCCCGTTTCCAACGAAGGCCTCAAAGAGGTCTGAATATCCACTTGCAGACTTTACAAACAGAGTGTTTCCCAACTGCTCTATGAAAAGAAAGGTTAAACTCTGTGAGTTGAACGCACACATCACAAAGGAGTTTCTGAGAATCATTCTGTCTAGTTTCTATAGGAAGATATTTCCTATTCTACCATTGACCTCAAAGCGGCTGAAATCTCCACTTGCAAATTCCGCAAGAAGAGTGTTTCAAGTCTGCTCTGTGTAAAGGATCGTTCAACTCTGTGAGTTGAATACACACAACACAAGGAAATTACTGAGAATTCTTCTGTCTAGCACAGTATGAAGAAATCCCGTTTCCAACGAAGGCCTCAAAGAGGTCTGAATATCCACTTGCAGAGTTTACAAACAGTGTTTCCTAACTGCTCTATGAAAAGAAAGGTTAAACTCTGTGAGTTGAACGCACACATCACAATGAAGTTTCTGAGAATTATTCTGTCTAGTTTTTAAACGAAGATATTTCCTTTTCTACCATTGACCTCAATGCGGCTGAAATCTCCACTTGCAAATTACACAAAAAGAGTGTTTCAAGTCTACTCTGTGTAAAGCATCGTTCAACTCTGTGAGTTGAAAACACACAACACAAGGAAGTTTCTGAGAATTCTTCTTTCTAGCATAATATGAAGAAATCCCGTTTCCAACGAAGGCCACAAGATGTCAGAATATCCACTTACAGACTTTACAAACAGAGTGTTTCCTAACTGCTCTATGAACAGAAAGGTTAAACTCTGTGAGTTGAACCGAACACATCACAACGCAGTTTGTGGGAATGATTCTGTCTAGTTTTGAAACGAAGATATTTCCTTTTCTGCCATTGACCTTAAAGCGCTTGAAATCTACACTTGCAAATTGCACAAATAGAGTGTTTCAAATCTGCTCTGTCTAAGGGAACGTTCAACTCTGTGAGTGGAATGCACACAACACAAGGAAGTTACTGGGAATTCTTCTGTCTAGCCTTACATGAAAAAAACCCGTTTCCAACGAAGGCCTCTAAGTGGTCAAAATATCCACGTGCAGACTTTACAAACAGAGTGTTTCCAAACCGCTGAATGAAAAGAAAAGTTAAACTCTGAGAGTTGAACGCATACATCACGCAGCAGTTTCTGAGAATGATTCTGTGTAGTTTTCAAACGAAGATATTTCCTTTTCTGCCTTTGGCCTCAAAGCGCTTGAAATCTCCACTTGCAAATTCCACAAAAAGAGTGTTTCAAATCTGCTCTGTGTAAATGAAAGTTCAACTCTGTGAGTTGAACACACACAACACAAGGAAGTTACTGGGAATTCTTCTGTCTAGCATAATATGAAGAAATCCCGTTTCCAACGAAGGCCTCAAAGAGGTCTGAATATACACTTGCAGACTTTACAAACAGAGTGTTTCCTAACTGCTCTATGAAAAGAAAAGTTAAACTCTGTGAGGTGAACGCACACATCACAAAGGAGTTTCTGAGAATCATTCTGTCTAGTTTTTATAGGAAGTTATTTCCTTTTCTACCTTTGACTTCAAAGTGGCTGAAATCTCCACTTGCAAATTCCACAAAAAGAGTGTTACAAGTCTGTTCTGTGTAAAGGATCGTTCAACTCTGTGAGTTGAATACACACAACACAAGGAAGTTACTGAGAATTCTTCTGTCTAGCAGAATATGAAGAAATCCCGTTTCAAACGAAGGCCACAAGATGTCAGAATATCCACTTTCAGACTTTACAAACAGAGTGTTTCCTAACTGCTCTATGAACAGAAAAGTTAAACTCTGTGAGTTGAACGAACACATCACAACGCAGTTTGTGGGAATGATTCTGTCTAGTTTTGAAACGAAGATATTTCCTTTTCTGCCATTGACCTTAAAGCGCTTGAAATCTACACTTGCAAATTCACAAATAGAGTGTTTCAAATCTGCTCTGTCTAAGGGAACGTTCAACACTGTGAGTTGAATGCACACAACACAAGGAAGTTACTGGGAATTCTTCTGTCTAGCCTTACATGAAAAAAACGCGTTTCCAACGAAAGCCTCTAAGTGGTCAAAATATCCACGTGCAGACTTACAAACAGAGTGTTTCCAAACCGCTGAATGAAAAGAAAAGTTAAACTCTGAGAGTTGAACGCACACATCACGCAGCAGTTTCTGAGAATGATTCTGTCTAGTTTTTATACGAAGATATTTCCTTTTCTGCCTTTGGCCCCAAAGCGCTTGAAATCTCCACTTGCAAACTCCACAAAAACAGTGTTTCAAATCTGCTCTCTCTAAATGAAAGTTCAACTCTGTCAGTTGAATACACACAACACAAGGAAGTTACTGAGAATTCTTCTGTCTAGCAGAATATGAAGAAATCCCGTTTCCAACGAAGGCCTCAAGGAGGTCTGAATATCCACTTGCAGACTTTACAAACAGAGTGTTTCCTAACACCTCTATGAACAGAAAGGTTAAACTCTGTGAGTTGAACGCACACATCACAAAGGAGTTTCTGAGAATCATTCTGTCTAGTTTTTATACGAAGATATTTCCTTTTCTACCATGGACTTCAAAGCGGCTGAAATCTCCACTTGCAAATTCCACAAAAAGAGTGTTTCAAGTCTGCTCTGTGTAAAGGATCGTTCAACTCTGTGAGTTGAATACACACAACACAAGGAAGATTCTGAGAATTCTTCTGTCTAGCAGAATATGAAGAAATCCCGTTTCCAACGAAGGCCACAAGATGTCAGAATATCCACTTACAGAATTGACAAACAGACTGTTTCCTAACTGCTCTATGAAAAGAAAGGTTCAACTCTGTGAGTTGAACGAACACATCACAACGCAGTTTGTGGGAATGATTCTGTCTAGTTTTGAAACGAAGATATTTCCTTTTCTGCCATTGACCTTAAAGCGCTTGAAATCTCCATTAGCCAATTGCACAAAAAGAGTGTTTCAAATCTGCTCTGTCTAAGGGAACGTTCAACTCTGTGAGTTGAATGTACACAACACAAGGAAGTTACTGGGAATTCTTCTGTCTAGCCTTACAGGAAAAAAACCCGTTTCCAACGAAGGCCTCTAAGTGGTCAAAATATCCACGTGCAGACTTTACAAACAGAGTGTTTCCAAACTGCTGAATGAAAAGAAAAGTTAAACTCTGAGAGTTGAACGCACACATCGCAGAGCAGTTTTTGAGAATGATTCTGTCTAGTTTTTATACGAAGATATTTCCTTTTCTGCCTTTGGCCTCAAAGCGCTTGAAATCTCCATTTGCAAATTCCACAAAAAGAGTGTTTCAAATCTGCTCTGTGTAAACGAAAGTTCAACTGTGTGAGTTGAACACACACAACACAAGGAAGTTACTGGGAATTCTTCTGTCTAGCATAATATGAAGAAATCCCGTTTCCAACGAAGGCCTCAAAGGGGTCTGAATATCCACTTGCAGACTTTATAAACAGAGTGTTTACTAACTGCTCTATGAAAAGAAAGGTTAAACTCTGTGAGTTGAACACACACATGACAAAGGAGTTTCTGAGAATCATTCTGTCTAGTTTTTCTACGAAGTTATTTCCTTTTCTACTATTGACCTCAAAGCGGCTGAAATCTCCAGTTGCAAATTCCACAAAAAGAGTGTTTCAAGTCTGCTCTGTGTAAAGGATCGTTCATCTCTGTGAGTTGAATACACACAACACAAGGAAGTTACTGAGAATTCTTCTGTCTAGTTTTGAAACGAAGATATTTCCTTTTCTGCCGTTGACCTTAAAGCGCTTGAAATCTACACTTGCAAATTGCACAAATAGAGTGTTTCCTATCTGCTCTGCCTAAGGGAACGTTCAACTCTGTGAGTTGAATGCACACAACACAAGGAAGTTACTGGGAATTCTTCTGTCTAGCCTTACAGGAAAAAAACCCGTTTCCAACGAAGGCCTCTAAGTGGTCAAAATATCCACCTGCAGACTTTACAAAGAGAGTGTTTCCAAACTGCTGAATGAAAAGAAAAGTTAAACTCTGAGACTTGAACGCACACATCGCAGAGCAGTTTCTGAGAATGATTCTGTCTAGTTTTTATACGAAGCATATTTCCATTTCTGCCTTTGGCCTCAAAGCGCTTGAAATCTCCATTTGCAAAGTCCACAAAAAGAGTGTTTCAAATCTGCTCTGTGTAACTGAAAGTTCAACTCTGTGAGTTGAACACACACAACACAAGGAAAGTTACTGGGAATTCTTCTGTCTAGCCTTATATGAAAAAAACCCGTTTCCAACGAAGTCCTCAAAGAGGTCTGAATATCCACTTGCAGAGTTTACAAACAGAGTGTTTCCTAACTGCTCTATGAAAAGAAAGGTTAAACTCTGTGAGTTGAACACACACATCACAAAGAAGTTTCTGAGAATCATTCTGTCTAGTTTTTATAGGAAGATATTTCCTTTTCTACATTTGACTTCAAAGCGGCTGAAATCTCCACTTGCAAATTCCACAAAAAGAGTGTTACAAGTCTGCTCTGTGTAAAGGATCGTTCAACTCTGTGAGTTGAATACACACAACACAAGGAAGTTACTGAGAATTCTTCTGTCTAGGAGAATGTGAAGAAATCCCGTTTCCAACGAAGGCCACAAGATGTCAGAATATCCACTTACAGAATTGACAAACAGACTGTTTCCTAACTGCTCTATGAAAAGAAAGGTTAAACTCTGTGAGTTGAACGAACACATCACAACGCAGTTTGTGGGAATGATTCTGTCTAGTTTTGAAACGAAGATATTTCCTTTTTCTGCCGTTGACCTTAAAGCGCTTGAAATCTACACTTGCAAATTGCACAAATAGAGTGTTTCAAATCTGCTCTGTCTAAGGGAACGTTCAACTCTGTGAGTTGAATGCACACAACACAAGGAAGTTACTGGGAATTCTTCTGTCTAGCCTTACATGCAAAAAACCCGTTTCCAACGAAGGCCCCTAAGTGGTCAAAATATCCACGTGCAGACTTTACAAACAGAGTGTTTCCAAACGGCTGAATGAAAAGAAAAGTTAAACTCTGAGAGTTGAACGCACACATCACGCAGCAGTTTCTGAGAATGATTCTGTCTAGTTTTTATACGAAGATATTTCCTTTTCTGCCTTTGGCCCCAAAGCGCTTGAAATCTCCACTTGCAACTTCCACAAAAACAGTGTTTCAAATCTGCTCTCTCTAAATGAAAGTTCAACTCTTTCAGTTGAATACACACAACACAAGGAAGTTACTGAGAATTCTTCTGTCGAGCCTTATATGAAAAAAACCCGTTTCCAACGAAGGCCTCAAAGAGGTCTGAATATCCACTTGCAGACTTTACAAACAGAGTGTTTCCTAACTGCTCTATGAAAAGAAAGGTTAAACTCTGTGAGTTGAACGCACACATCACAAAGGAGTTTCTGAGAATCATTCTGTCTAGTCTTTATACGAAGATAGTTTCCTTTTCAACCATTGACCTCAAAGCGGCTGAAATCTCCACTTACAAATTCCACAAAAAGAGTGTTTCAAGTCTGCTCTCTGTAAAGGATCGTTCAACTCTGTGAGTTGAATACACACAACACAAGGAAGTTACTGAGAATTCTTCTGTCTAGCATAATATGAAGAAATCCCGTTTCCACCGAAGGAATCAAGGAGGTCTGAATATCCACTTGCAGACTTTACAAACAGAGTGTTTCCTAACTGCTCTATGAACAGAAAGGTTAAACTCTGTGAGTTGAACGCACACATCACAAAGGAGTTTCTGAGAATCATTCTGTCTAGTTTCTATAAGAAGGTATTTCCTATTCTACCATTGACCTCAAAGCGGCTGAAATCTCCACTTGCAAATTCCACAAAAAGAGTGTTTCAAGCCTGCTCTCTGTAAAGGATCCTTCAACTCTGTGAGTTGAATACACACAACACAAGGAAGTTACTGAGAATTATTCTGTCTAGCATAATATGAAGAAATCCCGTTTCCAACGAAGGCCTCAAAGAAGTCTGAATATCCACTTGCACACTTTACAAACAGAATGTTTCCTAACTGCTCTATGAGAAGAAAAGTTAAACTCTGTGAGTTGAACGCACACATCACAAAAGATTTTCTGAGAATCATTCTGTCTAGTTTTGAAACGAAGAAATTTCCTTTTCTGCCATTGACCTTAAAGCGCTTGAAATCTACACTTGCAAATTGCACAAATAGAGTGTTTCAAATCTGCTCTGTCTAAGGGAACGTTCAACTCTGTGAGTTGAATGCACACAACACAAGGAAGTTACTGGGAATTCTTCTGTCTAGCCTTACATGAAAAAAACCCGTTTCCAACAAAGGCCTCTAAGTGGTCAAAATATCCACGTGCAGACTTTACAAACAGAGTGTTTCCAAACCGCTGAATGAAAAGAAAAGTTAAACTCTGAGAGTTGAACGCACACATCACGCAGCAGTTTCTGAGAATGATTCTGTCTAGTTTTTATACGAAGATATTTCCTTTTCTGCCTTTGGCCCCAAAGCGCTTGAAATCTCCACTTGCAAATTCCACAAAAACAGTGTTTCAAATCTGCTCTCTCTAAATGAAAGTTCAACTCTGTCAGTTGAATACACACAACACAAGGAAGTTACTGAGAATTGCTCTGTCTAGCCTTATATGAAAAAAACCCGTTTCCAACGAAGAGCCTCAAAGAGGTCTGAATATCCACTTGCAGACTTTACAAACAGAGTGTTTCCTAACTGCTCTATGAAAAGAAAGGTTAAACTCTGTGAGTTGAACGCACACATCACAAAGGAGTTTCTGAGAATCATTCTGTCTAGTTTTTATACGAAGATATTTCCTTTTCTGCCATTGACCTCAAAGCGGCTGAAATCTCCACTTGCAAATTCCACAAAAAGAGTGTTTCTAATGTGCTCTGTGTAAAGGATCATTCAACTCTGTGAGTTGAATGCACACAACACAAGGAAGTTACTGAGAATTCTTCTGTCTAGCAGAATATGAAGAAATCCCGTTTCCAACGAAGGCCACAAGATGTCAGAATATCCACTTACAGACTTTACAATCAGAGTGTTTCCTAACTGCTCTATGAACAGAAAGGTTAAACTCTGTGAGTTGAACGAACACATCACAACGCAGTTTGTGGGAATGATTCTGTCTAGTTTTTATACGAAGATATTTCCTTTTCTACCATTGACCTCAAAGCGGCTGAAATCACCACTTGCCAATTGCACAAAAAGAGTGTTTCAAATCTGCTCTGTCTAAGGGAACGTTCAACTCTGTGAGTGGAATGTACACAACGCAAGGAAGTTACTGGGAATTCTTCTGTCTAGCCTTACATGAAAAAAACCCGTTTCCAACGAAGGCCTCTAAGTGGTCAAAATTTCCACGTGCAGACTTTACAAACAGAGTGTTTCCAAACCGCTGAATGTAAAGAAAAGTTAAACTCTGAGAGTTGAACGCACACATCACGCAGCAGTTTCTGAGAATGATTCTGTCTAGTTTTTATACGAAGATATTTCCTTTTCTGCCTTTGGCCTGAAAGCGCTTGAAATCTCCATTTGCAAATTCCACAAAAAGAGTGTTTCAAATCTGCTCTGTGTAAATGAAAGTTCAACTCTGTGAGTTGAACACACACAACACAAGGAAGTTACTGGGAATTCTTCTGTCTAGCATAATATGAAGAAATCCCGTTTCCAACGAAGGCCTCAAGGAGGTCTGAATATCCACTTGCACACTTTACAAACAGAGTGTTTCCTAACTGCTCTATGAAAAGAAAGGTTAAACTCTGTGAGTTGAACGCACACATCACAAAGGAGTTTCTCAGAATCATTCTGTCTAGTTTCTATAGGAAGATATTTCCTATTCTACCATTGACCTCAAAGCGGCTGAAATCTCCACTTGCAAATTCCACAAAAAGAATGTTTCAAGTCTGCTCTGTGTAAAGGATCGTTCAACTCTGGGAGTTGAATACACACAACACAAGGAAGTTACTGAGAATTATTCTGTCTAGCAGAATATGAAAAAATCCCGTTTCCACTGAAGGCCACAAGATGTCAGAATATCCACTTACAGAATTTACCAACAGAGTGTTTCCTAACTGCTCTATGAAAAGAAAGGTTAAACTCTGTGAGTTGAACGAACACATCACAACGCAGTTTGTGGGAATGATTCTGTCTAGTTTTGAAACGAAGATATTTCCTTTTCTGCCATTGACCTTAAAGCGCTTGAAATCTACACTTGCAAATTGCACAAATGGAGTGTTTCAAATCTGCTCTGTCTAAGGGAACGTTCAACTCTGTGAGTTGAATGCACACAACACAAGGAAGTTACTGGGAATTCTTCTGTCTAGCCTTACATGAAGAAAACCCGTTTCCAACGAAGGCCTCTAAGTGGTCATAATATCCACGTGCAGACTTTACAAACAGAGTGTTTCCAAACCGCTGAATGAAAAGAAAAGTTAAACTCTGAGAGTTGAACGCACACATCACGCAGCAGTTTCTGAGAATGATTCTGTCCAGTTTTTATACGAAGATATTTCCTTTTCTGCCTTTGGCCCCAAAGCGCTTGAAATCTCCACTTGCAAATTCCACAAAAACAGTGTTTCAAATCTGCTCTCTCTAAATGAAAGTTCAACTCTGTCAGTTGAATACACACAACACAAGAAAGTTACTGAGAATTCTTCTGTCTAACATAATATGAAGAAATCCCGTTTCCAACGAAGGCCTCAAAGATGTCTGAATATCCACTTGCAGACTTTACAAACAGAGTGTTTCCTAACTGCTCTATGAAAAGAAAGGTTAAACTCTGTGAGTTGAACGCACACATCACAAAGGAGTTTCTGAGAATCATTCTGTCAAATTTCTATTGGAAGATATTTCCTTTTCAACCATTGACCTCAAAGCGGCTGAAATCTCCACTTGCAAATTCCACAAAAACAGTGTTTCAAGTCTGCTCTGTGTAAAGGATCGTTCAACTCTGTGATTGGAATACACACAACACAAGGAAGTTATTGAGAATTCTTCTGTGTAGCATAATATGAAGAAATCCCGTTTCCAACGAAGGCCTCAAGGATGTCAGAATATCCACTTGCAAACTTTACAAACAGAGTGTTTCCTAACTGCTCTGTGAAAAGAAAGGTTAAACTCTGTGAGTTGAACGCACACATCACAAAGGAGTTTCTGAGAATCATTCTGTCTAGTTTCTATACGAAGATATTTCATTTTCTACCATTAACCTCAAAGAGGCTGAAATCTCCGCTTGCAAACTCCACAAAAAGAGTGTTTCAAGTCTGCCCTGTGTAAAGGATCGTTCAACTCTGTGAGTTCAATGCACACAACACAAGGAAGTTACTGAGAATTCTTCTGTCTAGCAGAATATGAAGAAATCCCGTTTCCAACGAAGGCCTCAAAGAGGTCTGAATATCCACTTGCAGACTTTACAAACAGAGTGTTTCCTAACTGCTCTATGAAAAGAAAGGATAAACTCTGTGAGTTGAACTCACACATCACAAAGGAGTTTCTGAGAATCATTCTGTCTAGTTTTGAAACGAAGATATTTCCTTTTCTGCCGTTGACCTTAAAGAGCTTGAAAACTACACTTGCAAATTGCACAAATAGAGTGTTTCAAATCTGCTCTGTCTAAGGGAACGTTCAACTCTGTGAGTTGAATGCACACAACACAAGGGAAGTTACTGGGAATTCTTCTGTCTAGCCTTACATGAAAAAAACCCGTTTCCAACGAAGGCCTCTAAGTGGTCAAATTATCCACGTGCAGACTTTACAAACAGAGTGTTTCCAAACTGCTGAATGAGAAGAAAAGTTAAACTCTGAGAGTTGAACGGCACACATCGCAGAGCAGTTTCTGAGAATGATTCTGTCTAGTTTTTATACGAAGATATTTCCTTTTCTGCCTTTGGCCCCAAAGCGCTTGAAATCTCCACTTGCAAATTCCACAAAAACAGAGTTTCAAATCTGCTCTCTCTAAATGAAAGTTCAACTATGTCAGTTGAATACACACAACACAAGGAAGTTACTGAGAATTCTTCTGTCTAGCCTTATATGAAAAAAACCCGTTTCCAACGAAGGCCTCAAAGAGGTCTGAATATCCACATGCAGACTTTACAAACAGAGTGTTTCCTAACTGCTCTATGAAAAGAAAGGTTAAACTCTGTGAGTTGAACGCACACATCACAAAGGAGTTTCTGAGAATCATTCTGTCTAGTCTTTATACGAAGATATTTCCTTTTCTACCATTGACCCCAAAGCGGCTGAAATCTCCGCTTGCAAATTCCACAAAAAGAGTGTTTCAAGTCTGCTCTGTGTAAAGGATCGTTCAATTCTGTGAGTTGAATACACACAACACAAGGAAGTTACTGAGAATTCTTCTGTCTAGCAGAATATGAAGAAATCCCGTTTCCAACGAAGGCCACAAGCATGTCAGAATATCCACTTACAGACTTTACAAACAGAGTGTTTCCTAACTGCTCTATGAACAGAAAGGTTAAACTCTGTGAGTTGAACGCACACATCACAAAGGGGTTTCTGAGAATCATTCTGTCTAGTTTTGAAACGAAGATATTTCCTTTTCTGCCATTGACATTAAAGCGCTTGAAATCTACACTTGCAAATTGCACAAATAGAGTGTTTCAAATCTGCTCTGTCTAAGGGAACGTTCAACTCTGTGAGTTGAATGCACACAACACAAGGAAGTTACTGGGAATTCTTCTGTCTAGCCTTACATGAAAAAATCCCGTTTCCAACGAAGGCCTCTAAGTGATCAAAATATCCACGTGCAGACTTTACAAACAGAGTGTTTCCAAACCGCTGAATGAAAAGAAAAGTTAAACTCTGAGAGTTGAACGCACACATCACACAGCAGTTTCTGAGAATGATTCTGTCTAGTTTTTATACGAAGATATTTCCTTTTCTGCCTTTGGCCCCAAAGCGTTTGAAATCTCCACTTGCAAATTCCACAAAAACAGTATTTCAAATCTGCTCTCTCAAAATGAAAGTTCAACTCTGTCAGTTGAATACACACAACACAAGGAAGTTACTGAGAATTCTTCTGTCTAGCATAATATGAAGAAATCCCGTTTCCAACGAAGGCCTCAAAGGGGTCTGAATATCCACTTGCAGACTTTATAAATAGAGTGTTTACTAACTGCTCTATGAAAAGAAAGGTTAAACTCTGTGAGTTGAACACACACATCACAAAGGAGTTTCTGAGAATCATTCTGTCTAGTTTTTATACGAAGATATTTCCTATTCTACCATTGACCTCAAAGCGGCTGAAATCTCCAGTTGCAAATTCCACAGGAAGAGTGTTTCAAGTATGCTCTGTGTAAAGGATCGTTCAACTCTGTGAGTTGAATACACACAGCACAAGGAAGTTACTGAGAATTCTTCTGTCTAGGAGAATATGAAGAAATCCCATTTCCAACGAAGGCCACAAAATGTCAGAATATCCACTTACAGACTTTACAAACAGAGTGTTTCCTAACTGCTCTATGAACAGAAAGGTTAAACTCTGTGAGTTGAACGAACACATCACAACGCAGTTTGTGGGAATGATTCTGTCTAGTTTTGAAACGAAGATATTTCCTTTTCTGCCATTGACCTTAAAGAGCTTGAAATCTACACTTGCAAATTGCACAAATAGAGTGTTTCAAATCTGCTCTGTCTAAGGGAACGTTCAACTCTGTGAGTGGAATGCACACAACACAAGGAAGTTACTGGGAATTCTTCTGTCTAGCCTTACATGAAAAAAACCCGTTTCCAACGAAGGCCTCTAAGTGGTCAAAATATCCACGTGCAGACTTTACAAACAGAGTGTTTCCAAACCGCTGAATGAAAAGGAAAGTTAAACTCTGAGGGTTGAACACACACATCACGCAGCAGTTTCTGAGAATGATTCTGTCTAGTTTTTATACGAAGATATTTCCTTTTCTGCCTTTGGCCTCAAAGTGCTTGAAATCTCCACATGCAAACTCCACAAAAAGAGTGTTTCAAATCTGCTCTGTGTAAATGAAAGTTCAACTCTGTGAGTTGAACACACACAACACAAGGAAGTTACTGGGAATTCTTCTGTCTAGCAGAATATGAAGAAATCCCGTTTCCAACGAAGGCCTCAAAGAGGTCTGAATATCCACTTGCAGACATTACAAACAGAGTGTTTCCTAACTGCTTTATGAAAAGAAAGGTTAAACTCTGTGAGTTGAACGCACACATTATAAAGGAGATTCTGAGAATCATTCTGTCTAGTTTTTATAAGAAGATATTTCCTTTTCTACCATTGACCTCAACGCGGCTGAAATCTCCACTTGCAAATTCCACAAAAAGAGTGTTTCAAGTCCGCTCTGTGTAAAGGATCGTTCAACTCTGTGAGTTGAATACACACAACACAAGGAAGTTACTGAGAAGTCTTCTGTCTAGCATAGTATGAAGAAATCCCGTTTCCAACGAAGGCCTCAAAGAGGTCTGAATATCCACTTGCAGAGTTTACAAACAGAGTGTTTCCTAACTGCTCCATGAAAAGAAAGGTTAAACTCTGTGAGTTGAACGCACACATCACAAAGAAGTTTCTGAGAATCATTCTGTCTAGTTTTTCTACGAAGATATTTCCTATTCTACCATTGACCCCAAAGCGGCTGAAATCTCCACTTGCAAATTCCACAAAAAGAATGTTTCAAGTCTGCTCAGTGTAAAGGATCGTTCAACTCTGTGAGTTGAATACACACAACACAAGGAAGTTACTGAGAATTCTTCTGTCTAGCAGAATATGAAGAAATCCCGTTTCCAACGAAGGCCACAAGATGTCAGAATATCCACTTACAGAATTTACAAACAGACTGTTTCCTAACTGCTCTATGAAAAGAAAGGTTAAACTCTGTGAGATGAACGAACACATCACAACGCAGTTTGTGAGAATGATTCTGTCTAGTTTTGAAACGAAGATATTTCCTTTTCTGCCGTTGACCTTAAAGAGCTTGAAAACTACACTTGCAAATTGCACAAATAGAGTGTTTCAAATCTGCTCTGTCTAAGGGAACGTTCAACTCTGTGAGTTGAATGCACACAACACAAGGGAAGTTACTGGGAATTCTTCTGTCTAGCCTTACAGGAAAAAAACCCGTTTCCAACGAAGGCCTCTAAGTGGTCAAAATATACACGTGCAGACTTTACAAACAGAGTGTTTTCAAACTGCTGAATGAAAAGAAAAGTTAAACTCTGAGAGTTGAACGCACACATCGCAGAGCAGTTTCTGAGAATGATTCTGTCTAGTTTTGAAACGAAGATATTTCCTTTTCTGCCTTTGGCCTCAAATCGCTTGAAATCTCCACTTGCAAATTCCACAAAAAGAGTGTTTCAAATCTGCTCTGTGTAAATGAAAGTTCAACTCTGTGAGTTGAACACACACAACACAAGGAAGTTACTGGGAATTCTTCTTTCTAGCAGAATATGAAGAAATCCCGTTTCCAACGAAAGCCTCAAGGAGGTCTGAATATCCACTTGCAGACTTTACAAACAGAGTGTTTCCTAACTGCTCTATGAAAAGAAAGGTTAAACTCTGTGAGTTGAACGCACACATCACAAAGGAGTTTCTGAGAATCATTCTGTCTAGTTTCTATAGGAAGATATTTCCTATTCTACCATTGACCTCAAAGCGGCTGATATCTCCATTTGCAAATTCCACAAAAAGAGTGTTTCAAGTCTGCTCTGTGTAAAGGATCGTTCAACTCTGTGAGTTGAATACACACAACACAAGGAAGTTACTGAGAATTCTTCTGTCTAGCAGAATATGAAGAAATCCCGTTTCCAACGAAGGCCACAAGATGTCAGAATATCCACTTACAGAATTTACAAACAGACTGTTTCCTAACTGCTCTATGAAAAGAAAGGTTAAACTCTGTGAGTTTACGGAACACCTCACAACGCAGTTTGTGGGAATGATTCTGTCTAGTTTTGAAACGAAGATATTTCCTTTTCTGCCATTGACCTTAAAGCGCTTGAAATCTACACTTGCAAATTGCACAAATAGAGTGTTTTAAATCTGCTCTGTCTAAGGGAACGCTCAAATCTGTGAGTTGAATGCACACAACACAAGGAAGTTACTGGGAATTCTTCTGTCTAACCTTACATGACAAAAACCCGCTTCCAACGAAGGCCTCTAAGTGGTCAAAATATCCACGTGCAGACTTTACAAACAGAGTGTTTCCAAACTGCTGAATGAAAAGAAAAGTTAAACTCTGAGCGCTGAAGGCACACATCGCAGAGCAGTTTCTGAGAATGATTCTGTCTAGTTTTTATACGAAGATATTTCCTTTTCTGCCTTCGGCCTCAAAGCGCTTGAAATCTCCACCTGCAAATTCCAGAAAAAGAGTGTTTCAAATCTGCTCTGTCTAAATGAAAGTTCAACTCTGTCAGTTGAATACACACAACAAAAGGAAGTTACTGAGAATTCTTCTCTCTAGCATAATATGAAGAAATCCCGTTTCCAACGAAGGCCTCAAAGAGGTCTGAATATCCACTTGCAGACTTTACAAACAGAGTGTTTCCTAACTGCTCTATGAAAAGAAAAGTTAAACTCTTTGAGTTGAACGCACACATCACAAAGGAGTTTCTGAGAATCATTCTGTCTAGTTTTCCTACGAAGATATTTCCTTTTCTACTATTGACCTCAAAGCGGCTGAAATCTCCACTTGCAAATTCCACAAAAAGAGTGTTTCAAGTCTGCTCTGTGTAAAGGATCGTTCAACTCTGTGAGTTGAATACACACAACACAAGGAAGTTACTGAGAATTCTTCTGTCTAGCAGAATATGAAGAAATCCCGTTTCCAACGAAGGCCACAAGATGTCAGAATATCCACTTACAGAATTTTCAAACAGACTGTTTCCTAACTGCTCTATGAAAAGAAAGGTTAAACTCTGTGAGATGAACGAACACATCACAACGCAGTTTTTGGGAATGATTCTGTCTAGTTTTGAAACGAAGATATTTCCTTTTCTGCCATTGACCTCAAAGCGCTTGAAATCTCCACTTGCCAATTGCACAAAAAGAGTGTTTCAAATCTGCTCTGTCTAAGGGAACGTTCAACTCTGTGAGTTGAATGTACACAACACAAGGAAGTTACTGGGAATTCTTCTGTCTAGCCTTACATAAAAAAACCCGTTTCCAACGAAGGCCTCTAAGTGGTCAAATTATCCACGTGCAGACTTTACAAACAGAGTGTTTCCAAACTGCTGAATGAAAAGAAAAGTTAAACTCTGAGAGTTGAACGCACACATCGCAGAGCAGTTTCTGAGAATGATTCTGTCTAGTTTTGAAACGAAGATATTTCCTTTTCTGCCTTTGGCCTCAAAGCGCTTGAAATCTCCACTTGCAAATTCCACAAAAAGAGTGTTTCAAATCTGCTCTGTGTAAATGGAAGTTCAACTCTGTGAGTTGAATACACACAACACAAGGAAGTTACTGAGAATTCTTCTGTCTAGCATAATATGAAGAAATCCCGTTTCCAACGAAGGCCTCAAAGAGGTCTGAATATCCACTTGCAGACTTTACAAACAGAGTGTTTCCTAACTGCTCTATGAAAAGAAAGGTTGAACTCTGTGAGTTGAACGCACACATCACAAAGGAGTTTCTGAGAATCATTCTGTCTAGTTTCTATAGGAAGATATTTCCTATTCTACCATTGACCTCAAAGCGGCTGAAATCTCCACTTGCAAATTCCACAAAAAGAGTGTTTCATGTCTGCTCTGTGTAAAGGATCGTTCAACTCTGTGAGTTGAATACACACAACACAAGGAAGTTACTGAGAATTCTTCAGTCTAGCAGAATATGAAGAAATCCCGTTTCCAACGAAGGCCTCAAGGAGGTCTGAATATCCACTTGCAGACTTTACAAACAGAGTGTTTCCTAACTGCTCTATGAA
This sequence comes from Homo sapiens, assembly GCF_000001405.40. Classification (NCBI taxonomy): domain Eukaryota; kingdom Metazoa; phylum Chordata; class Mammalia; order Primates; family Hominidae; genus Homo; species Homo sapiens. The sequence continues at coordinate 25,493,827 of NC_000019.10, read as the reverse complement.
AAGAAAGGTTAAACTCTGTGAGTTGAACGCACACATCACAAAGGAGTTTATGAGAATCACTCTGTCTAGTTTCTATAGGAAGATATTTCCTATTCTACCATTGACCTCAAAGCGGCTGAAATCTCCACTTGCAAATTCCACAAAAAGAGTGTTTCAAGTCTGCTCTGTGTAAAGGATCGTTCAACTCTGTGACTTGAATACACACAACACAAGGAAGTTACTGAGAATTCTTCTTTCAAACAGAATATGAAGAAATCCCGTTTCCAACGAAAGCCTCAAGGATGTCTGAATATCCACTTGCAGACTTTACAAACAGAGTGTTTCCTAACTGCTCTATGAAAAGAAAGGTTAAACTCTGTGAGTTGAACGCACACATCACAAAGGAGATTCTGAGAATCATTCTGTCTAGTTTTGAAACGAAGATATTTCCTTTTCTGCCATTGACCTTAAAGCGCTTGAAATCTCCACTTGCCAATTGCACAAAAAGAGTGTTTCAAATCTGCTCTGTCTAAGGGGAACGTTCAACTCTGTGAGTTGAATGTACACAACACAAGGAAGTTACTGGGAATTCTTCTGTCTAGCCTTACATGCAAAAAACCCGTTTCCAACGAAGGCCTCTAAGTGGTCAAAATATCCACGTGCAGACTTTACAAACAGTGTGTTTCCAAACCGCTGAATGAAAAGAAAAGTTAAACTCTGAGAGTTGAACACACACATCACGCAGCAGTTTCTGAGAATGATTCTGTCTAGTTTTTATCCGAAGATATTTCCTTTTCTGCCTTTGGCCCCAAAGCGCTTGAAATCTCCACTTGCAAATTCCACAAAAACAGTGTTTCAAATCTGCTCTCTCTAAATGAAAGTTCAACTCTGTCAGTTGAATACACACAACACAAGGAAGTTACTGAGAATTCTTCTGTCTAGCCTTATATGAAAAAAACCCGTTTCCAACGAAGGCCTCAAAGAGGTCTGAATATCCACTTGCAGACTTTACAAACAGAGTGTTTCCTAACTGCTCTATGAAAAGAAAGGTTAAACTCTGTGAGTTGAAAGTACACATCACAAAGGAGTTTCTGAGAATCATTCTGTCTAGTTTCTATAGGAAGATATTTCCTATTCTACCATTGACCTCAAAGCGGCTGAAATCTCCACTTACAAATTCCACAAAAAGAGTGTTTCAAGTCTGCTCTGTGTAAAGGATCGTTCAACTCTGTGAGTTGAATACACACAACACAAGGAAGTTACTGAGAATTCTTCTGTCTAGCAGAATATGAAGAAATCCCGTTCCCAACGAAGGCCACCAGATGTCAGAATATCCACTTACAGACTTTACAAACAGAGTGTTTCCTAACTGCTCTATGAACAGAAAGGTTAAACTCTGTGAGTTGAACGAACACATCACAACGCAGTTTGTGGGAATGATTCTGTCTAGTTTTGAAACCAAGATATTTCCTTTTCTGCCGTTGACCTAAAAGAGCTTGAAAACTACACTTGCAAATTGCACAAATAGAGTGTTTCAAATCTGCTCTGTCTAAGGGAACGTTCAACTCTGTGAGTTGAATGCACACAACACAAGGAAGTTACTGGGAATTCTTCTGTCTAGCCTTACATGAAAAAAACCCGTTTCCAACGAAGGCCTCTAAGTGGTCAAAATATCCACGTGCAGACTTTACAAACAGAGTGTTTCCAAACTGCTGAATGAAAAGAAAATTTAAACTCTCAGAGTTGAACGCACACATGACAGAGCAGTTTCTGAGAATGATTCTGTCTAGTTTTTATACGAAGGTATTTCCTTTTCTGCCTTTGGCCTCAAAGCGCTTGAAATCTCCACTTGCAAATTCCACAAAAAGAGTGTTTCAAATCTGCTCTGTGTAAATCAAAGTTCAACTCTGTGAGTTGAACACACACAACACAAGGAAGTTACTGGGAATTCTTCTGTCTAGCATAATATGAAGAAATCCCGTTTCCAACGAAGGCCTCAAAGGGGTCTGAAAATCCACTTGCAGACTTTATAAACAGAGTGTTTACTAACTGCTCTATGAAAAGAAAGGTTAAACTCTGTGAGTTGAACACACACATCACAAAGGAGTTTCTGAGAATCATTCTGTCTAGTTTTTCTACGAAGTTATTTCCTTTTCTACTATTGACCTCAAAGCGGCTGAAATCTCCACTTGCAAATTCCACAAAAAGAGTGTTTCAAGTCTGCTCTCTGTAAAGGATCGTTCAACTCTGTGAGTTGAATACACACAACACAAGGAAGTTACTGAGAATTCTTCTGTCTAGCAGAATATGAAGAAATCCCGTTTCCAACGAAGGCCTCAAGGAGGTCTGAATATCCACTTGCAGACTTTACAAACAGAGTGTTTCCTAACTGCTCTATGAACAGAAAGTTTAAACTCTGTGAGTTGAACGAACACATCACAACGCAGTTTGTGGGAATGATTCTGTCTAGTTTTTATAGGAAGATATTTCCTTTTCTACTTTGACTTCAAAGCGGCTGAAATCTCCACTTGCAAATTCCACAAAAAGAGTGTTACAAGTCTGCTCTGTGTAAAGGATCGTTCAACTCTGTGAGTTGAATACACACAACACAAGGAAGTTACTGAGAACTCTTCTGTCTAGCCTTACATGAAAAAAACCCGTTTCCAACGAAGGCCTCTAAGTGGTAAAATTATCCACGTGCAGACTTTACAAACAGAGTGTTTCCAAACTGCTGAATGAAAAGAAAAGTTAAACTCTGAGAGTTGAACGCACACATCACAGAGCAGTTTCTGAGAATGATTCTGTCTAGTTTTTATACGAAGATATTTCCTTTTCTGCCTTTGGCCTCAAAGCGCTTGAAATCTCCATTTGCAAATTCCACAAAAAGAGTGTTTCAAATCTGCTCTGTGTAAATGAAAGCTCAACTCTGTGAGTTGAACACACACAACACAAGGAAGTTACTGGGAATTCTTCTGTCTAGCATAATAGGAAGAAATCCCGTTTCCAACGAAGGTCTCAAGGAGGTCTGAATATCCACTTGCAGACTTTACAAACAGAGTGTTTCCTAACTGCTCTATGAAAAGAAAGGTTAAACTCTGTGAGTTGAACGCACACATCACAAAGGAGTTTCTGAGAATCAATCTGTCTAGTTTCTACAGGAAGATATTTCCTATTCTACCATTGACCTCAAAGCGGCTGAAATCTCCACTTGCAAATTCCACAAAAGGAGTGTTTCAAGTCTGCTCTGTGTAAAGGATCGTTCAACTCTGTGAGTTGAATACACACAACACAAGGCAGTTACTGAGAATTCTTCTGTCTAGCAGAATATGAAGAGATCCCGTTTCCAACGAAGGCCACAATATGTCAGAATATCCACTTACAGACTTTACAAACAGAGTGTTTCCTAACTGCTCTATGAACAGAAAGGTTAAACTCTGTGAGTTGAACGAACACATCACAACGCAGTTTGTGGGAATGATTCTGTCTAGTTTTAAAACGAAGATATTTCCTTTTCTGCCGTTGACCTTAAAGCGCTTGAAATCTACACTTGCAAATTGCACAAATAGAGTGTTTCAAATCTGCTCTGTCTAAGGGAACGTTCAACTCTGTGAGTTGAATGCACACAACACAAGGAAGTTACTGGGAATTCTTCTGTCTAGCCTTACAAGAATAAAACCCGTTTCGAACGAAGGCCTCTAAGTGGTCAAAATATCCACGTGCAGACTTTACAAAGAGAGTGTTTCCAAACTGCTGAATGAAAAGAAAAATTAAACTCTGAGAGTTGAATGTACACATCGCAGAGCAGTTTCTGAGAATGATTCTGTCTAGTTTTGAAACGAAGATATTTTCCTTTTCTGCCTTTGGCCTCAAAGCGCTTGAAATCTCCACTTGCAAATTCCACAAAAAGAGTGTTTCAAATCTGCTCTGTGTAAATGAAAGTTCAACTCTGTGAGTTGAACACACACAACACAAGGAAGTTACTGGGAATTCTTCTGTCTAGCAGAATATGAAGAAATCCCGTTTCCAACGAAGGCCTCAAAGGGGTCTGAATATCCACTTGCAGATTTTACAAACAGAGTGTTTCCTAACTGCTCTATGAAAAGAAAGGTTAAACTCTGTGAGTTGAACGCACACATCACAAAGGAGTTTATGAGAATCATTCTGTCTAGTTTTTATACGAAGATATTTCCTTTTCTACCATTGACCTCAAAGCGGCTGAAATCTCCACATGCAAATTCCACAAAAAGAGTGTTTCAAGTCTGCTCTGTGTAAAGGATCGTTCAACTCTGTGAGTTGAATACACACAACACAAGGAAGTTACTGAGAATTCTTCGTGTCTAGCAGAATATGAAGAAATCCCGTTTCCAACGAAGGCCTCAAGGAGGTCTGAATATCCACTTGCATACTTTACAAAACAGAGTGTTTCCTAACTGCTCTATGAACAGAAAGGTTAAACTCTGTGAGTTGAACGAACACATCACAACGCAGTTTGTGGGAATGATTCTGTCTAGTTTTGAAACGAAGATATTTCCTTTTCTGCCATTGACCTTAAAGCGCTTGAAATCTCCATTTGCCAATTGCACAAAAAGAGTGTTTCAAATCTGCTCTGTCTAAGAGAACGTTCAACTCTGTGAGTTGAATGTACACAACACAAGGAAGTTACTGGGAATTCTTCTGTCTAGCCTTACATGAAAAAAACCCGTTTCCAACGAAGGCCTCTAAGTGGTCAAAATATCCACGTGCAGACTTTACAAACAGAGTGTTTCCAAACCGCTGAATGAAAAGAAAAGTTAAACTCTGAGAGTTGAACGCACCCATCACGCAGCAGTTTCTGAGAATGATTCTGTCTAGTTTTTATACGAAGATATTTCCTTTTCTGCCTTTGGCCCCAAAGCGCTTGAAATCTCCACTTGCAAATTCCACAAAAACAGTGTTTCAAATCTGCTCTCTCTAAATGAAAGTTCAACTCTGTCAGTTGAATAAACACAACACGAGGAAGTTACTGAGAATTCTTCTGTCTAGCATAATATGAAGAAATCCCGTTTCCAACGAAGGCCTCAAGGAGGTCTGAATATCCACTTGCAGACTTTATAAACAGAGTGTTTACTAACTGCTCTATGAAAAGAAAGGTTAAACTCTGTGAGTTGAACACACACATCACAAAGGAGTTTCTGAGAATCATTCTGTCTAGTCTTTATACGAAGATATTTCCTTTTCTACCACTGACCTCAAAGCGGCTGAAATCTCCACTTGCAAATTCCACAAAAAGAGTGTTTCAAGTCTGCTCTGTGTAAAGGATCGTTCAACTCTGCGAGTTGAATACACACAACACAAGGAAGTTACTGAGAATTCTTCTGTCTAGCAGAAAATGAAGAAATCCCGTTTCCAACGAAGGCCACAAGATGTCAGAATATCCACTTACAGACTTTACAAACAGAGTGTTTCCTAACTGCTCTATGAACAGAAAGGTTAAACTCTGTGAGTTGAACGAACACATCACAACGCAGTTTGTGGGAATGATTCTGTCTAGTTTTGAAACGAAGATATTTCCTTTTCTGCCATTGACCTCAAAGCGCTTGAAATCTCCACTTGCCAATTGCACAAAAAGAGTGTTTCAAATCTGCTCTGTCTAAGGGAACGTTCAACTCTGTGAGTTGAATGTACACAACACAAGGAAGTTACTGGGAATTCTTCTGTCTAGCAGAATATGAAGAAATCCCGTTTCCACTGAAGGCCACAAGATGTCAGAATATCCACTTACAGAATTTACCAACAGAGTGTTTCCTAACTGCTCTATGAAAAGAAAGGTTAAACTCTGTGAGTTGAACGAACACGTCACAACGCAGTTTGTGGGAATGATTCTGTCTAGTTTTTATACGAAGATATTTCCTTTTCTGCCTTTGGCCCCAAAGCGCTTGAAATCTCTACTTGCAAATTCCACAAAAACAGTGTTTCAAATCTGCTCTCTCTAAATGAAAGTTCAACTCTGTCAGTTGAATACACACAACACAAGGAAGTTACTGAGAATTATTCTGTCTAGCAGAATATTAAGAAATCCCGCTTCCAACGATGGCCTCAAAGAGGTCTAAATATCCCCTTGCAGACTTTACAAACAGAGTGTTTCCTAACTGCTCTATGAAAAGAAAGGTTAAACTCTGTGAGTGGAACGCACACATCACAAAGGGGTTTCTGAGAATCATTTTGTCTAGGTTCTATAAGAAGATATTTCCTATTCTACCATTGACCTCAAAGCGGCTGAAATCTCCACTTGCAAATTCGACAAAAAGAGTGTTTCAAGTCTGCTCTCTGTAAAGGATCCTTCAACTCTGTGAGTTGAATACACACAACACAAGGAAGTTACTGAGAATTATTCTGTCTAGCATAATATGAAGAAATCCCTTTTCCAAAGAAGGCCTCAAGGAGGTCTGAATATCCACTTGCACACTTTACAAACAGAGTGTTTCCTAACTGCTCTATGAAAAGAAAAGTTAAACTCTGTGAGTTGAACGCACACATCACAAAGGAGTTTCTGAGAATCATTCTGTCTAGTTTTGAAACGAAGATATTTCCTTTTCTGCCATTGACCTTAAAGCGCTGGAAATCTACACTTGCAAATAGCACAAATAGAGTGTTTCAAATCTGCTCTGTCTAAGGGAACGTTCATCTCTGTGAGTTGAATGCACACAACACAAGGAAGTTACTGGGAATGCTTCTGTCTAGCCTTACATGAAAAAAAACCCGTTTCCAACGAAGGCCTCTAAGTGGTCAAAATATCCACGTGCAGACTTTACAAACAGAGTGTTTCCAAACTGCTGAATGAAAAGAAAAGTTAAACTCTGAGAGTTGAACGCACATATCACAGAGCAGTTTCTGAGAATGATTCTGTCTAGTTTTTATACGAAGATATTTCCTTTTCTGCCTTTGGCCTCAAAGCGCTTGAAATCTCCACTTGCAAATTCCACAAAAAGAGTGTTTCAAATCTGCTCTGTGTAAATGAAAGTTCAACTCTGTGAGTTGAACACACACAACACAAGGAAGTTACGGGGAATTCTTCTGTCCAGCAGAATATGAAGAAATCCCTTTTCCAACGAAGGCCTCAAAGAGGTCTGAATATCCACTTGCAGACTTTACAAACAGAGTGTTTCCTAACTGCTCTATGAAAAGAAAGGTTAAACTCTGTGGGTTGAACGCACACATCACAAAGGAGTTTCTGAGAATCATTCTGTCTAGTTTTTATAGGAAGATATTTCCTTTTCTACCTTTGACTTCAAAGCGGCTGAAATCTCCACTTGCAAATTCCACAAAAAGAGTGTTACAAGTCTGCTCTGTGTAAAGGATCTTTCAACTCTGTGAGTTGAATACACACAACACAAGGAAGTTACTGGGAATTCTTCTGTCTAGCAGAATATGAAGAAATCCCGTTTCCAACTAAGGCCACAAGATGTCAGAATATCCACTTACAGAATTGACAAACAGACTGTTTCCTAACTGCTCTATGAAAAGAAAGGTTAAACTCTGTGAGTTGAACGAACACATCACTACGCAGTTTGTGGGAATGATTCTGTCTAGTTTTGAAACGAAGATATTTCCTTTTCTGCCGTTGACCATAAAGCGCTTGAAATCTACACTTGCAAATTGCACAAAGAGAGTGTTTCAAATCTGCTCTGTCTAAGGGAACGTTCAACTCTGTGAGTTGAATGCACACAACACAAGGAAGTTACTGGGAATTCTTCTGTTGAGCATAATAGGAAGAAATCCCGTTTCCAACGAAGGCCTCAAAGAGGTCTGAATATCCACTTGCAGACTTTACAAACAGAGTGTTTCCAAACCGCTGAATGAAAAGAAAAGTTAAACTCTGAGAGTTGAACGCACGCATCACGCAGCAGTTTCTGAGAATGATTCTGTCTAGTTTTTATACGAAGATATTTCCTTTTCTGCCTTTGGCACCAAAGCGCTTGAAATCTCCATTTGCAAATTCCACAAAAACAGTGTTTCAAATCTGCTCTCTCTAAATGAAAGTTCAACTCTGTCAGTTGAATACACACAACAGAAGGAAGTTACTGAGAATTCTTCTGTCTAGCATAATATGAAGAAATCCCGTTTCCAACGAAGGCCTCAAAGGGGTCTGAATATCCACTTGCAGACTTTACAAACAGAGTGTTTCCTAACTGCTCTATGAAAAGAAAGGTTAAACTCTGTGAGTTGAACACACACATCACAAAGGAGTTTCTGAGAATCATTCTGTCTAGTTTCTATAGGAAGATATTTCCTATTCTACCTTTGACCTCAAAGCGGCTGAAATCTCCACTTGCAAATTCCACAAAAGGAGTGTTTCAAGTCTGCTCTGTGTAAAGGATCGTTCAACTCTGTGAGTTGAATACACACAACACAAGGAAGTTACTGAGAATTCTTCTGTCTAGCAGAATATGAAGAAATCCCGTTTCCAACGAAGGCCACAAGATGTCAGAATATCCACTTGCAGACTTTACAAACAGAGTGTTTCCTAACTGCTCTATGAACAGAAAGGTTAAACTCTGTGAGTTGAACGAACACATCACAACGCAGTTTGTGGGAATGATTCTGTCTAGTTTTGAAACCAAGATATTTCCTTTTCTGCCGTTGACCTTAAAGAGCTTGAAAACTACACTTGCAAATTGCACAAATAGAGTGTTTCAAATCTGCTCTGTCTAAGGGAACGTTCAACTCTGTGAGTTGAATGCACACAACACAAGGAAGTTACTGGGAATTCTTCTGTCTAGCCTTACATGAAAAAATCCCGTTTCCAACGAAGGCCTCTAAGTGGTCAAAATATCCACGTGCAGACTTTACAAACAGAGTGTTTCCAAACCGCTGAATGAAAAGAAAAGTTAAACTCTGAGGGTTGAACGCACACATCACGCAGCAGTTTCTGAGAATGATTTCTGTCTAGTTTTTATACGAAGATATTTCCTTTTCAGCCTTTGGCCCCAAAGCGCTTGAAATCTCCACTTGCAAATTCCACAAAAACAGTGTTTCAAATCTGCTCTCTCTAAATGAAAGTTCAACGCTGTCAGTTGAATACACACAACACAAGGAAGTTACTGAGAATTCTTCTGTCTAGCATAATATGAAGAAATCCCGTTTCCAACGAAGGCCTCAAAGAGGTCTGAATATCCACTTGCAGACTTTACAAACAGAGTATTTCCTAACTGCTCTATGAGAAGAAAAGTTAAACTCTGTGAGTTGAACGCACACATCACAAAAGATTTTCTGAGAATCATTCTGTCTAGTCTTTATACGAAGATATTTCCTTTTCTACCATTGACCTCAAAGCGGCTGAAATCTCCACTTGCAAATTCCACAAAAAGCGTGTTTCAAGTCTGCTCTGTGTAAAGGATCGTTCAACTCTGTGAGTTGAATACACACAACACAACGAAGTTACTGAGAATTCTTCTGTCTAGCAGAATATGAAGAAATCCCGTTTCCAACGAAGGCCACAAGATGTCAGAATATCCACTTATAGAATTTACAAACAGACTGTTTCCCAACTGCTCTATGAAAAGAAAGGTTAAACTCTGTGAGTTGAACGCACACATCACAATGAAGTTTCTGAGAATCATTCTGTGTAGTTTTGAAACGAAGATATTTCCTTTTCTGCCATTGACCTTAAAGCGCTTGAAATCTCCACTTGCCAATTGCACAAAAAGAGTGTTTCAAATCTGCTCTGTCTAAGGGAACGTTCAACTCTGTGAGTTGAATGTACACAACACAAGGAAGTTACTGGGAATTCTTCTGTCTAGCCTTACATGAAAAAAACCCGTTTCCAACGAAGGCCTCTAAGTGGTCAAAATATCCACGTGCAGACTTTACAAACAGAGTGTTTCCAAACCGCTGAATGAAAAGAAAAGTTAAACTCTGAGAGTTGAACGCACACATCAAGCAGCAGTTTCTGAGAATGATTCTGTCTAGTTTTGAAACGTAGACATTTCCTTTTCTGCCTTTGGCCTCAAAGCGCTTGAAATCTCCATTTGCAAATTCCACAAAAAGAGTGTTTCAAATCTGCTCTGTGTAAATGAAAGTTCAACTCTGTGAGTTGAACACACACAACACAAGGAAGTTACTGGGAATTCTTCTGTCTAGCCTTATATGAAAAAAACCCGTTTCCATCGAAGGCCTCAAAGAGGTCTGAATATCCACTTGCAGACTTTACAAACAGAGTGTTTCCTAACTGCTCTATGAAAAGAAAGGTTAAACTCTGTGAGTTGAACGCACACATCACAAAGGAGTTTCTGAGAATCATTCTGTCTAGTTTTGAAACGAAGATATTTCCTTTTCTACCATTGACCTCAACGCGGCTGAAATCTCCATTTGCAAATTCCACAAAAAGAGTGTTTCAAATCTGCTCTGTGTAAATGAAAGTTCAACTCTGTGAGTTGAACACACACAACACAAGGAAGTTAATGGGAATTCTTCTGTCTAGCAGAATATGAAGAAATCCTGTTTCCAACGAAGGCCACAAGATGTCAGAATATCCACTTACAGAATTTACAAACAGACTGTTTCCTAAGTGCTCTATGAAAAGAAATGTTAAACTCTGTGAGTTGAACGAACACATCGCAACGCAGTTTGTGGGAATGATTCTGTCTAGTTTTGAAACGAAGATATTTCCTTTTCTGCCATTGAACTTAAAGCGCTTGAAATCTCCATTTGCCAATTGCACAAAAAGAGTGTTTCAAATCTGCTCTGTCTAAGGGAACGTTCAACTCTGTGAGTTGAATGTACACAACACAAGGAAGTTACTGGGAATTCTTCTGTCTAGCCTTACATGAAAAAAACCCGTTTCCAACGAAGGCCTCTAAGTGGTCAAGTTATCCACGTGCAGACTTTACAAACAGAGTGTTTCCAAACTGCTGAATGAAAAGAAAAGTTAAACTCTGAGAGTTGAACGCACACATCGCAGAGCAGTTTCTCAGCATGGTTCTGTCTAGTTTTTATACGAAGATATTTCCTTTTCTGCCTTTGGCCTCAAAGCGCTTGAAACCTCCATTTGCAAATTCCACAAAAAGAGTGTTTCAAATCTGCTCTGTGTAAATGAAAGTTCAACTCTGTGAGTTGAACACACACAACACAAGGAAGTTACTGGGAATTCTTCTGTCTAGCACAATATGAAGAAATCCCGTTTCCAACAAAGGCCTCAAAGAGGTCTGAATATCCACTTGCAGACATTACAAACAGAGTGTTTCCTAACTGCTCTATGAAAAGAAAGGTTAAACTCTGTGAGTTGAACGCACACATCACAAAGGAGTTTCTGAGAATCATTCTGTCTAGTTTCTATAGGAAGATATTTCCTATTCTACCATTGACATCAAAGCGGCTGAAATCTCCACTTGCAAATTCCACAAAAAGATTGTTTCAAGTCTGCTCTGCGTAAAGGATCATTAAACTCTGTGAGTTGAATACACACAACACAAGGAAGTTACTGAGAATTCTTCTGTCTAGCAGAATATGAAGAAATCCTGTTTCCAACGAAGGCCACAAGATGTCAGAATATCCACTGTCAGACTTTACAAACAGAGTGTTTCCTAACTGCTCTATGAACAGAAAGGTTAAACTCTGTGAGTTGAACGAACACATCACAACGCAGTTTGTGGGAATGATTCTGTCTAGTTTTGAAACGAAGATATTTCCTTTTCTGCCATTGAACTTAAAGCGCTTGAAATCTCCATTTGCCAATTGCACAAAAAGAGTGTTTCAAATCTGCTCTGTCTAAGGGAACGTTCAACTCTGTGAGTTGAATGTACACAACACAAGGAAGTTACTGGGAATTCTTCTGTCTAGCCTTACAGGAAAAAAACCCGTTTCCAACGAAGGCCTCTAAGTGGTCAAAATATCCACGTGCAGACTTTACAAACGGAGTGTTTCCAAACTGCTGAATGAAAAGAAAAGTTAAACTCTGAGAGTTGAACGCACACATCGCAGAGCAGTTTCTGAGAATGATTCTGTCTAGTTTTTATACGAAGATATTTCCTTTTCTGCCTCTGGCCTCAAAGCGCTTGAAATCTCCACTTGCAAATTCCACAAAAAGAGTGTTTCAAATCTGCTCTGTGTAAATCAAAGTTCAACTCTGTGAGTTGAACACACACAACACAAGGAAGTTACTGGGAATTCTTCTGCCTAGCAGAATTTGAAGAAATCCCGATTCCAACGAAGGCCTCAAAGAGGTCTGAATATCCACTTGCAGAATTTACAAACAGAGTGTTTGCTAACTGCTCTATGAAAAGAAAAGTTAAACTCTGTGAGTTGAACGCACACATCACAAAGGAGTTTCTGAGAATCATTCTGTGTAGTTTTTATAGGAAGATATTTCCTTTTCTACCATTGACCTCAAAGCGGCAGAAATCTCCACTTGCAAATTCCACAAAAAGAGTGTTACAAGTCTGCTCTGTGTAAAGGATCGTTCAACTCTGTGAGTTGAATACACACAACACAAGGAAGTTACTGAGAATTCTTCTGTCTAGCAGAACATGAAGAAATCCCGTTTCCAACGAAGGCCTCAAAGATGTCTGAATATCCACTTGCAGACTTTACAAACAGAGTGTTTCCTAACTGCTCTATGAAAAGAAAGGTTAAACTCTGTGAGTTGAACGCACACATCACAAAGGAGTTTGTGAGAATCATTCTGTCTAGTTTTTATAGGAAGATATTTCCTTTTCTACCTTTGACTTCAAAGCGGCTGAAATCTCCACTTACAAATTCCACAAAAAGAGTGTTACAAGTCTGCTCTGTGTAAAGGATCGTTCAACTCTGTGAGTTGAATACACACAACACAAGGAAGTTACTGAGAATTCTTCTGTCTAGCATAGTATGAAGAAATCCCGTTTCCAACGAAGGCCTCAAAGAGGTCTGAATATCCAATTGCAGACTTTACAAACAGAGTGTTTCCTAACTGCTCTATGAAAAGAAATGTTAAACTCTGTGAGTTGAACGCAGACATCACAAAGAAGTTTCTGAGAATCATTCTGTCTAGTTTTGAAACCAAGATATTTCCTTTTCTGCCGTTGACCTTAAAGCGCTTGAAATCTACACTTGCAAATTGCACAAATAGAGTGTTTCAAATCTGCTCTGTCTAAGGGAACGTTCAACTCTGTGAGTTGAATGCACACAACACAAGGAAGTTACTGGGAATTCTTCTGTCTAGCCTTACATGAAAAAAACCCGTTTCCAACGAAGGCCTCTAAGTGGTCAAAATATCCACGTGGAGACTTTACAAACAGAGTGTTTACAAACTGCTGAATGAACAGAAAAGTTAAACTCTGAGAGTTGAACGCACACATCACAGAGCAGTTTCTGAGAATGATTCTGTCTAGTTTTTAAAGGAAGATATTTCCTTTTCTGCCTTTGGCCTCAAAGCGGTTGAAATCTCACCTTGCAAATTCCACAAAAAGAGTGTTTCAAATCTGATCTGTCTAAAGGAAAGTTCAACTCTGTCAGTTGAATACACCCAACACAAGGAAGTTACTGAGAATTCTTCTGTCTAGCATAATATGAAGAAATCCCGTTTCCAACGAAGGCGTCAAGGAGGTCTGAATATCCACTTGCAGACTTTACAAACAGAGTGTTTCCTAACTGCTCTATGAAAAGAAAGGTTAAACTCTGTGAGTTGAACGCACACATCACAAAGGAGTTTCTGAGAATCATTCTGTCTAGTTTTTATACGAAGATATTTCCTTTTCTACCATGGACCTCAAAGCGGTTGAAATCTCCACTTGCAAATTGCACAAAAAGAGTGTTTCAAGTCTGCTCTGTGTAAAGGATCGTTCAACTCTGTGAGTTGAATACACACAACACAAGGAAGATTCTGAGAATTCTTCTGTCTAGCAGAATATGAAGAAATCCCGTTTCCAACGAAGGCCACAAGATGTCAGAATATCCACTTAAAGAATTGACAAACAGACTGTTTCCTAACTGCTCTATGAAAAGAAAGGTTAAACTCTGTGAGTTGAACGAACACATCACAACGCAGTTTGTGGGAATGATTCTGTCTAGTTTTTATACGAAGATATTTCCTTTTCTACCATTGACCTCAAAGCGGCTGAAATCACCACTTGCCAATTGCACAAAAAGAGTGTTTCAAATCTGCTCTGTCTAAGGGAACGTTCAACTCTGTGAGTTGAATGTACACAACACAAGGAAAGTTACTGGGAATTCTTCTGTCTAGCCTTACATGAAAAATACCCGTTTCCAACGAAGGCCTCTAAGTGGTCAAAATATCCACGTGCAGACTTTACAAACAGAGTGTTTCCAAACCGCTGAATGAAAAGAAAAGTTAAACTCTGAGAGTTGAACGCACACATCACGCAGCAGTTTCTGAGAATCATTCTGTCTAGTTTTTATACAAAGATATTTCCTTTTCTGCCTTTGGCCCCATAGCGCTTGAAATCTCCACTTGCAAATTCCACAAAAACAGTGTTTCAAATCTGCTCTCTCTAAATAAAAGTTCAACTCTGTCAGTTGAATACACACAACACAAGGAAGTTACTGAGAATTCTTCTGTCTAGCATAATATGAAGAAATCCCGCTTCCAACGAAGGCCTCAAAGGGGTCTGAATATCCACTTGCAGACTTTATAAACAGAGTGTTTACTAACTGCTCTATGAAAAGAAAGGTTAAGCTCTGTGAGTTGAACACACACATCACAAAGGAGTTTCTGAGAATCATTCTGTCTAGTCTTTATACGAAGATATTTCCTTTTGTACCATTGACCTCAAAGCGGCTGAAATCTCCACTTGCAAATTCCACAAAAAGAGTGTTTCAGGTCTGCTCTGTGTAAAGAATCGTTCAACTCTGTGAGTTGAATACACACAACACAAGGAAGTTACTGAGAATTCTTCTGTCTAGCAGAATATGAAGAAATCCCGTTTCCAACGAAGGCCTCAAAGAGGTCTGAATATCCACTTGCAGACTTTACAAACAGAGTGTTTCCGAACTGCTCTATGAAAAGAAAGGTTAAACTCTGTTAGCTGAACGCACACATCACAAAGGAGTTTCTGAGAATCATTCTGTCTAGTTTTGAAACGAAGATATTTCCTTTTCTGCCATTGACCTTAAAGCGCTTGAAATCTACACTTGCAAATTGCACAAATAGAGTGTTTCAAATCTGCTCTGTCAAGGGAATGTTCAGCTCTGTGAGTTGAATGCACACAACACAAGGAAGTTACTGGGAATTCTTCTGTCTAGCCTTACATGAAAAAAACCCGTTTCCAACGAAGGCCTCTAAGTGGTCAAAATATCCACGTGCAGACTTTACAGACAGAGTGTTTCCAAACCGCTGAATGAAAAGAAAAGTTAAACTCTGAGAGTTGAACGCACACATCACGCAGCAGTTTCTGAGAATGATTCTGTCTAGTTTTTATACGAAGATATTTTCTTTTCTGCCTTTGACCTCAAAGCGCTTGAAATCTCCATTTGCAAATTCCACAAAAAGAGTGTTTCAAATCTGCTCTGTGTAAATGAAAGTTCAACTCTGTGAGTTGAACACACACAACACAAGGAAGTTACTGGGAATTCTTCTGTCTAGCATAGTATGAAGAAATCCCGTTTCCAACGAAGGCCTCAAAGAGGTCTGAATATCCACTTGCAGACTTTACAAACAAAGTGTTTCCTAACTGCTCTATGAAAAGAAAGGTTAAACTCTGTGAGTTGAACGCACACATCACAAAGAAGTTTCTGAGAATCATTCTGTCTAGTTTCTATAGGAAGATATTTCCTATTCTACCATTGACCTCAAAGCGGTTGAAATCTCCACTTGCAAATTCCACAAGAAGAGTGTTTCAAGTATGCTCTGTGTAAAGGATCGTTCAACTCTGTGAGTTGAATACACACAAAACAAGGAAGTTACTGAGAATTCTTCTGTCTAGCAGAATATGAAGAAATCCCGTTTCCAACGAAGGCCACAAGATGTCAGAGTATCCACTTACAGACTTTACAAACAGTGTGTTTCCTAACTGCTCTATGAACGGAAAGGTTAAACTCTGTGAGTTGAACGAACACATCACAACGCAGTTTGTGGGAATGATTCTGTCTAGTTTTGAAACGAAGATATTTCCTTTTCTGCCATTGACCTTAAAGCGCTTGAAATCTACACTTGCAAATTGCACAAATAGAGTGTTGCAAATCTGCTCTGTCTAAGGGAACGTTCAACTCTGTGAGTTGAATGCACACAACACAAGGAAGTTACTGGGAATTCTTCTGTCTAGCCTTACATGAAAAAAACCCGTTTCCAACGAAGGCCTCTAAGTGGTCAAGTTATCCACGTGCAGACTTTACAAACAGAGTGTTTCCAAACTGCTGAATGAAAAGAAAAGTTAAACTCTGAGAGTTGAACGCACACATCGCAGAGCAGTTTCTGAGAATGATTCTGTCTAGTTTTTATACGAAGATATTTCCTTTTCTGTCTTTGGCCTCAAAGCGCTTGAAATCTCCAATTGCAAATTCCACATAAAGAGCTTTTCAAATCTGCTCTGTCTAAATGAAAGTTCAACTCTGTCAGTTGAATACACACAACACAAGGAAGTTACTGAGAATTCTTCTGTGAAGCAGAATATGAAGAAATCCCGTTTCCAACGAAGGCCTCAGAGAGGTCTGAATATCCCCTTGCAGACTTTACAAACAGAGTGTTTCCTAACTGCTCTATGAAAAGAAACGTTAAACTCTGTGAGTTCAACGCACACATCACAAAGGAGTTTCTGAGAATCATTCTGTCTAGTCTTTATACGAAGATATTTCCTTTTCTACCATTGACCTCAAAGCGGCTGAAATCTCCACTTGAAAATACCAAAAAAAGTGTGTTTCAAGTCTGCTATGTGTAAAGGATCGTTCAACTCTGTGAGTTGAAGACACACAACACAAGGAAGTTTCTGAGAATTCTTCTGTCTAGCCTTATATGAAAAAAACCCGTTTCCAACGAAGGCCTCAAAGAGGTCTGAATATCCACTTGCAGACTTTACAAACAGAGTGTTTCCTAAATGCTCTATGAAAAGAAAGGTTAAACTCTGTGAGTTGAACGAACACATCACAACGCAGTTTGTGGGAATGATTCTGTCTAGTTTTTATAGGAAGATATTTCCTTTTCTACTTTGACTTCAAAGCGGCTGAAATCTCCACTTGCAAATTCCACAAAAAGAGTGTTACAAGTCTGCTCTCTGTAAAGGATCGTTCAACTGTGTGAGTTGAATACACACAACACAAGGGAAGTTACTGAGAACTCTTCTGTCTAGCCTTACATGAAAAAAACCCGTTTCCAACGAAGGCCTCTAAGTGGTCAAATTATCCACGTGCAGACTTTACAAACAGAGTGTTTCCAAACTGCTGAATGAAAAGAAAAGTTAAACTCTGAGAGTTGAACGCACACATCGCAGAGCAGCTTCTGAGAATGATTCTGTCTAGTTTCTATAGGAAGATATTTCCTATTCTACCATTGAACTCAAAGCGGCTGAAATCTCCACTTGCAAATTCCACAAAAAGAGTGTTTCAAGTCTGCTCTGTGTAAAGGATCATTCAACTCTGTGAGTTGAATACACACAACAAAAGGAAGTTACTGAGAATTCTTCTGTCTAGCAGAATATGATTAAATCCCGTTTCCAACGAAGGCCTCAAGGAGGTCTGAATATCCACTTGCAGACTTTACAAACAGAGTGTTTCCTAACTGCTCTATGAAAAGAAAGGTTAAACTCTGTGAGTTGAATGCACACATCACAAAGGAGTTTCTCAGAATCATTCTGTCTAGTTTTTATAGGAAGATATTTCCTTTTCTACCTTTGACTTCAAAGCGGCAGAAATCTCCACTTGCAAATTCCACAAAAAGAGTGTTACAAGTCTGCTCTGTGTAAAGGATCGTTCAACTCTGTGAGTTGAATACACACAACACAAGGAAAGTTACTGAGAATTCTTCTGTCTAGCCTTACATGAAAAAAACCCGTTTCCAAAGAAGGCCTCTAAGTGGTCAAATTATCCACGTGCAGACTTTACAAACAGAGTGTTTCCAAACTGCTGAATGAAAAGAAAAGTTAAACTCTGAGAGTTGAACGCACACATCGCAGAGCAGTTTCTGAGAATGATTCTGTCTCGTTTTGAAACGAAGATATTTCCTTTTCTGCCATTGACCTTAAAGCGCTTGAAATCTCCACTTGCCAATTGCACAAAAAGAGTGTTTCAAATCTGCTCTGTCTAAGGGAACGTTCAACTCTGTGAGTTGAATGTACACAACAGAAGGAAGTTACTGAGAATTCTTCTGTCTAGCCTTACATGAAGAAAACCCGTTTCCAACGGAGGCCTCAAAGAGGTCAAAATATCCACTTGCAGACTTTACAAACAGAGTGTTTCCTAACTACTCTATGAATAGAAAAGTTAAACTCTGTGAGTTGAACATACACATCACAAAGGAGTTTATGAGAATCATTCTGTCTAGTTTTTATACGAAGATATTTCCTTTTCTACCATTGACCTCAAATCGGCTGAAATCTCCACTTGCAAATTCCACAAAACGAGTGTTTCAAGTCCGCTCTGTGTAAAGCATCGTTCAACTCTGTGAGTTGAATACACACAACACAAGGAAGTTACTGAGAATTCTTCTGTCTAGCACAGTATGGAGAAATCCCGTTTCCAACGAAGGCCTCAAAGTGGTCTGAATATCCACTTGCAGAGTTTACAAACAGAGTGTTTCCTAACTGCTCTATGAAAAGAAAGGTTAAACTCTGTGAGTTGAACGCACACATCACAATGAAGTTTCTGAGAATCATTCTGTCTAGTTTTTATACGAAGATATTTCCTTTTCTACCATTGACCTCAACGCGGCTGAAATCTCCACTTGCAAATTCCACAAAAAGAGTGTTTCAAGTCCGCTCTGTGTAAAGGGTCGTTCAACTCTGTGAGTTGAATACACACAACACAAGGAAGTTACTGAGAATTCTTCTGTATAGCACAGTATGAAGAAATCCCGTTTCCAACGAAGGCCTCAAAGAGGTCTGAATATCCACTTGCAGAGTTTACAAACAGAGTGTTTCCTAACTGCTCTATGAAAAGAAAGGTTAAACTCTGTGAGTTGAACGCACACATCACAAAGAAGATTCTGAGAATCATTCTGTCTAGTTTTGAAACCAAGATATTTCCTTTTCTGCCGTTGACCTTAAAGCGCTTGAAATCTACACTTGCAAATTGCACAAATAGAGTGTTTCAAATCTGCTCTGTCTAAGGGAACTTTCAACTCTGTGAGTTGAATGCACACAACACAAGGAAGTTACTGGGAATTCTTCTGTCTAGCCTTACAGGAAAAAAACCCGTTTCCAAAGAAGGCCTCCAAGTGGTCAAATTATCCACGTGCAGACTTTACAAACAGAGTGTTTCCAAACTGCTGAATGAAAAGAAAAGTTAAACTCTGAGAGTTGAACGCACACATCGCAGAGCAGTTTCTGAGAATGATTCTGTCCAGTTTTTATACGAAGATATTTCCTTTTCTGCCTTTGGCCTCAAAGCGCTTGAAATCTCCACTTGCAAATTCCACAAAAAGAGTGTTTCAAATCTGCTCTGTGTAAATGAAAGTTCAACTCTGTGAGTTGAACACACACAACACAAAGAAGTTACTGGGAATTCTTCTGTCTAGCAGAATATGAAGAAATCCCGTTTCCAACGAAGGCCTCAAAGAGGTCTGAATATCCACTTGCAGACATTACAAACAGAGTGTTTCCTAACTGCTTTATGAAAAGAAAGGTTAAACTCTGTGAGTTGAACGCACACATTACAAAGGAGATTCTGAGAATCATTCTGTCTAGTTTTTCTACGAAGATATTTCCTTTTCTACTATTGACCTCAAAGCGGCTGAAATCTCCACTTGCAAATTCCACAAAAAGAGTGTTTCAAGTCTGCTCTGTGTAAAGGATCGTTCAACTCTGCGAGTTCAATACACACAACACAAGGAAGTTACTGAGAATTCTTCTGTCTAGCAGAATATGAAGAAATCCCGTTTCCAACGAAGGCCTCAAAGAGGTCTGAATATCCACTTGCAGACTTTACAAACAGAGTGTTTCCTAACTGCTCTATGAAAAGAAAGGTTAAACTCTGTGAGTTGAATGCACACATCACAAAGGAGTTTCTGAGAATCATTCTGTCTAGTTTTGAAACGAAGATATTTCCTTTTCTGCCATTGACCTTAAAGCGCTTGAAATCTCCATTTGCCAATTGCACAAAAAGAGTGTTTCAAATCTGCTCTGTCTAAGGGAACGTTCAACTATGTGAGTTGAATGTACACAACACAAGGAAGTTACTGGGAATTCTTCTGTCTAGCCTTACAGGAAAAAAACCCGTTTCCAACGAAGGCCTCTAAGTGGTCAAAATATCCACGTGCAGACTTTACAAACAGAGTGTTTCCAAACTGCTGAATGAAAAGAAAAGTTAAACTCTGAGAGTTGAACGCACACATCGCAGAGCAGTTTCTCAGAATGATTCTGTCTAGTTTTTATACGAAGATATTTCCTTTTCTGCCTTTGGCCGCAAAGCGCTTGAAATCTCCACTTGCAAATTCCACAAAAACAGTGTATCAAATCTGCTCTCTCTAAATGAAAGTTCAACTCTGTCAGTTGAATACACACAACACAAGGAAGTTACTGAGAATTCTTCTGTCTAGCATAATATGAAGAAATCCCGTTTCCAACGAAGACCTCAAGGAGGTCTGAATATCCACTTGCAGACTTTACAAACAGAGTGTTTCCAAACTGCTCTATGAAGAGAAAGGTTAAACTCTGTGAGTTAAACGCACACATCACAAAGGAGTTTCTGAGAATCATTCTGTCTAGTTTTTATACGAAGATATTTCCTTTTCTGCCTTTGGCCTCAAAGCGCTTGAAATCTCCACTTGCAAATTCCACAAAAAGTGTGTTTCAAGTCCGCTCTGTGTAAAGGATCGTTCAACTCTGTGAGTTGAATACACACAACACAAGGAAGTTACTGAGAATTCTTCTGTCTAGCACAGTATGAAGAAATTCCGTTTCCAACGAAGGCCTCAAAGAGGTCTGAATATCCACTTGCAGACTTTACAAACAGAGTGTTTCCTAACTGCTCTATGAAAAGAAAGGTTAAACTCTGTGAGTTGAACGCACACATCACAAAGTAGTTTCTGAGAATCATTCTGTCTAGTTTTGAAACGAAGATATTCCCTTTTCTGCCATTGACCTTAAAGCCCTTGAAATCTACACTTGCAAATTGCACAAATAGAGTGTTTCAAATCTGCTCCGTCTAGGGAACGTTCAACTCTGTGAGTTGAATGCACACAACACAAGGAAGTTACTGGGAATTCTTCTGTCTAGCCTTACAGGAAAGAAACCCGTTTACAACGAAGGCCTCTAAGTGGTCAAAATATCCACGTGCAGACTTTACAAACAGAGTGTTTCCAAACTGCTAAATGAAAAGCAAAGTTAAACTCTGAGAGTTGAACGCACACATCGCAGAGCAGTTTCTGAGAATGATTCTGTCTAGTTTTGAAACGAAGATATTTCCTTTTCTCGCCTCTTGGCCTCAAAGCGCTTGAAATCTCCACTTGCAAATTCCACAAAAAGAGTGTTTCAAATCTGCTCTGTGTAAATGAAAGTTCAACTCTGTGAGTTGAACACACACAACACAAGGAAGTTACTGGGAATTCTTCTGTCTAGCATAATATGAAGAAATCCCTTTTCCAACGAAGGCTTCAAGGAGGTCTGAATATCCACTTGCAGACTTTACAAACAGAGTGTTTCCTAACTGCTCTGTGAAAAGAAAGGTTAAACTCTTTGAGTTGAACGCACACATCACAAAGGAGTTTCTGAGAATCATTCTGTCTAGTTTTGAAACGAAGACATTTCCTTTTCTGCCTTTGACTTCAAAGCGGCTGAAATCTCCACTTGCAAATTCCACAAAAAGAGTGTTACAAGTCTGCTCTGTGTAAAGGATCGTTCAACTCTGTGAGTTGAATACACACAACACAAGGGAAGTTACTGAGAATTCTTCTGTCTAGCAGAATATGAAGAAATCCCGTTTCCAACGAAGGCCACAAGATGTCAGAATATCCACTTACAGAATTTTCAAACAGACTGTTTCCTAACTGCTCTATGAAAAGAAAGGTTAAACTCTGTGAGATGAACGAACACATCACAACGCAGTTTGTGGGAATGATTCTGTCTAGTTTTTATAGGAAGATATTTCCTTTTCTACCTTTGACTTCAAAGCGGCTGAAATCTCCACTTGCAAATTCCACAAAAAGAGTGTTACAAGTCTGCTCTGTGTAAAGGATCCTTCAACTGTGTGAGTTGAATACACACAACACAAGGAAGTTACTGAGAATTCTTCTGTCTAGCCTTACATGAAAAAAACCCGTTTCCAACGAAGGCCTCTAAGTGGTCAAATTATCCACGTGCAGACTTTACAAACAGAGTGTTTCCAAACTGCTGAATGAAAAGCGAAGTTAAACTCTGAGAGTTGAACGCACACATCGCAGAGCAGTTTCTGAGAATGATTCTGTCTAGTTTTTATACGAAGATATTTCCTTTTCTTCCTTTGGCCCCAAAGCGCTTGAAATCTCCACTTGCAAATTCCACAAAAACAGTGTTTCAAATCTGCTCTCTCTAAATGAAAGTTCAACTCTGTCAGTTGAATACACACAACAGAAGGAAGTTACTGAGAATTCTTCTGTCTAGCATAATATGAAGAAATCCCGTTTCCAAAGAAGGCCACAAAGGGATCTGAATATCCACTTGCAGACTTTATAAACAGAGTGTTTACTAACTGCTCTATGAAAAGAAAGGTTAAATTCTGAGAGTTGAACACACACATCACAAAGGAGTTTCTGAGAATCATTCTGTCTAGTTTCTATAGGAAGATATTTCCTATTCTACCATTGACCTCAAAGCGGCTGAAATCTCCAATTGCAAATTCCACAAAAAGAGTGTTTCAAGACTGTTCTGTGTAAAGGATCATTCAACTCTGTGAGTTGAATACACACAACACAAGGAAGTTACTAAGAATTCTTCTGTCTAGCCTTATATGAAAAAAACCCGTTTCCAACGAAGGCCTCAAAGAGGTCTGAATGTCCACTTGCAGACTTTACAAACAGAGTGTTTCCTAACTGCTCTATGAAAAGAAAGGTTAAACTCTGTGAGTTGAACGCACACATCACAAAGGAGTTTCTGAGAATCATTCTGTCTAGTCTTTATACGAAGATATTTCCTTTTCTACCATTGACCTCAAAGCGGCTGAAATCTCCACTTGCAAATTCCACAAAAAGAGTGTTTCAAGTCTGCTCTGTGTAAAGGATCTTTCAACTCTGTGAGTTGAATACACACAACACAAGGAAGTTACTGAGAATTCTTCTGTCTAGCAGAATATGTAGAAATCCCGTTTCCAACGAAGGCCACAAGATGTCAGAATATCCACTTACAGAATTTACCAACAGAGTGTTTCCTAACTGCTCTATGAAAAGAAAGGTTAAACTCTGTGAGTTGAACGAACACATCACAACGCAGTTTGTGGGAATGATTCTGTCTAGTTTTGAAACGAAGATATTTCCTTTTCTGCCATTGACCTTAAAGCGCTTGAAATCTACACTTGCAAATTGCACAGAGTGTTTCAAATCTGCTCTGTCTAAGGGAACGTTCAACTCTGTGAGTTGAATGCACACAACACAAGGAAGTTACTGGGAATTCTCTGTCTAGCCTTACAGGAAAAAAACCCGTTTCCAACGAAGGCCTCTAAGTGGTCAAAATATCCACGTGCAGACTTTACAAACAGAGTGTTTCCAAACTGCTGAATGAAAAGAAAAGTTAAACTCTGAGAGTTGAACGCACACATCGCAGAGCAGTTTCTGAGAATGATTCTGTCTAGTTTTTATACGAAGATATTTCCTTTTCTGCCTTTGGCCTCAAAGCGCTTGAAATCTCCACTTGCAAATTCCACAAAAAGAGTGTTTCAAATCTGCTCATTGTAAATGAAAGTTCAACTCTGTGAGTTGAACACACACAACACAAGGAAGTTACTGGGAATACTTCTGTCTAGCATAATATGAAGAAATCCCTTTTCCAACGAAGGCCTCAAGGAGGTCTGAATATCCACTTGCAGACTTTACAAACAGAGTGTTTCCTAACTGCTCTATGAAAAGAAAGTTTAACTCTGTGAGTTGAACGCAGACATCACAAAGGAGTTTCTGAGAATCATTCTGTCTAGTTTCTATAGGAAGATATTTCCTATTCTACCATTGACCTCAAAGCGGCTGAAATCTCCACTTGCAAATTCCACAACAAGAGTGTTTCAACTATGCTCTGTGTAAAGGATCGTTCAACTCTGTGAGTTGAATACACACAACACAAGGAAGTTACTGAGAATTCTTCTGTCTAGCAGAATATGAAGAAATCCCGTTTCCAACGAAGGCCACAAGATGTCAGAATATCCACTTACAGACTTTACAAACAGAGTGTTTCCTCACTGCTCTATGAACAGAAAGGTTAATCTCTGTGAGTTGAACGAACACATCACAACGCAGTTTGTGGGAATGATTCTGTCTAGTTTTGAACGAAGATATTTCCTTTTCTGCCATTGACCTTAAAGCGCTTGAAATCTACACTTGCAAATTGCACAAATAGAGTGTTTCAAATCTGCTCTGTCTAAGGGAACGTTCAACTCTGTGAGTTGAATGCACACAACACAAGGAAGTTACTGGGAATTCTTCTGTCTAGCCTTACAGGAAAAAAACCCGTTTCCAACGAATGCCTCTAAGTGGTCAAAATATCCACGTGCAGACTTTACAAAGAGAGTGTTTCCAAACTGCTGAATGAAAAGAAAAGTTAAACTCTGAGAGTTGAACGCACACATCGCAGAGCAGTTTCTGAGAATGATTCTGTCTAGTTTTTATACGAAGATATTTCCTTTTCTGCCTTTGGCCCCAAAGCGCTTGAAATCTCCACTTGCAAATTCCACAAAAACAGTGTTTCAAAACTGCTCTCTCTAAATGAAAGTTCAACTCTGTCAGTTGAATACACACAACACAAGGGAAGTTACTGAGAATTCTTCTGTCTAGCATAATATGAAGAAATCCCGTTTCCAACGAAGGCCACAAAGGGGTCTGAATATCCACTTGCAGACTTTATAAACAGAGTGTTTACTAACTGCTCTATGAAAAGAAAAGTTAAACTCTGTGAGTTGAACACACACATCACAAAGGAGTTTCTGAGAATCATTCTGTCTAGTTGTTATACGAAGATATTTCCTTTTCTACCATTGACCTCAAAGCGGCTGAAATCTCCACTTGCAAATTCCACCAAATGAGTGTTTCAAATCTGCTCTGTGTAAACCGTCGTTCAACTCTGTGAGTTGAATACACACAACACAAGGAAGATTCTGAGAATTCTTCTGTCTAGCAGAATATGAAGAAATCCCGTTTCCAACGAAGGCCACAAGATGTCAGAATATCCACTTACAGAATTTACAAACAGACTGTTTCCTAACTGCTCTATGAAAAGAAAGGTTAAACTCTGTGAGTTGAACGAACACATCACAACGTAGTTTGTGGGAATGATTCTGTCTAGTTTTGAAACGAAGATATTTCCTTTTCTGCCATTGACCTTATAGCGCTTGAAATCTCCACTTGCCAATTGCACAAAAAGAGTATTTCAAATCTGCTCTGTCTAAGGGAACGTTCAACTCTGTGAGTTGAATGTACACAACACAAGGAAGTTACTGGGAATTCTTCCGTCTAGCCTTACATGAAAAAAACCCGTTTCCAACGAAGGCCTCTAAGTGGTCAAATTATCCACGTGCAGACTTTACAAACAGAGTGTTTCCAAACTGCTGAATGAAAAGAAAAGTTAAACTCTGAGAGTTGAACGCACACATCGCAGAGCAGTTTCTGAGAATGATTCTGTCTAGTTTTTATACGAAGATATTTCCTTTTCTGCCTTTGACCTCAAAGCGCTTGAAATCTCCATTTGCAAATTCCACAAAAAGAGAGTTTCAAATCTGCTCTGTGTAAATGAAAGTTCAACTCTGTGAGTTGAACACACACAACACAAGGAAGTTACTGGGAATTCTTCTGTCTAGCATAATATGAAGAAATCCCGTTTCCTACGAAGGCCTCAAAGAGGTCTGAATATCCACTTGCAGACTTTACAAACAGAGTGTTTCCTAACTACTCTATGAAAAGAAAGGTTAAACTCTGTGAGTTGAGCGCACACATCACAAAGGAGTTTCTGAGAATCATTCTGTCTAGTTTTTATACGAAGATATTACCTTTTCTACCATGGACCTCAAAGCGGCTGAAATCTCCACTTGCAAATTCCACAAAAAGAGTGTTTCAAGTCTGCTCTGTGTAAAGGATCGTTCAACTCTGTGAGTTGAATACACCCAACACAAGGAAGATTCTGAGAATTCTTCTGTCTAGCAGAATATGAAGAAATCCCGTTTCCAACGAAGGCCTCAAGGAGGTCTGAATATCCACTTGCAGACTGTACAAACAGAGTGTTTCCTAACTGCTCTATGAACAGAAAGGTTAAACTCTGTGAGTTGAACGAACACATCACAACGCAGTTTGTGGGAATGATTCTGTCTAGTTTTGAAACGAAGAAATTTCCTTTTCTGCCATTGACCTTAAAGCGCTTGAAATCTACACTTGCAAATTGCACAAATAGAGTGTTTCAAATCTGCTCTGTCTAAGGGAACGTTCAACTGTGTGAGTTGAATGCACACAACACAAGGAAGTTACTGGGAATTCTTCTGTCTAGCCTTACATGAAAAAAACCCGCTTCCAACGAAGGCCTCTAAGTGGTCAAATTATTCACGTGCAGACGTTACAAACAGAGTGTTTCCAAACTGCTGAATGAAAAGAAAAGTTAAACTCTGAGAGTTGAACGCACACATCGCAGAGCAGTTTCTGAGAATGATTCTGTCTAGTTTCTATAGGAAGATATTTCCTATTCTACCATTGACCTCAAAGAGGCTGAAATCTCCACTTGCAAATTCCACAAAAAGACTGTTTCAAGTCTGCTCTGTGTAAAGGATCGTTCAAATCTGTGAGTTGAATACTCACAACACAAGGAAGTTACTGAGAATTCTTCTGTCTAGCATAATATGTAGAAATCCCGTTTCCAACGAAGGCCTCAAGGAGGTCTGAATATCCACTTGCAGACTTTACAAACAGAGTGTTTCCTAACTGCACTATGAAAAGAAAGGTTAAACTCTGTGAGTTGAACGCACGCATCACAAAGGAGTTTCTGAGAATCATTCTGTCTAGTTTTTATAGGAAGATATTTCCTTTTCTACCTTTGACTTCAAAGCGGCTGAAATCTCCACTTGCAAATTCCACAAAAAGAGTGTTACAAGTCTGCTCTGTGTAAAGTATCGTTCAACTCTGTGAGTTGAATACACACAACACAAGGAAGTTACTGAGAATTCTTCTGTCTAGCAGAATATGAAGAAATCCCGTTTCCAACGAAGGCCACAAGATGTCAGAATATCCACTTATAGACTTTACAAACAGAGTGTTTCCTAACTGCTCTATGAACAGAAAGGTTAAACTCTGTGAGTTGAACGAACACAATCACAACGCAGTTTGTGGGAATGATTCTGTCTAGTTTTCAAACGAAGATATTTCCTATTCTACCATTGACCTTAAAGCGCTTGAAATCTCCATTTGCCAATTGCACAAAAAGAGTGTTTCAAATCTGCTCTGTCTAAGGGAACGTTCAACTCTGTGAGTTGAATGTACACAACACAAGGAAGTTACTGGGAATTCTTCTGTCTAGCCTTCCATGAAAAAAACCCGTTTCCAACGAAGGCCTCTAAGTGGTCAAATTATCCACGTGCAGACTTTACAAACAGAGTGTTTCCAAACTGCTGAATGAAAAGAAAAGTTAAACTCTGAGAGTTGAACGCACACATCGCAGAGCAGTTTCTGAGAATGATTCTGTCTAGTTTCTATTGGAAGATATTTCCTATTCTACCATTGACCTCAAAGCGGCTGAAATCTCCACTTGCAAATTCCACAAAAAGAGTGTTTCAAGTGTGCTCTCTGTAAAGGATCGTTCAACTCTGTGAGTTGAATACACACAACACAAGGAAGTTACTGAGAATTGTTCTGTCTAGCATAATATGAAGAAATCTCGTTTCCACCGAAGGCCTCAAAGAGGTCTGAATATCCACTTGCAGACTTTACAAACAGAGTGTTTCCTAACTGCTCTATGAAAAGAAAAGTTTAACTCTGTGTGTTGAACGCACACATCACAAAGGAGTTTCTGAGAATCATTCTGTCTAGTTTTTATACGAAGATATTTCCTTTTCTACCATTGACCTCAAAGCGGCTGAAATCTCCACTTGCAAATTCCACAAAAAGAGTGTTTCAAGTCTGCTCTGTGGTAAAGGATCGTTCAACTCTGTGAGTTGAAAACACACAACACAAGGAAGTTTCTGAGAATTCTTCTGTCTAGCAGAATATGAAGAAATCCCGTTTCCAACGAAAGCCTCAAAGATGTCTGAATATCCACTTGCAGACATTACAAACAGAGTGTTTCCTAACTGCTCTATGAAAAGAAAGGTTAAACTCTGTGAGTTGAACGCACATATCACAAAGGAGTTTCTGAGAATCATTCTGTCTAGTTTTGAAACGAAAATATTTCCTTTTCTGCCATTGACCTTAAAGCGCTTGAAATCTACACTTGCAAATTGCACAAATAGAGTGTTTCAAATCTGCTCTGTCTAAGGGAACATTCATCTCTGTGACTTGAGTGCACACAACACAAGGAAGTTATTGGGAATTCTTCTGTCTAGCCTTACATGAAAAAAACCCGTTTCCAACGAAGGCCTCTAAGTGGTCACAATGTCCACGTGCAAACTTTACAAACAGAGTGTTTCCAAACTGCTGAATGAAAAGAAAAGTTAAACTCTGAGAGTTGAACGCACACATCACAGAGCAGTTTCTGAGAAAGACTCTGTCTAGTTTTTATACGAAGATATTTCCTTTTCTGCCTTTGACCTCAAAGCGCTTGAAATCTCCACTTGCAAATTCCACAAAAAGAGTGTTTCAAATCTGCTCTGTGTAAATGAAAGTTCAACTCTGTGAGTTGAACACACACAACACAAGGGAAGTTACTGGGAATTCTTCTGTCTAGCATAATATGAAGAAATCCCGTTTCCAACGAAGGCCTTAAGGAGGTCTGAATATCCAGTTGCAGACTTTACAAACAGAGTGTTTCCTAACTGCTCTATGAAAAGAAAGGTTAAACTCTGTGAGTTGAATGCACACATCACAAAGGAGTTTCTGAGAATCATTCTGTCTACTTTTTATACGAAGATATTTCCTTTTCTACCATTGACTTCAAAGCGGCTGAAATCTCCACTTGCAAATTCCACAAAAAGAGTGTTTCAAGTCTGCTCTGTGTAAAGGATCGTTGAACTCTGTGAGTTGAATACACACAACACAAGGAAGTTACTGAGAATTCTTCTCTCTAGCAGAATATGAAGAAATCCCGTTTCCAACGAAGGCCTCAAAGAGGTCTGAATATCCACTTGCAGACTTTACAAACAGAGTGTTTCCTAACTGCTCTATGAAAAGAATGGTAAAACTCTGTGAGTTGAACGCACACATCACAAAGGAGTTTCTGAGAATCATTCTGTCTAGTTTCTATAGGAAGATATTTCCTATTCTACCATTGACCTGAAAGCGGCTGAAATCTCCACTTGCAAATTCCACAAAAAGAGTGTTTCAAGTCTGCTGTGTGTAAAGAATCGTTCAACTCTGTGAGTTGAATACACACAACACAAGGAAGTTACTGAGAATTCTTCTGTCTAACAGAATATGAAGAAATCCCGTTACCAACGAAGGCCACAAGATGTCAGAATATCCACTTACAGAATTTACAAACAGATTGTTTCCTAACTGCTCTATGAAAAGAAAGGTTAAACTCAGTGAGTTGAAAGAACACATCACAACGCAGTTTGTGGGAATGATTCTGTCTAGTTTTGAAACGAAGATATTTCCTTTTCTTCCATTGACCTTAAAGCGCTTGAAATCTCCACTTGCCAATTGCACAAAAAGAGTGTTTCAAATCTGCTCTGTCTAAGGGAACGTTCAACTCTGTGAGTTGAATGTACACAACACAAGGAAGTTACTGGGAATTCTTCTGTCTAGCCTTACAGGAAAAAAATCCGTTTCCAACGAAAGCCTCTAAGTGGTCAAAATATCCACGTGCAGACTTTACAAACAGAGTGTTTCCAAACTGCTGAATGAAAAGAAAAGTTAAACTCTGAGAGTTGAACGCACACATCGCAGAGCAGTTTCTGAGAATGATTCTGTCTAGTTTTGAAACGAAGATATTTCCTTTTCTGCCTTTGGCCTCAAAGCGCTTGAAATCTCCACTTGCAAATTCCACAAAAAGAGTGTTTCAAATCTGCTCTGTGTAAATGAAAGTTCAACTCTGTGAGTTGAACACACACAACACAAGGAAGTTACTGGGAATTCTCTGTCTAGCAGAATATGAAGAAATCCCTTTTCCAACGAAAGCCTCAATGATGTCTGAATATCCACCTGCAGACTTTACAAACAGAGTGTTTCCTAACTGCTCTATGAAAAGAAAGTTTAAACTCTGTGAGTTGAACGCACACATCACAAAGGAGTTTCTGAGAATCATTCTGTCTAGTTTTTATACGAAGATATTTCCTTTTCTACCATGGACCTCAAAGCGGCTGAAATCTCCACTTGCAAATTCCACAAAAAGAGTGTTTCAAGTCTGCTCTGTGTAAAGCATCGTTCAACTCTGTGAGTTGAATACACACAACACCAAGAAGTTACTGAGAATTCTTCTGTCTAGCAGAATACGAAGAAATCCCGTTTCCAACGAAGGCCTCAAAGAGGTCTGAATATCCACTTGCAGACTTTACAAACAGAGTGTTTCCTAACTGCTCTAAGAAAAGAAAGGTTAAACTGTGTGAGTTGAACGCTCACATCACAAAGGAGTTTCTGAGAATCGTTCTGTCTAGTTTTTCTACGAAGATATTTCCTTTTCTACCATTGACCTCAAAGTGGCTGAAATCTCCACTTGCAAATTCCACAAAAAGAGTGTTTCAAGTCTGCTCTGTGTAAAGGATCGTTCAACTCTGTGAGTTGAATACACACAACACAAGGAAGTTACTGAGAATTCTTCTGTCTAGGAGAATATGAAGAAATCCCGTTTCCAACGAAGGCCACAAGATGTCAGAATATCCACTTACAGAATTGACAAACAGACTGTTTCCTAACTGCTCTATGAAAAGAAAGGTTAAACTCTGTGAGTTGAACGAACACATCACAACGCAGTTTGTGGGAATGATTCTGTCTAGTTTTGAAACGAAGATATTTCCTTTTCTGCCACTGACCTTAAAGCGCTTGAAATCTACACTTGCAAATTGCACAAATAGAGTGTTTCAAATCTGCTCTGTCTAAGGGAACGTTCAACTCTGTGAGTTGAATGCACACAACACAAGGAAGTTACTGGGAATTCTTCTGTCTAGCCTTACATGAAAAAAACCCGGTTCCAACGAAGGCCTCTAAGTGGTCAAGTTATCCACGTGCAGACTTTACAAACAGAGTGTTTCCAAACTGCTGAATGAAAAGAAAAGTTAAACTCTGAGAGTTGAACGCACACATCGCAGAGCAGTTTCTGAGAATGATTCTGTCTAGTTTTGAAACGAAGATATTTCCTTTTCTGCCTTTGGCCTCAAAGCGCTTGAAATCTCCACTTGCAAATTCCACAAAAAGAGTGTTTCAAATCTGCTCTGTGTAAATGAAAGTTCAACTCTGTGATTTGAACACACACAACACAAGGAAGTTACTGGGAATTCTTCTGTCTAGCAGAATATGAAGAAATCCCGTTTCCAACGAAGGCCCCAAGGAGGTCTGAATATCCACTTGCAGACTTTACAAACAGAGTGTTTCCTAACTGCTCTATGAACAGAAAGGTTAAACTCTGTGAGTTGAACGCACACATCACAAAGGAGTTTCTGAGAATCA
This sequence comes from Homo sapiens, assembly GCF_000001405.40. Classification (NCBI taxonomy): domain Eukaryota; kingdom Metazoa; phylum Chordata; class Mammalia; order Primates; family Hominidae; genus Homo; species Homo sapiens. Next base: position 25,461,822 of record NC_000019.10, on the reverse strand, counting down.
TTCTGTCTAGTTTCGATACGAAGATATTCCCTTTTCTACCATTGACCTCAAAGCGGCTGAAATCTCCACTTGCAAATTCCACAAAAAGAGTGTTTCAAGTCTGCTCTGTGTAAAGGATCGTTCAACTCTGTGAGTTGAATACACACAACACAAGGAAGTTATTGAGAATTCTTCTGTCTAGCAGAATATGAAGAAATCCCGTTTCCAACGAAGGCCACAAGATGTCAGAATATCCACTTACAGACTTTACAAACAGAGTGTTTCCTAACTGCTCTATGAACAGAAAGGTTAAACTCTGTGAGTTGAACGAGCACATCACAACGCAGTTTGTGGGAATGATTCTGTCTAGTTTTGAAACGGAGATATTTCCTTTTCTGCCATTGACCTTAAAGCGCTTGAAATCTACACTTGCAAATTGCACAAATAGAGTGTTTCAAATCTGCTCTGTCTAAGGGAACGTTCAACTCTGTGAGTTGAATGCACACAACACAAGGAAGTTACTGGGAATTCTTCTGTCTAGCCTTACAGGAAAAAAACCCGTTTCCAACGAAGGCCTCTAAGTGGTCAAGTTATCCACGTGCAGACTTTACAAACAGAGTGTTTCCAAACTGCTGAATGAAAAGAAAAGTTAAACTCTGAGAGTTGAACGCACACATCGCAGAGCAGTTTCTGAGAATGATTCTGTCTAGTTTTTATACGAAGATATTTCCTTTTCTGCCTTTGGCCTCAAAGCGCTTGAAATCTCCACCTGCAAATTCCACAAAAAGAGTGTTTCAAATCTGCTCTGTGTAAATGAAAGTTCAACTCTGTGAGTTGAACACACACAACACAAGGGAAGTTACTGGGAATTCTTCTTTCTAGCAGAATATGAAGAAATCCCGCTTCCAACGAAGGCCTCAAAGAAGTCTGAATATCCACTTGCAGACTTTACAAACAGAGTGTTTCCCAACTGCTCTATGAAAAGAAAGGTTGAACTCTGTGAGTTGAACGCACACATCACAAAGGAGTTTCTGAGAATCATTCTGTCTAGTTTCTATACGAAGATATTTCCTATTCTACCATTGACCTCAAAGCGGCTGAAATCTCCACTTGCAAATTCCACAAAAAGAGTGTTTCAAGTCTGCTCTGTGTAAAGGATCGTTCAACTCTGTGAGTTGAATACACACAACACAAGGAAGTTACTGAGAAATCTTCTGTCTAGCAGAATATCAAGAAATCCCGTTTCCAACGAAGGCCTCAAGGTGGTCTGAATATCCACTTGCAGACTTTACAAACAGAGTGTTTCCTAACTGCTCTATGAATAGAAAGGTTAAACTCTGTGAGTTGAACGAACACATCACAACGCAGTTTGTGGGAATGATTCTGTCTAGTTTTTATAGGAAGATATTTCCTTTTCTGCCTTTGACTTCAAAGCGGCTGAAATCTCCACTTGCAAATTCCACAAAAAGAGTGTTACAAGTCTGCTCTGTGTAAAGGATCGTTCAACTCTGTGAGGTGAATACACACAACACAAGGAAGTTACTGAGAATTCTTCTGTCTAGCCTTACATGAAAAAAACCCGTTTCCAACGAAGGCCTCTAAGTGGTCAAATTATCCACGTGCAGACTTTAAAAACAGAGTGTTTCCAAACTGCTGAATGAAAAGAAAAGTTAAACTGCTGAGAGTTGAACGCACACATCGCAGAGCAGTTTCTGAGAATGATTTCTGTCTAGTTTTGAAACGAAGATATTTCCTTTTCTGCCTTTGGCCTCAAAGCGCTTGAAATCTCCACTTGCAAATTCCACAAAAAGAGTGTTTCAAATCTGCTCTGTGTAAATGGAAGTTTAACTCTGTGAGTTGAACACACACAACACAAGGAAGTTACTGGGAATTCTTCTGTCTAGAATAATATGAAGAAATCCCGTTTCCAACGAAGGCCTCAAAGAGGTCTGAATATCCACTTGCAGACTTTACAAACAGAGTGTTTCCTAACTGCTCTATGAACAGAAAAGTTAAACTCTGTGAGTTGAACGCACACATCACAAAGGAGTTTCTGAGAATCATTCTGTCTAGTTTTTATACGAAGATATTTCCTTTTCTACCATGGACCTCAAAGCGGCTGAAATCTCCACTTGCAAATTCCACAAAAAGAGTGTGTCAAATCTGCTCTGTGTAAAGGATCGTTCATCTCTGTGAGTTGAATACACAGAACACAAGGAAGTTTCTGAGAATTCTTCTGTCTACCAGAATATGAAGAAATCCCGTTTCCAAAGAAAGCCTCAAGGAGGTCTGAATATCCACTTGCAGACTTTACAAACAGAGTGTTTCCTAACTGCTCTATGAACAGAAAGGTTAAACTCTGTGAGTTGAACGAACACATCACAACGCAGTTTGTGGGAATGATTCTGTCTAGTTTTGAAACGAAGATATTTCCTTTTGTGCCATTGACCTTAAAGCGCTTGAAATCTACACTTGCAAATTGCACAAATAGAGTGTTTCAAATCTGCTCTGTCTAAGGGAACGTTCAACTCTGTGAGTTGAATGCACACAACACAAGGAAGTTACTGGGAATTCTTCTGTCTAGCCTTACATGAAAAAAACCCCTTTCCAACGAAGGCCTCTAAGTGGTCAAAATATCCACGTGCAGACTTTACAACAGAGTGTTTCCAAACCGCTGAATGAAAAGAAAAGTTAAACTCTGAGAGTTGAACGCATACATCACGCAGCAGTTTCTGAGAATGATTCTGTCTAGTTTTTATACGAAGATATTTCCTTTTCTGCCTTTGGCCGCAAAGCGCTTGAAATCTCCACTTGCAAATTCCACAAAAACAGTGTTTCAAATCTGCTCTCTCTAAATGAAAGTTCAACTCTGTCAGTTGAATACACACAACACAAGGTAAGTTACTGAGAATTCTTCTGTCTAGCATAATATGAAGAAATCCCGTTTCCAACGAAGGCCTCAAGAGGTCTGAATATCCACTTGCAGACTTTACAAACAGAGTGTTTCCTAACTGCTCTATGAAAAGAAAAGTTAAACTCTGTGAGTTGAACGCACACATCACATAGGAGTTCCTGAGAATCATTCTGTCTAGTTTCTATAGGAAGATATTTCCTATTCTACCATTGACCACAAAGCGGCTGAAATCTCCACTTGCAAATTCCACAAAAAGAGTTTTTCAAGTCTGCTCTGTGTAAAGGATCATTTAACTCTGTGAGTTGAATACACACAACACAAGGAAGTTACTGAGAATTCTTCTGTATAGCAGAATATGAAGAAATCCCGTTTCCAAAGAAGGCAACAAGATGTCAGTATATCCACTTAGAGACTTTACAAACAGAGTGTTTCCTAACTGCTCTATGAAAAGAAAGGTTAAACCCTGTGAGTTGAACGAAAACATCACAACGCAGTTTGTGGGAATGATTCTGTCTAGTTTTTATATGAAGATATTTCCTTTTCTACCATTGACCACAAAGCGGCTGAAATCACCACTTGCCAATTGCACAAAAAGAGTGTTTCAAATCTGCTCTGTCTAAGGAAACGTTCAACTCTGTGAGTTGAATGTACACAACACAAGGAAGTTACTGGGAATTCTTCTGTCTAGCAGAATTTGAAGAAATCCCGTTTCCAACGAAGGCCTCAAGGAGGTCTGAATATCCACTTGCAGACTTTACAAACAGAGTGTTTCCTAACTGCTATATGAAAAGAAAGGTTAAACTGTGTGAGTTGAACGCACACATCACAAAGGAGTTTCTCAGAATCATTCTGTCTAGTTTTTCTACGAAGATATTTCCTATTCTACCATTGACCTCAAAGCGGCTGAAATCTCCACTTGCAAATTCCACAAAAAGAGTGTTTCAAGTCTGCTCTGTGAAAAGGATCGTTCAACTCTGTGAGTTGAATACACACAACACAAGGAAGTTACTGAGAATTCTTCTGTCTAGCAGAATATGAAGAAATCCCGTTTCCAACGAAGGCCTCAAAGAGGTCTGAATATCCACTTGCAGACTTTACAAACAGAGTGTTTCCTAACTGCTCTATGAAAAGAAAGGTTAAACTCTGTGAGTTGAATGCACACATCACAAAGGAGTTTCTGAGAATCCTTCTGTCCAGTTTTTATACGAAGATATTTCCTTTTCTACCATTGACCTCAACGCGGCTGAAATCTCCACTTGCAAATTCCACAAAAAGGGTGTTTCAAGTCTGCTCTGTGTAAAGGATCGTTCAACTCTGTGAGTTGAATACACACAACACAAGGAAGTTACTGAGAATTCTTCTGTCTAGCAGAATATGAAGAAATCCCGTTTCCAACGAAGGCCACAAGATGTCAGAATATCCACTTACAGAATTTTCAAACAGACTGTTTCCTAACTGCTCTATGAAAAGAAAGGTTAAACTCTGTGAGTTGAACGAACACATCACAACGCAGTTTGCGGGAATGATTCTGTCTAGTTTTTATACGAAGATATTTCCTTTTCTACCATTGACCTCAAAGCGGTTGAAATCAACACTTGCCAATTGCACAAAAAGAGTGTTTCAAATCTGCTCTGTCTAAGGGAACGTTCAACTCTGTGAGTAGAATGTACACAACACAAAGAAGTTACTGGGAATTCTTCTGTCTAGCATAATATGAAGAAATCCCGTTTCCAACGAAGTCCTAAAGGAGGTCTCAATATCCACTTGCAGACTTTACAAACAGAGTGTTTCCTAACTGCTCTATGAAAAGAAAGGTTAAACTCTGTGAGTTGAACGCACACATCACAAAGGAGTTTCTGAGAATCATTCTGTCTAGTTTGTATAAGAAGATATTTCCTATTCTACCATTGACCTCAAAGCGGCTGAAATCTCCACTTGCAAATTCGACAAAAAGAGTGTTTCAAGCCTGCTCTCTGTAAAGGATCCTTCAACTCTGTGAGTTGAATACACACAACACAAGGAAGTTACTGAGAATTCTTCTGTCTAGCATAATATGAAGAAATCCCGTTTCCAACGAAGACCTCAAAGGGGTCTGAATATCCACTTGCAGACTTTATAAACAGAGTGTTTCCTAACTGCTCTATGAAAAGAAAGGTTAAACTCTGTGAGTTGAACACACACATCACAAAGGAGTTTCTGAGAATCATTCTGTCTAGTCTTTATATGAAGATAGTTTCCTTTTCAACCATTGACCTCAAAGCGGCTGAAATCTCCACTTGCAAATTCCACAAAAAGAGTGTTTCAAGTCTGCTCTGTGTAAAGGATCGTTCAACTGTGTGAGTTGAATACACACAACACAAGGAAGTTACTGAGAATTCTTCTGTCTAGCAGAATATGAAGAAATCCCGTTTCCAACGAAGGCCTCAAGGAGGTCTGAATATCCACTTGCAGACTTTACAAACAGAGTGTTTCCTAACTGCTCTATGAACAGAAAGGTTAAACTCTGTGAGTTGAACGAACACATCACAACGCCGTTTGTGGGAATGATTCTGTCTAGTTTTGAAACGAAGATATTTCCTTTTCTGCCATTGACCTTAAAGCGCTTGAAATCTCCACTTGCCGATTGCACAAAAAGAGTGTTTCAAATCTGCTCTGTCTAAGGGAACGTTCAACTCTGTGAGTTGAATCTACACAACACAAGGAAGTTACTGGGAATTCTTCTGTCTAGCCTTACAAGAAAAAAACCCGTTTCCAACGAAGGCCTCTAAATGGTCAAAATATCCACGTGCAGACTTTACAAACAGAGTGTTTCCAAACTTCTGAATGAAAAGAAAAGTTAAACTCTGAGAGTTGAACGCACACATCGCAGAGCAGTTTCTGAGAATGATTCTGTCTAGTTTTTATACGAAGATATTTCCTTTTCTGCCTTTGGCCTCAAAGCGCTTAAAATCTCCATTTGCAAATTCCACAAAAAGAGTGTTTCAAATCTGCTCTGTGTAAATGAAAGTTCAACTCTGTGAGTTGAACACACACAACACAAGGAAGTTACTGGGAATTCTTCTGTCTAGCAGAATAGGAAGAAATCCCGTTTCCAACGAAGGCCTCAAGGAGGTCTGAATATCCACTTGCAGACTTTACAAACAGAGTGTTTCCTAACTGCTCTATGAAAAGAAAGGTTAAACTCTGTGAGTTGAACGCACACATCACAAAGGAGTTTCTGAGAATCATTCTGTCTAGTTTCTATAGGAAGATATTTCCTATTCTACCATTGACCTCAAAGCGGCTGAAATCTCCACTTGCAAATTCCACAAAAAGAGTGTTTCAAGTCTGTTCTGTGTAAAGGATCATTCAACTCTGTGATTTGAATACACACAACACAAGGAAGTTACTGAGAATTCTTCTGTATAGCAGAATATGAAGAAATCCCGTTTCCAACGAAAGCCTCGAAGATGTCTGAATATCCACTTGCAGACTTTACAAACAGAGTGTTTCCTAACTGCTCTATGAGAAGAAAGGTTAAACTCTGTGAGTTGAACGCACACATCACAAAGGAGTTTCTGAGAATCGTTCTGTCTAGTTTTGAAACGAAGATATTTCCTTTTCTGCCATTGACCTTAAAGCGCTTGAAATCTCCACTTGCCAATTGCACAAAAAGAGTGTTTCAAATCTGCTCTGTCTAAGGGAACGTTCAATTCTGTGAGTTGAATGTACACAACACAAGGAAGTTACTGGGAATTCTTCTGTCTAGCCTTACATGAAAAAAACCCGTTTCCAACGAAGGCCTCTAAGTGGTCAAAATTTCCACGTGCAGACTTTACAAACGGAGTGTTTCCAAACGGCTGAATGAAAAGAAAAGTTAAACTCTGAGAGTTGAACGCACACATCACGCAGCAGTTTCTGAGAATGATTCTGTCTAGTTTTTATACGAAGATATTTCCTTTTCTGCCTTTGGCCCCAAAGCGCTTGAAATCTCCACTTGCAAATTCCACAAAAACAGTGTTTCAAATCTGCTCTCTCCAAATGAAAGTTCAACTCTGTCAGTTGAATACACACAACACAAGGAAGTTACTGAGAATTCTTCTGTCTAGCATAATATGAAGAAATCCCGTTTCCAACGAAGGCCTCAAAGGGGTCTGAATATCCACTTGCAGACTTTATAAACAGAGTGTTTACTAACTGCTCTATGAAAAGAAAGGTTAAACTCTGTGAGTTGAACACACACATCACAAACGAGTTTCTGAGAATCATTCTGTCTAGTTTCTATAGGAAGATATTTCCTATTCTACCATTGACCTCAAAGCGGCTGAAATCTCCACTTGCAAATTCCACAAAAAGAGTGTTTCAAGACTGTTCTGTGTAAAGGATCATTCAACTCTGTGAGTTAAATACACACAACACAAGGAAGTTACTGAGAATTCTTCTGTCTAGCCTTATATGAAAAAAACCCGTTTCCAACGAAGGCCTCAAAGAGGTCTGAATATCCACTTGCAGACTTTACAAACAGAGTGTTTCCTAACTGCTCTATGAAAAGAAAGGTTAAACTCTGTCAGTTGAACGCACACATCACAAAGGAGTTTCTGAGAATTATTCTGTCTAGTTTCTATAGGAAGATGTTTCCTATTCTACCATTGACCTCAAAGCGGCTGAAATCTCCCCTTGCAAATTCCACAACAAGAGTGTTTCAAGTATGCTCTGTGTAAAGGATCGTTCAACTCTGTGAGTTGAATACACACAACACAAGGAAGTTACTGAGAATTCTTCTGTCAAGCAGAATATGAAGAAATCCCGCTTCCAACGAAGGCCTCAAAGAAGTCTGAATATCCACTTGCAGACTTTACAAACAGAGTGTTTCCCAACTGCTCTATGAAAAGAAAGGTTGAACTCTGTGAGTTGAACGCACACATCACAAAGGAGTTTCTGAGAATCATTCTGTCTAGTTTTGAAACGAAGATATTTCCTTTTCTGCCATTGACCTTAAAGCGCTTGAAATCTCCACTTGCCAATTGCACAAAAAGAGTGTTTCAAATCTGCTCTGTCAAAGGGAACGTTCAACTCTGTGAGTTGAATGTACACAACACAAGGAAGTTACTGGGAATTCTTCTGTCTAGCCTTACATGAACAAAACCCGTTTCCAACGAAGGCCTCTAAGTGGTCAAATTATCCACGTGCAGACTTTACAAACAGAGTGTTTCCAAACTGCTGAATGAAAAGAAAAGTTAAACTCTGAGACTTGAACGCACACATCGCAGAGCAGTTTCTGAGAATGATTCTGTCTAGTTTTGAAACAAAGATATTTCCTTTTCTGCCTTTGGCCTCAAAGCGCTTGAAATCTCCACTTGCAAATTCCACAAAAAGAGTGTTTCAAATCTGCTCTGTGTAAATGAAAGTTCAACTCTGTGAGTTGAACACACACAACACAAGGAAGTTACTGGGAATTCTTCTGTCTAGCATAGTATGAAGAAATCCCGTTACCAACGAAGGCCTCAAAGAGGTCTGAATATCCACTTGCAGAGTTTACAAACAGAGTGTTTCCTAACTGCTCTATGAAAAGAAAGGTTAAACTCTGTGAGTTGAACGCACACATCACAAAGAAGTTTCTGAGAATCATTCTGTCTAGTTTCTATATGAAGATATTTCCTATTCTACCATTGACCTCAAAGCGGCTGAAATCTCCACTTGCAAATTCCACAAAAAGAGTGTTTCAAGTCTGCTCTGTGTAAAGGATCGTTCAACTCTGTGAGTTGAAAACACACAACACAAGGAAGTTTCTGAGAATTCTTCTGTCTAGCATAATATGTAGAAATCCCGTTTCCAACGAAGGCCTCATAGAGGTCTGAATATCCACATGCAGACTTTACAAACAGAGTGTTTCCTAACTGCTCTATGAGAAGAAAAGTTAAACTCTGTGAGTTGAACGCACACATCACAAAAGATTTTCTGAGAATCATTCTGTCTGGTTTTTATACGAAGATATTTCCTTTTCTACCATTGACCTCAACGCGGCTGAAATCTCCACTTGCAAATTCCACAAAAAGTGTGTTTCAAGTCCGCTCTGTGTAAAGGATCGTTCAACTCTGTGAGTTGAATACACACAACACAAGGAAGTTACTGAGAATTCTTCTGTCTAGCACAGTATGAAGAAATCCCGTTTCCAACGAAGGCCTCAAAGAGGTCTGAATATCCACTTGCAGACTTTACAAGCAGAGTGTTTCCTAACTGCTCTATGAAAAGAAAGGTTAAACTCTGTGAGTTGAACGCACACATCACAAAGGAGTTTCTGAGAATCATTCTGTCTAGTTTTGAAACGAAGATGTTTCCTTTTCTGCCATTGACCTTAAAGCGCTTGAAATCTCCACTTGCCAATTGCACAAAAAGAGTGTTTCAAATCTGCTCTGTCTAAGGGAACGTTCAACTGCTTGTGAGTTGAATGTACACAACACAAGGATAGTTACTGGGAATTCTTCTGTCTAGCCTTACAGGAAAAAAACCCGTTTGCAACGAAGGCCTCTAAGTGGTCAAAATATCCACGTGCAGACATTACAAACAGAGTGTTTCCAAACTGCTGAATGAAAAGAAAAGTTAAACTCTGAGAGTTGAACGCACACATCGCAGAGCAGTTTCTGAGAATGATTCTGTCTAGTTTTTATACGAAGATATTTCCTTTTCTGCCTTTGGCCTCAAAGCGCTTGTAATCTCCGCTTGCAAATTCCACAAAAAGAGTGTTTCAAATCTGCTCTGTCTAAATGAGAGTTCAACTCTGTCAGTTGACTACACACAACACAAGGAAGTTACTGAAAATTCTTCTGTCTAGCATAATATGAAGAAATCCCGTTTCCAACGAAGGCCTCAAAGAGGTCTGAATATCCACTTGCAGACTTTACAAATAGAGTGTTTCCTAACTGCTCTATGAAAAGAAAAGTTAAACTCTGTGAGTTGAACGCACACATCACAAAGGAGTTTCTGAGAATCATTCTGTCTAGTTTTTCTACGAAGATATTTCCTTTTCTACTATTGACCTAAAAGCGGCTGAAATCTCCACTTGCAAATTCCACAAAAAGAGTGTTTCAAGTCTGCTCTGTGTAAAGGATCGTTCAACTCTGTGAGTTGAATACACACAACACAAGGAAGTTACTGAGAACTCTTCTGTCTACCAGAAAATGAAGAAATCCCGTTTCCAACGAAGGCCTCAAGGAGGTCTGAATATCCACTTGCAGACTTTACAAACAGAGTGTTTCCTAACTGCTCTATGAACAGAAAGGTTAAACTCTGTGAGTCGAACGAACACATCACAACGCAGTTTGTGGGAATGATTCTGTCTAGTTTTGAAACGAAGATATTTCCTTTTCTGCCATTGACCTTAAAGCGCTTGAAATCTCCACTTGCCAATTGCACAAAAAGAGAGTTTCAAATCTGCTCTGTCTAAGGGAACGTTCAACTCTGTGAGTTGAATGTACACAACACAAGGAAGTTACTGGGAATTCTTCTGTCTAGCCTTACATTAAAAAAACCCGTTTCCAACGAAGGCCTCTAAGTGGTCAAGTTATCCACGTGCAGACTTTACAAACAGAGTGTTTCCAAACTGCTGAATGAAAAGAAAAGTTAAACTCTGAGAGTTGAACGCACACATCGCAGAGCAGTTTCTGAGAATGATTCTGTCTAGTTTTTATACGAAGATATTTCCTTTTCTGCCTTTGGCCCCAAAGCGCTGGAAATCTCCACTTGCAAATTCCACAAAAACAGTGTTTCAAATCTGCTCTCTCTAAATGAAAGTTCAACTCTGTCAGTTGAATACACACAACACAAGGAAGTTACTGAGAATTCTTCTGTCTAGCAGAATATGAAGAAATCCCGTTTCCAACGAAGGCCTCAAAGAGGTCTTAATATCCACTTGCAGACTTTACAAACAGAGTGTTTCCTAACTGCTCTATGAAACGAAAGGTTAAACTCTGTGAGTTGAACGCACACATCACAAAGGAGTTTCTGAGAATCATTCTGTCTAATTTTTATACGAAGATATTTCCTTTCCTACCATTGACCTCAAAGCGGCTGAAATCTCCACTTGCAAATTCCACAAAAAGAGTGTTTCAAGTCTGCTCTGTGTAAACGATCGTTCAACTCTGTGAGTTGAATACACACAACCCAAGGAAGTTTCTGAGAATTCTTCTGTCTAGCAGAATATGAAGAAATCCCGTTTCCAACGAAGGCCACAAGATGTCAGAATATCCACTTACAGAATTTACAAACAGACTGTTTCCTAACTGCTCTATGAAAAGAAAGGTTAAACTCTGTGAGTTGAACAAACACATCACAACGCAGTTTGTGGGAATGATTCTGTCTAGTTTTTATAGGAAGATATTTCCTTTTCTACCTTTGACTTCAAAGCGGCTGAAATCTCCACTTGCAAATTCCACAAAAAGAGTGTTACAAGACTGCTCTGTGTAAAGGATCGTTCAACTCTGTGAGTTGAATACACACAACACAAGGAAGTTACTGAGAATTCTTCTGTCTAGCCTTACATGAAAAAAACCCGTTTCCATCGAAGACCTCTAAGTGGTCAAATTATGCACGTGCAGACTTTACAAACAGAGTGTTTCCAAACTGCTGAATGAAAAGAAAAGTTAAACTCTGAGAGTTGAACGCACACATCACAGAGCAGTTTCTGAGAATGATTTCTGTCTAGTTTTTATACGAAGATATTTCCTTTTCTGCCTTTGGCCCCAAAGCGCTTGAAATCTCCACTTGCAAATTCCACAAAAACAGTGTTTCAAATCTGCTCTCTCTAAATGAAAGTTCAACTCTGTCAGTTGAATAAACACAACACAAGGAAGTTACTGAGAATTCTTCTGTCTAGCATAATATGAAGAAATCCCGTTTCCAACGAAGGCCTCAAGGAGGTCTGAATATCCACTTGCAGACTTTACAAACAGAGTGTTTCCTAACTGCTCTATGAAAAGAAAGGTTAAACTCTGTGAGTTGAACGCAGACATCACAAAGGAGTTTCTGAGAATCACTCTGTCTAGTTTTTATAGGAAGATATTTCCTTTTCTACCTTTGACTTCAAAGCGGCTGAAATCTCCACTTGCAAATTCCACAAAAAGAGTGTTTCAAGTCTGCTCTGTGTAAAGGATCGTTCAACTCTGTGAGTTGAATACACACAACACAAGGGAAGATTCTGAGAATTCTTCTGTCTAGCAGAATATGAAGAAATCCCGTTTCCAACGAAGGCCACAAGATGTCAGAATATCCACTTACAGAATTTACAAACAGACTGTTTCCTAACTGCTCTATGAAAAGAAAGGTTAAACTTCTGTGAGTTGAACGAACACATCACAACGCAGTTTGTGGGAATGATTTCTGTCTAGTTTTGAAACGAAGAAATTTCCTTTTCTGCCATTGACCTTAAAGCGCTTGAAATCTACACTTGCAAATTGCACAAATAGAGTGTTTCAAATCTGCTCTGTCTAAGGGAACGTTCAACTCTGTGAGTTGAATGCACACAACACAAGGAAGTTACTGGGAATTCTTCTGTCTAGCCTTACATGAAAAAAAACCCGTTTCCAACGAAGGCCTCTAAGTGGTCAAAATATCCAAGTGCAGACTTTACAAACAGAGTGTTTCCAAACCGCTGAATGAAAAGAAAAGTTAAACTCTGAGAGTTGAACGCACACATCACGCAGCAGTTTCTGAGAATGATTCTGTCTAGTTTTTATACGAAGATATTTCCTTTTCTTCCTTTGGCCCCAAAGCGCTTGAAATCTCCACTTGCAAATTCCACAAAAACAGTGTTTCAAATCTGCTATCTCTAAATGAAAGTTCAACTCTGTCAGTTGAATACACACAACACAAGGAAGTTACTGAGAATTCTTCTGTCTAGCATAATATGAAGAAATCCCGTTTCCAACGAAGGCCTCAAAGAGGTCTGAATATCCACTTGCAGACTTTAAAAACAGAGTGTTTCCTAACTACTCTAGGAAAAGAAAGGTTAAACACTGTGAGTTGAACGCACACATCACAAAGGAGTTTCTGAGAATCATTCTGTCTAGTTTTTATACGAAGATATTTCCTTTTCTACCATTGACCTCAAAGCGGCTGAAATCTCCACCCTGCCAATTCCACAAAAAGAGTGTTTCAAGTCTACTCTCTGTAAAGGATCGTTGAACTCTGTGAGTTGAAAACACACAACAGAACGAAGTTTCTGAGAATTCTTCTGTCTAGCAGAATATGAAGAAATCCCGTTTCCAACGAAGGCCACAAGATGTCAGAATATCCACTTACAGACTTTACAAACAGAGTGTTTCCTAACTGCTCTATGAACAGAAAGGTTAAACTCTGTGAGTTGAACGAACACATCACAACGCAGTTTGTTGGAATGATTCTGTCTAGTTTTGAAACGAAGATATTTCCTTTTCTGCCATTGATCTTAAAGCGCTTGAAATCTCCATTTGCCAATTGCACAAAAAGAGTGTTTCAAATCTGCTCTGTCTAAGGGAACGTTCAACTCTGTGAGTTGAATGTACACAACACAAGGAAGTTACTGGGAATTCTTCTGTCTAGCCTTACAGGAAAAAAACCCGTTTCCAACGAAGGCCTCTAAGTGGTCAAAATATCCACGTGCAGACTTTACAAACAGAGTGTTTCCAAACTGCTGAATGAAAAGAAAAGTTAAACTCTGAGAGTTGAAGGCACACATCGCAGAGCAGTTTCTGAGAATGATTCTGTCTAGTTTTGAAACGAAGATATTTCCTTTTCTGCCTTTGGCCTCAAAGCGCTTGAAATCTCCACTTGCAAATTCCACAAAAAGAGTGTTTCAAATCTACTCTGTGTAAATGAAAGTTCAACTCTGTGAGTTGAACACACACAACAGAAGGAAGTTACTGGGAATTCTTCTGTCTAGCATAGTATGAAGAAATCCCGTTTCCAACGAAGGCCTCAAAGAGGTCTGAATATCCACTTGCAGAGTTTACAAACAGAGTGTTTCCTAACTGCTCTATGAAAAGAAAGGTTAAACTCTGTGAGTTGAACGCACACATCGCAAAGAAGTTTCTGAGAATCATTCTGTCTGGTTTCTATAGGAAGATATTTCCTATTCTACCATTGACCTCAAAGCGGCTGAAATCTCCACTTGCAAATTCCACAAAAAGAGTGTTTCAAGTCTACTCTGTGTAAAGGATCGTTCAACTCTGTGAGTTGAATACACACAACACAAGGAAGTTACTGAGAATTCTTCTGTCTAGAAGAATATGAAGAAATCCCGCTTCCAAAGAAGGCCTCAAAGAGGTCTGAATATCCACTTGCAGACTTTACAAACAGAGTGTTTCCCAACTGCTCTATGAAAAGAAAGGTTGAACTCTGTGAGTTGAACGCACACATCACAAAGGAGTTTCTGAGAATCATTCTGTCTAGTCTTTATACGAAGATATTTCCTTTTCTACCATTGACCTCAAAACGGCTGAAATCTCCACTTGCAAATTTCACAAAAAGAGTGTTTCAAGTCTGCTCTGTGTAAAGGATCGTTCAACTCTGTGAGTTGAATACACACAACACAAGGAAGTTACTGAGAATTCTTCTGTCTAGCAGAATATGAAGAAATCCCGTTTCCAACGAAGGCCTCAAGGAGGTCTGAATATCCACTTGCAGACTTTACAAACAGAGTGTTTCCTAAATGCTCTATGAACAGAAAGGTTAAACTCTGTGAGTTGAACGAACACATCACAACGCAGTTTGTGGGAATGATTCTGTCTAGTTTTGAAACGAAGATATTTCCTTTTCTGCCATTGACCTTAAAGCGCTTGGAATCTACACTTGCAAATTGCACAAATAGAGTGTTTCAAATCTGCTCTGTCTAAGGGAACGTTCAACTCTGTGAGTTGAATGCACACAACACAAGGAAGTTACTGGGAATTCTTCTGTCTAGCCTTACAGGAAAGAAACCCGTTTCCAACGAAGGCCTCTAAGTGGTCAAAATATCCACGTGCAGACTTTACAAACAGAGTGTTTCCAAACTGCTGAATGAAAAGAAAAGTTAAACTCTGAGAGTTGAACGCACACATCGCAGAGTAGTTTCTGAGAATGATTCTGTCTAGTTTCTATAGGAAGATATTTCCTATTCTACCATTGACCTCAAAGCGGCTGAAATCTCCACTTGCAAATTCCACAAAAACAGTGTTTCAAATCTGCTCTCTCTAAATGAAAGTTCAACTCTGTGAGTTGAATACACACAACACAAGGAAGTTACTGAGAATTATTCTGTCTAGCAGAATATGAAGAAATCCCGTTTCCAACGAAGGCCTCAAAGAGGTCTGAATATCCACTTGCAGACTTTACAAACAGAGTGTTTCCTAACTGCTCTATGAACAGAAAGGTTAAACTCTGTGAGTTGAACGCACACATCACAAAGGAGTTTCTGAGAATCATTCTGTCTATTTTCTATAGGAAGATATTTCCTATTCTACCATTGACCTCAAAGCGGCTGAAATCTCCACTTGCAAATTCCACAAAAAGAGTGTTTCAAGTCTGCTCTGTGTAAAGGATCGTTCAACTCTGTGAGTTGAATACACACAACACAAGGAAGTTACTGATAATTCTTCTGTCTAGCAGAATATGAAGAAATCCCGTTTCCAACGAAGGCCACAAGATGTCAGAATATCCACTTACAGAATTTACAAACAGACTGTTTCCTAACTGCTCTATGAAAAGAAAGGTTAAACTCTGTGAGTTGAACGCACACATCACAATGAAGTTTCTGAGAATCATTCTGTCTAGTTTTGAAACGAAGATATTTCCTTTTCTGCCATTGACCTTAAATCGCTTGAAATCTCCATTTGCCAATTGCACAAAAAGAGTGTTTCAAATCTGCTCTGTCTAAGGGAACGTTCAACTCTGTGAGTTGAATGTACACAACACAAGGAAGTTACTGGGAATTCTTCTGTCTAGTTGAATATGAAGAAATCCCGCTTCCAACGAAGGCCTCAAAGAAGTCTGAATATCCACTTGCAGACTTTACAAACAGAGTGTTTCCCAACTGCTCTATGAAAAGAAAGGTTGAACTCTGTGCGTTGAACGCACACATCACAAAGGAGTTTCTGAGAATCATTCTGTCTAGTTTTTATACGAAGATATTTCTTTTTCTACCATTGACCTCAAAGCGGCTGAAATCTCCACCCTGCCAATTCCACAAAAAGAGTGTTTCAAGTCTACTCTGTGTAAAGGATCGTTGAACTCTGTGATTTGAAAACACACAACACATCGAAGTTTCTGAGAATTCTTCTGTCTAGCAGAATATGAAGAAATCCCGCTTCCAACGAAGGCCTCAAAGAAGTCTGAATATGCATTTGCAGAATTTACAAACAGAGTGTTTCCCAACTGCTCTATGAAAAGAAAGGTTGAACTCTGTGAGTTGAACGCACACATCACAAAGGAGTTTCTGAGAATCATTCTGTCTAGTTTTTATACGAAGATATTTCCTTTTCTACCATTGACCTCAAAGCGGCTGAAATCTCCACTTGCAAATTCTACAAAAAGAGTTTTTCAAGTCTACTCTGTGTAAAGGATCGTTCAACTCTGTGAGTTGAAAACACACAACACAACGAAGTTTCTGAGAATTCTTCTGTCTAGCAGAATATGAAGAAATCCCGTTTCCAACGAAGGCCACAAGATGTCAGAATATCCACTTACAGAATTTACAAACAGACTGTTTCCTAACTGCTCTATGAAAAGAAAGGTTAAACTCTGTGAGATGAACGAACACATCACAACGCAGTTTGTGGGAATGATTCTGTCTAGTTTTGAAACGAAGATATTTCCTTTTCTGCCATTGACCTTAAAGCGCTTGAAATCTCCATTTGCCAATTGCAGAAAAAGAGTCTTTCAAATCTGCTCTGTCTAAGGGAACGTTCAACTCTGTGAGTTGAATGTACACAACACAAGGAAGTTACTGGGAATTCTTCTGTCTAGCCTTACATGAAGAAAACCCGTTTCCAACGAAGGCCTCTAAGAGGTCAAAATATCCACGTGCAGACTTTACAAAGAGAGTGTTTCCAAACCGCTGAATGAAAAGAAAAGTTAAACTCTGAGAGTTGAACGCAGACATCACGCAGCAGTTTCTGAGAATGATTCTGTCTAGTTTTTATACGAAGATATTTCCTTTTCTGCCTTTGGCCCTAAAGCGCTTGAAATCTCCAATTGCAAATTCCACAAAAACAGTGTTTCAAATCTGCTCTCTCTAAATGAACGTTCAACTCTCTCAGTTGAATACACACAACACAAGGAAGTTACTGAGAATTATTCTGTCTAGCCTTATATGAAAAAATCCCGTTTCCAACGAAGGCCTCAAAGAGGTCTGAATATCCACTTGCAGACTTTACAAACAGAGTGTTTCCTAACTGCTCTATGAAAAGAAAGGTTAAACTCTGTGAGTTGAACGCACACACCACAAAGGAGTTTCTGAGAATCATTCTGTCTAGTTTTTCTACGAAGACATTTCCTTTTCTACTATTGACCTCAAAGCGGCTGAAATCTCCACTTGCAAATTCCACAAAAAGAGTGTTTCAAGTCTGCTCTGTGTAAAGGATCGTTCAACTCTGTGAGTTGAATACACACAACACAAGGAAGTTACTGAGAATTGTTCTGTCTAGCAGAATATGAAGAAATCCCGTTTCCAACGAAGGCCACAAGATGTCAGAATATCCCCTTACAGAATTTACCAAACAGACTGTTTCCTAACTGCTCTATGAAAAGAAAGGTTAAACTCTGTGAGTTGAACGAACACCATCACAACGCAGTTTGTGGGAATGATTCTGTCTAGTTTTTATAGGAAGATATTTCCTTTTCTACCTTTGACTTCAAAGCGGCTGAAATCTCCACTTGCAAATTCCACAAAAAGAGTGTTCCAAGTCTGCTCTGTGTAAAGGATCGTTCAACTGTGTGAGTTGAATACACACAACACAAGGAAGTTACTGAGAATTCTTCTGTCTAGCCTTACATGAAAAAAACCCGTTTCCAACGAAGGCCTCTAAGTGGTCAAATTATCCACGTGCAGACTTTACAAACAGAGTGTTTCCAAACTGCTGAATGAAAAGCAAATTTAAACTCTGAGAGTTGAACGCACACATCGCAGAGCAGTTTCTTGGAATGATTCTGTCTAGTTTTGAAACGAAGATATTTCCTTTTCTGCCTTTGGCCTCAAAGCGCTTGAAATCTCCATTTGCAAATTCCACAAAAAGAGTCTTTCAAATCTGATCTGTGTAAATGAAAGTTCAACTCTGTGAGTTGAACACACACAACACAAGGATGTTACTGGGAATTCTTCTGTCTAGCCTTATAGGAAAAAAACCTGTTTCCAACGAAGGCCTCAAAGAGGTCTGAATATCCACTTGCAGACTTTACAAACAGAGTGTTTCCTAACTGCTCTATGAAAAGAAAGGTTAAACTCTGTGAGTTGAACGCACACATCACAAAGGAGTTTCTGAGAATCATTCTGTCTAGTCTTTATACGAAGATATTTCCTTTTCTACCATTGACATCAAAGCGGCTGAAATCTCCACTTGCAAATTCCACAAAAAGAGTGTTTCAAGTCTGCTCTGTGTAAAGGATCGTTCAACTCTGTGTGTTGAATACACACAACACAAGGAAGTTACTGAGAATTCTTCTGTCTAGCACAATATGAAGAAATCCCGTTTCCAACGAAGGCCACAAGATGTCAGAATATCCACTTACAGACTTTACAAACACAGTGTTTCCTAACTGCTCTATGAACAGAAAGGTTAAACTCTGTGAGTTGAACGAACATATCACAACGCAGTTTGTGGGAATGATTCTGTCTAGTTTTGAAACGAAGATATTTCCTTTTCTGCCGTTGACCTTAAAGCGCTTGAAATCTACACTTGCAAATTGCACAAATAGAGTGTTTCAAATCTGCTCTGTCTAAAGGAACGTTCAACTCTGTGAGTTGAATGCACACAACACAAGGAAGTTACTGGGAATTCTTCTGTCTAGCCTTACATGAAGAAAACCCGTTTCCAAAGAAGGCCTCTAAGTGGTCAAAATATCCACGTGCAGACTTTACAAACAGAGTGTTTCCAAACCGCTGAATGAAAAGAAAAGTTAAACTCTGAGAGTTGAACGCACACATCACGCAGCAGTTTCTGAGAATGATTCTGTCTAGTTTTTCTACGAAGATATTTCCTTTTCTACTATTGACCTCAAAGCGGCTGAAATCTCCACTTGCAAATTCCACAAAAAGAGTGTTTCAAGTGTGCTCTGTGTAAAGGATCGTTCAACTCTGTGAGTTGAATACACACAACACAAGGAAGTTACTGAGAATTCTTCTGTCTAGCATTATATGAAGAAATCCCGTTTCCAACGAAGGCCTCAAGGAGGTCTGAATATCCACTTGCAGACTTTACAAACAGAGTGTTTCCCAACTGCTCTATGAAAAGAAAGGTTAAACTCTGTGAGTTGAACGCACACATCACAAAGGAGTTTCTGAGAATCATTCTGTCTAGTTTCTATATGAAGATATTTCCTATTCTACCATTGACCTGAAAGCGGCTGAAATCTCCACTTGCAAATTCCACAAAAAGAATGTTTCAAGTCTGCTCTGTGTAAAGGATCGTTCAACTCTGTGAGTTGAATACACACAACACAAGGAAGTTACTGAGAATTCTTCTGTCTAGCAGAATATGAAGAAATCCCGTTTCCAACGAAGGCCACAAGATGTCAGAATATCCACTTACAGACTTTAGAAATAGAGTGTTTCCTAACTGCTCTATGAACAGAAAGGTTAAACTCTGTGAGTTGAACGAACACATCACAACGCAGTTTGTGGGAATGATTCTGTCTAGTTTTGAAACGAAGATATTTCCTTTTCTGCCATTGACCTTAAAGCGCTTGACATCTACACTTGCAAATTGCACAAATAGAGTGTTTCAAATCTGCTCTGTCTAAGGGAACGTTCAACTCTGTGAGTTGAATGCACACAACACAAGGAAGTTACTGGGAATTCTTCTGTCTAGCAGAACATGAAGAAATCCCGTTTCCAACGAAGGCCTCAAAGATGTCTCAATATCCACTTGCAGACTTTACAAACAGAGTGTTTCCTAACTGCTCTATGAAAAGAAAGGTTAAACTCTGTGAGTTGAACGCACACATCACGAAGGAGTTTCTGAGAATCATTCTGTCTAGTTTTTATAGGAAGATATTTCCTTTTCTACCTTTGATTCAAAGCGGCTGAAATCTCCACTTGCAAATTCCACAAAAAGAGTGTTACAAGTCTGCTCTGTGTAAAGGATCGTTCAACTCTGTGAGTTGAATACACACAACACAAGGAAGTTACTGAGAATTCTTCTGTCTAGCACAGTATGAAGAAATCCCGTTTCCAACGAAGGCCTCAAAGAGGTCTGAATATCCACTTGCAGAGTTTACAAACAGAGTGTTTCCTAACTGCTCTATGAAAAGAAAGGTTAAACTCTGTGAGTTGAACGCACACATCACAATGAAGTTTCTGAGAATCATTCTGTCTAGTTTCTATAGGAAGATATTTCCTATTCTACCATTGACCTCAAAGCGGCTGAAATCTCCACTTGCAAATTCCACAAAAAGAGTGTTTCAAGTCTGCTCTCTGTAAAGGATCGTTCAACTCTGTGAGTTGAATACACACAACACAAGGAAGTTACTTAGAATTCTTCTGTCTAGCAGAATATGAAGAAATCCCGTTTCCAACGAAGGCCACAAGAGGTCAGAATATCCACTTACAGACTTTACAAACAGAGTGTTTCCTAACTGCTCTATGAACAGAAAGGTTAAACTCTGTGAGTTGAACGAACACATCACAACGCAGTTTGTGGGAATGATTCTGTCTAGTTTTGAAACGAAGATATTCCCTTTTCTGCCATTGACCTTAAAGCGCTTGAAATCTACACTTGCAAATTGCACAAATAGAGTGTTTCAAATCTGCTCTGTCTAAGGGAACGTTCAACTCTGTGAGTTGAATGCACACAACACAAGGAAGTTACTGGGAATTCTTCGGTCTAGCCTTACATGAAAAAATCCCGTTTCCAACGAAGGCCTCTAAGTGGTCAAAATATCCACGTGCAGACTTTATAAACAGAGTGTTTCCAAACTGCTGAATGAAAAGAAAAGATACACTCTGAGAGTTGAACGCACACATCGCAGAGCAGTTTCTGAGAATCATTCTGTCTAGTTTTTATACGAAGATATTTCCTTTTCTGCCTTTGACCTCAAAGCGCTTGAAATCTCCATTTGCAAATTCCACAAAAAGAGTGTTTCAAATCTGCTCTGTGTAAATGAAAGTTCAACTCTGTGAGTTGAACACACACAACACAAGGAAGTTACTGGGAATTCTTCTGTCTAGCCTTATATGAAAAAAACCCGTTTCCAACGAAGGCCTCAAAGAGGTCTGAATATCCACTTGCAGACTTTACAAACAGAGTGTTTCCTAACTGCTCTATGAAAAGAAAGGTTAAACTTTGTGAGTTGAACACACACATCACAAAGGAGTTTCTGAGAATCATTCTGTCTAGTCTTTATACGAAGATATTTCCTTTTCTACCATTGACCTCAAATCGTCTGAAATCTCCACTTGCAAATTACACAAAAAGAGTGTTTCAAGTCTGCTCTGTGTAAAGGATCGTTCAACTCTGTGAGTTGAATACACACAACACAAGGAAGTTACTGAGAATTCTTCTGTCTAGCAGAATATGAAGAAATCCCGTTTCCAACGAAGGCCACAAGATGTCAGAATATCCACTTACAGGCTTTACAAACAGAGTGTTTCCTAACTGCTCTATGAACAGAAAGGTTAAACTCTGTGAGTTGAACGAACACATCACAACGCAGTTTGTGGGAATGATTCTGTCTAGTTTTGAAACGAAGATATTTCCTTTTCTGCCATTGACCTTAAAGCGCTTGAAATCTACACTTGCAAATTGCACAAATAGAGTGTTTCAAATCTGCTCTGTCTAAGGGAACGTTCAACTCTGTGAGTTGAATGCACACAACACAAGGAAATTACTGGGAATTCTTCTGTCTAGCCTTACATGAAAAAAACCCGTTTCCAACGAAGGCCTCTAAGTGGTCAAAATATCCACGTGCAGACTTTACAAACAGAGTGTTTCCAAACCGCTGAATGAAAAGAAAAGTTAAACTTTGAGAGTTGAACGCACGCATCATGCAGCAGTTTCTGAGAATGATTCTGTCTAGTTTCTATAGGAAGATATTTCGTATTCTACCATTGACCTCAAAGAGGCAGAAATCTCCACTTGCAAATTCCACAAAAAGAGTGTTTCAAGTCTGCTCTGTGTAAAGGATCGTTCAACTCTGTGAGTTGAATACACACAACACAAGGAAGTTACTGAGAATTCTTCTGTCTAGCATAATATGTAGAAATCCCGTTTCCAACGAAGGCCTCAAGGAGGTCTGAATATCCACTTGCAGACTTTACAAACAGAGTGTTTCCTAACTGCTCTATGAAAAGAAAGGTTAAACTCTGTGAGTTGAACGCACACATCACAAAGGAGTTTCTGAGAATCATTCTGTCTAGTTTTTATACGAAGATATTTCCTATTCTACCATTGACCTCAAAGCGGCTGAAATCTCCACTTGCAAATTCCACAAAAAGAGTGTTTCAAGTCTGCTCTGTGTAAAGGATCGTTCAACTCTGTGAGTTAAATACACACAACACAAGGAAGTTACTGAGAATTCTTCTGTCTAGCAGAATATGAAGAAATCCCGTTTCCAACGAAGGCCACAAGATGTCAGAACATCCACTTACAGAATTGACAAACAGACTGTTTCCTAACTGCTCTATGAAAAGAAAGGTTAAACTCTGTGAGTTGAACGAACACATCACAACGCAGTTTGTGGGAATGATTCTGTCCAGTTTTGAAACGAAGATATTTCCTTTTCTGCCATTGAACTTAAAGCGCTTGAAATCTCCATTTGCCAATTGCACAAAAAGAGTGTTTCAAATCTGCTCTGTCTAAGGGAACGTTCAACTCTGTGAGTTGAATGTACACAACACAAGGAAGTTACTGGGAATTCTTCTGTCTAGCCTTACAGGAAAAAAACCCGTTTCCAACGAAGGCCTCTAAGTGGTCAAAATATCCACGTGCAGACTTTACAAACAGAGTGTTTCCAAACTGCTGAATGAAAAGAAAAGTTACACTCTGAGAGTTGAACGCACACATCGCAGAGCAGTTTCTGAGAATCATTCTGTCTAGTTTTGAAACGAAGATATTTCCTTTTCTGCCTTTGGCCTAAAAGCGCTTGAAATCTCCACTTGCATATTCCACAAAAAGAGTGTTTCAAATCTGCTCTGTGTAAATGAAAGTTCAACTCTGTGAGTTGAACACACACAACACAAGGAAGTTACTGGGAATTCTTCTGTCTAGCAGAATATGAAGAAATCCCGTTTCCAACGAAGGCCTCAAGGAGGTCTGAATATCCACTTGCAGACTTTACAAACAGAGTGTTTCCTAACTGCTCTATGAACAGAAAGGTTAAACTCTGTGAGTTGAATGCACACATCACAAAGGAGTTTCTGAGAATCATTCTGTCTAGTCTTTATACGAAGATATTTACTTTTCTACCATTGACCTCAAAGCGGCTGAAATCTCCACTTGCAAATTCCACAAAAAGAGTGTTTCAAGTCTGCTCTGCGTAAAGGATCATTCAACTCTGTGAGTTGAATAAACACAACACAAGGAAGTTACTGAGAATTCTTCTGTCTAGCAGAATATGAAGAAATCCCGTTTCCAACGAAGGCCACAAGATGTCTGAATATCCACTTACAGACTTTACAAACAGAGTGTTTCCTAACTGCTCTATGAACAGAAAGGTTAAACTCTGTGAGTTGTACGAACACATCACAACGCAGTTTGTGGGAATGATTCTCTCTAGTTTTGAAACGAAGATATTTCCTTTTCTGCCATTGACCTTAAAGCGCTTGAAATCTACACTTGCAAATTGCACAAATAGAGTGTTTCAAATCTGCTCCGTCTAAGGGAACGTTCAACTCTGTGAGTTGAATGCACACAACACAAGGAAGTTACTGGGAATTCTTCTGTCTAGCCTTACATGAAGAAAACCCGTTTCCAACGAAGGCCTCTAAGTGGTCAAAATATCCACGTGCAGACTTTACAAACAGAGTGTTTCCAAACTGCTGAATGAAAAGAAAAGTTAAACTCTGAGAGTTGAACGCACACATCACAGAGCAGTTTCTGAGAATGATTCTGTCTAGTTTTTATATGAAGATATTTCCTTTTCTGCCTTTGGCCCCAAAAGCGCTTGAAATCTCCACTTGCAAAATCCACAAAAAGAGTGTTTCAAGTCTGCTCTGTGTAAAGGATCGTTCAACTCTGTGAGTTGAATATACACTACACAAGGAAGTTTCTGAGAATTCTTCTGTCTAGCAGAATAGGAAGAAATCCCGTTTCCAACGAAGGCCTCAAGGAGGTCTGAAAATCCACTTGCAGACATTACAAACAGAGTGTTTCCTAACTGCTCTATGAAAAGAAAGGTTAAACTCTGTGAGTTGAACGCACACATCACAAAGGAGTTTCTGAGAATCGTTCCTGTCTAGTTTCTATAGGAAGATATTTCCTATTCTACCATTGACCTCAAAGCGGCTGAAATCTCCACTTGCAAATTCCACAAAAAGAATGTTTCAAGTCTGCTCTGTGTAAAGGATCGTTCAACTCTGTGAGTTGAATACACACAACACAAGGAAGTTACTGAGAATTCTTCTGTCTAGCAGAATATGAAGAAATCCCGTTTCCAACGAAGGCCACAAGATGTCAGAATATCCACTTACAGACTTTACAAAGAGAGTGTTTCCTAACTGCTCTATGAACAGAAAGGTTAAACTCTGTGAGTTGAACGAACACATCACAACGCAGTTTGTGGGAATGATTCTGTCTAGTTTTGAAACGAAGATATTTCCTTTTCTGCCGTTGACCTTAAAGCGCTTGAAATCTCCACTTGCCAATTGCACAAAAAGAGTGTTTCAAATCTGCTCTGTCTAAGGGAACGTTCAACTCTGTGAGTTGAATGTACACAACACAAGGAAGTTACTGGGAATTCTTCTGTCTAGCCTTATATGAAAAAAACCCGTTTCCAACGAAGGCCTCAAAGAGGTCTCAATATCCACTTGCAGACATTACAAACAGAGTGTTTCCTAACTGCTCTATGAAAAGAAAGGTTAAACTCTGTGAGTTGAACACACACATCACAAAGGAGTTTCTGAGAATCATTCTGTCTAGTTTCTATAAGAAGATATTTCCTATTCTACCATTGACCTCAAAGCGGCAGAAATCTCCACTTGCAAATTCGACAAAAAGAGTGTTTCAAGCCTGCTCTCTGTAAAGGATCTTTCAACTCTGTGAGTTGAATACACACAACACAAGGAAGTTACTGAGAATTATTCTGTCTAGCACAGTATGAAGAAATCCCGTTTCCAACGAAGGCCTCAAAGAGGTCTGAATATCCACTTGCAGAGTTTACAAACAGAGTGTTTCCTAACTTCTCTATGAAAAGAAAGGTTAAACTCTGTGAGTTGAACGCACACATCACAATGAAGTTTCTGAGAATCATTCTGTCTAGTTTTTATACGAAGATATTTCCTTTTCTACCATTGACCTCAACGCGGCTGAAATCTCCACTTACAAATTCCACAAAAAGAGTGTTACATGTCTGCTCTGTGTAAAGGATCGTTCAACTCTGTGAGTTGAATACACACAACACAAGGAAGTTACTGAGAATTCTTCTGTCTAGCAGAATATGAAGAAATCCCGTTTCCAACGAAGGCCACAAGATGTCAGAATATCCACTTACAGACTTTACAAACAGAGTGTTTCCTAACTGCTCTATGAACAGAAAGTTTAAACTCTGTGAGTTGAACGAGCACATCCCAACGCAGTTTGTGGGAATGATTCTGTCTAGTTTTGAAACGAAGATATTTCCTTTTCTGCCATTGACCTTAAAGTGCTTGAAATCTACACTTGCAAATTGCACAAATAGAGTGTTTCAAATCTGCTCTGTCTAAGGGAACGTTCATCTCTGTGAGTTGAATGCACACAACACAAGGAAGTTACTGGGAATTCTTCTGTCTAGCCTTACATGAAAAAAACCCGTTTCCAACGAAGGTCTCTAAGTGGTCAAAATATCCACGTGTAGACTTTACAAACAGAGTGTTTCCAAACTGCTGAATGAAAAGAAAAGTTAAACTCTGAGAGTTGAACGCACACATCACAGAGCAGTTTCTGAGAATGATTCTGTCTAGTTTTGAAACGGAGATATTTCCTTTTCTGCCTTTGGCCTCAAAGCGCTTGAAATCTCCACTTGCAAATTCCACAAAAAGAGTGTTTCAAATCTGCTCTGTGTAAATGAACGTTCAACTCTGTGAGTTGAACACACACAACACAAGGAAGTTACTGGGAATTCTTCTGTCTAGCATAATATGAAGAAATCCCGTTTCCAACGAAGGCCTCAAAGGGGTCTGAATATCCACTTGCAGACTTTATAAACAGAGTGTTTACTAACTGCTCTATGAAAAGAAAGGTTAAACTCTGTGAGTTGAACACACACATCACAAAGGAGTTTCTGAGAATTATTCTGTCTAGTTTTTATACGAAGATATTTCCTTTTATACCATTGACCTCAACGCGGCTGAAATCTCCACTTGCAAATTCCACAAAAAGAGTGTTTCAAGTCCGCTCTGTGTAAAGGATCGTTCAACTCTGTGAGTTGAATACACACAACACAAGGAAGTTACTGAGAATTCTTCTGTCTAGCAGAATATGAAGAAATCCCGTTTCCAACGAAAGCCTCAAAGA
This sequence comes from Homo sapiens, assembly GCF_000001405.40. Lineage (NCBI taxonomy): Eukaryota > Metazoa > Chordata > Mammalia > Primates > Hominidae > Homo > Homo sapiens. The sequence continues at coordinate 25,435,080 of NC_000019.10, read as the reverse complement.
TGTCTGAATATCCACTTGCAGACTTTACAAACAGAGTGTTTCCTAACTGCTCTATGAAAAGAAAGGTTAAACTCTGTGAGTTGAACGCACACAGCTCAAAGGAGTTTCTGAGAATCATTCTGTATAATTTCTATATGAAGATACTTCCTTTTCTACTATTGACCTCAAAGCGGCTGAAATCTCCCCTTGCAAATTCCACAAAAAGAGTGTTTCAAGTCTGCTCTGTGTAAACGATCGTTCAACTCTGTGAGTTGAATACACACAACACAAGGAAGTTACTGAGAATTTTTCTGTCTAGCAGAATATGAAGAAATCCCGTTTCCAACGAAGGCCTCAAAGAGGTCTGAATATCCACTTGCCGACTTTATAAACAGAGTGTTTCCTAACTGCTCTATGAAAAGAAAGTTTAAACTCTGTGAGTTGAACGCACACATCACAAAGCAGTTTCTGAGAATTATTCTGTCTAGTTTCTATAGGAAGATATTTCCTATTCTACCATTGACCTCAAAGCGGCTGAAATCTCCACTTGCAAATTCCACAAAAAGAGTGTTTCAAGACTGTTCTGTGTAAAGGATCGTTCAACTCTGTGAGTTGAATACACACAACACAAGGAAGTTACTGAGAATTCTTCTGTCTAGCAGAATATGAAGAAATCCCGCTTCCAACGAAGGCCTCAAAGAAGTCTGAATATCCACTTGCAGACTTTACAAACAGAGTGTTTCCCAACTGCTCTATGAAAAGAAAGGTAGAACTCTGTGAGTTGAACGCACACATCACAAAGGAGTTTCTGAGAATCATTCTGTCTAGTTTTGAAACGAAGATATTTCCTTTTCTGTCATTGACCTTAAAGCGCTTGAAATCTACACTTGCAAATTGCACAAATAGAGTGTTTCAAATCTGCTCTGTCTAAGGGAACGTTCAACTCTGTGAGTTGAATGCACACAACACAAGGAAGTTACTGGGAATTCTTCTGTCTAGCCTTACATGAAAAAAACCCGTTTCCAACGAAGGCCTCTAAGTGGTCAAGTTATCCACGTGCAGACTTTACAAACAGAGTGTTTCCAAACTTCTGAATGAAAAGAAAAGTTAAACTCTGAGAGTTGAACGCACACATCGCAGAGCAGTTTCTGAGAATGATTCTGTCTAGTTTTTATACGAAGATATTTCCTTTTCTGCCTTTGGCCTCAAAGCGCTTGAAATCTCCACTTGCAAATTCCACAAAAAGAGTGTTTCAAATGTGCTCTGTGTAAATGAAAGTTCAACTCTGTGAGTTGAACACACACATCACAAGGAAGTTACTGGGAATTCTTCTGTCTAGCCTTATATGAAAAAAACCCGTTTCCAACGAAGGCCTCAAAGAGGTCTGAATATCCACTTGCAGACTTTACAAACAGAGTGTTTCCTAACTGCTCTATGAAAAGAAAGGTTAAACTCTGTGAGTTGAAGGCACACATCCCAAAGAAGTTTCTGAGAATCATTCTGTCTAGTTTCTATAGGAAGATATTTCCTATTCTACCATTGACCTCAAAGCGGCTGAAATCTCCAGTTGCAAATTCCACAAAAAGAATGTTTCAAGTCTGCTCTGTGTAAAGGATCGTTCAACTCTGTGAGTTGAATACACACAACACAAGGGACTTACTGAGAATTATTCTGTCCAGCAGAATATGAAGAAATCCCGTTTCCAACGAAGGCCACAAGATGTCAGAATATCCACTTACAGACTTTACAAACAGAGTGTTTCCTAACTGCTCTATGAACAGAAAGGTTAAACTCTGTGAGTTCAACGAACACATCACAACGCAGTTTGTCGGAATGATTCTGTCTAGTTTTGAAACGAAGATATTTCCTTTTCTGCCATTGACCTTAAAGCGCTTGAAATCTACACTTGCAAATTGCACAAATAGAGTGTTTCAAATCTGCTCTAAGGGAACGTTCAACTCTGTGAGTTGAATGCACACAACACAAGGAAGTTACTGGGAATTCTTCTGTCTAGCCTTACATGAAAAAAACCCGTTTCCAACGAAGGCCTCTAAGTGGTCAAATTATCCACGTGCAGACTTTAGAAACAGAGTGTTTCCAAACTACTGAATGAAAAGAAAAGTTAAACTCTGAGAGTTGAACGCACACATCGCAGAGCAGTTTCTGAGAATGATTCTGTCTAGTTTTTATACGAAGATATTTCCTTTTCTGCCTTTGGCCTCAAAGCGCTTGAAATCTCCACTTGCAAATTCCACAAAAAGAGTGTTTCAAATCTGCTCTTTGTAAATGAAAGTTCAACTGTGTGAGTTGAACACACACAACACAAGGAAGTTACTGGGAATCCTTCTGTCTAGCCTTATATGAAAAAAACCCGTTTCCAACGAAGGCCTCAAAGAGGTCTGAATATCCACTTGCAGACTTTACAAACAGAGTGTTTCCTAACTGCTCTATGAAAAGAAAGGTTAAACTCTGTGAGTTGAACACACTCATCACAAAGGAGTTTCTGAGAATCATTCTGTCTAGTTTTTATAGGAAGATATTTCCTTTTCTACCTTTGACTTCAAAGCGGCTGAAATCTCCACTTGCAAATTCCACAAAAAGAGTGTTACAAGTCTGCTCTGTGTAAAGGATCGTTCAACTCTGTGAGTTGAATACACACAACACAAGGAAGTTACTGAGAATTTTTCTGTCTAGCAGAATATGCAGAAATCCCGTTTCCAACGAAGGCCACAAGATGTCAGAATATCCACTTACAGACTTTACAAACAGAGTGTTTCCTAACTGCTCTATGAACAGAAAGGTTAAACTCTGTGAGTTGAACGCACACATCACAAAGGAGTTTCTGAGAATCATTCTGTCTAGTTTTGAAACGAAGATATTTCCTTTTCTGCCATTGACCTTAAAGCGCTTGAAATCTACACTTGCAAATTACACAAATAGAGTGTTTCAAATCTGCTCTGTCTAAGGGAACGTTCAACTCTGTGAGTTGAATGCACTCAACACAAGGAAGTTACTGGGAATTCTTCTGTCTAGCCTTACATGAAAAAAACCCGTTTCCAACGAAGGCCTCTAAGTGGTCAAAATATCCACGTGCAGACTTTACAAACAGAGTGTTTCCAAACCGCTGAATGAAAAGAAAAGTTAAACTCTGAGAGTTGAACGCACACATCACGCAGCAGTTTCTGAAAATGATTCTGTCTAGTTTTTATACGAAGATATATCCTTTTCTGCCTTTGGCCCCAAAGCGCTTGAAATCTCCACTTGCAAATTCCACAAAAACAGTGTTTCAAATCTGCTCCCTCTAAATGAAAGTTCAACTTTGTCAGTTGAATACACACAACACAAGGAAAGTTACTGAGAATTCTTCTGTCTAGCAGAATATGAAGAAATCCCGTTTCCAACGAAGGCCTCAAAGGGGTCTGAATATCCACTTGCAGACTTTATAAACAGAGTGTTTACTAACTCCTCTATGAAAAGAAAGGTTAAACTCTGTGTGTTGAACGCACACATCACAAAGGAGTTTCTGAGAATCATTCTGTCTAGTTTCTATAGGAAGATATTTCCTATTCTACCATTGACCTCAAAGCGGCTGAAATCTCCACTTGCAAATTCCACAAAAAGAGTGTTTCAAGTCTGCTCTGTTTAAAGGATCGTTCAACCCTGTGAGTTTAATACACACAACACAAGGAAGTTACTGAGAATTCTTCTGTCTAGCAGAATATGAAGAAATCCGGTTTCCAACGAAGGCCACAAGATGTCAGAATATCCACTTACAGACTTTACAAACAGAGTGTTTCCTAACTGCTCTATGAACACAAAGGTTAAACTCTGTGAGTTGAACGAACACATCACAACGCAGTTTGTGGGAATGATTCTGTATAGTTTTTCTACGAAGATATTTCCTTTTCTACTATTGACCTCAAAGCGGCTGAAATCTCCACTTGCAAATTCCACAAAAAGAGTGTTTCAAGTCTGCTCTGTGTAAAGGATCGTACAACTCTGTGAGTTGAATACACACAACACAAGGAAGTTACTGAGAATTCTTCTGTCTAGCAGAATATGAAGAAATCCCGTTTCCAACGAAGGCCTCAAAGAGGTCTGAATATCCACTTGCAGACTTTACAAACAGAGTGTTTCCTAACTGCTCTATGAAAAGAAAGGTTAAACTCTGTGAGTTGTACGCACACATCACAAAGGAGTTTCTGAGAATCGTTCTGTCTAGTCTTTATACGAAGATATTTCCTTTTCTACCATTGACCTCAAAGCGGCTGAAATCTCCACTTGCAGATTCCACAAAAAGAGTGTTTCAAGTCTGCTCTGTGTAAAGGATCATTCAACTCTGTGAGTTGAATAAACACAACACAAGGAAGTTACTGAGAATTCTTCTGTCTAGCACAGTATGAAGAAATCCCGTTTCCAACGAAGGCCACAAGATGTCAGAATATCCACTTACAGAATTTACAAACAGAGTGTTTCCTAACTGCTCTATGAAAAGAAAGGTTAAACTCTGTGAGATGAACGAACACATCACAACGCAGTTTGTGGGAATGATTCTGTCTAGTTTCTATAGGAAGATATTTCCTATTCTACCATTGACCTCAAAGCGGCTGAAATCTCCACTTGCAAATTCCACAAAAAGAGTGTTTCAAGTCTGCTCTGTGTAAAGGATCGTTCAACTCTGTGAGTTGAATGCACACAACACAAGGAAGTTACTGGGAATTCTTCTGTCTAACCTTACATGAAAAAAACCCGTTTCCAACGAAGGCCTCTAAGTGGTCAAATTATCCACGTGCAGACTTTACAAACAGAGTGTTTCCAAACTGCTGAATGAAAAGAAAAGTTAAACTCTGAGAGTTGAACACACACATCGCAGAGCAGCTTCTGAGAATGATTCTGTCTAGTTTTTATACGAAGATATTTCCTTTTCTGCCTTTGGCCTCAAAGCGCTTGAAATCTCCACTTGCAAATTCCACAAAAAGAGTGTTTCAAATCTGCTCTGTGTAAATGAAAGTTCAACTCTGTCAGTTGAACACACACAACACAAGGAAGTTACTGGGAATTCTTCTGTCTAGAAGAATATGAAGAAATCCCGCTTCCAACGAAGGCCTCAAAGAGGTCTGAATATCCACTTGCAGACTTTACAAACAGAGTGTTTCCCAACGGCTCTATGAAAAGAAAGGTTGAACTCTGTGAGTTGAACGCACACATCACAAAGGAGTTTCTGAGAATCATTCTGTCTAGTTTCTATAGGAAGATATTTCCTATTCTACCATTGAACTCAAAGCGGCTGAAATCTCCAATTGCAAATTCCACAAAAAGAGTGTTTCAAGTCTGCTCTGTGTAAAGGATCGTTCAACTCTGTGAGTTGAATACACACAACACAAGGAAGTTACTGAGAATTCTTCTGTCTAGCATAATATGAAGAAATTCCGTTTCCAACGAAGGCCTCAAAGGGGTCTGAATATCCACTTGCAGACTTTATAAACAGAGTGTTTACTAACTGCTCTATGAAAAGAAAGGTTAAACTCTGTGAGTTGAACACACACATCACAAAGGAGTTTCTGAGAATCATTCTGTCTAGTTTTTATACGAAGATATTTCCTTTTCTACCATGGACCTCAAAGCTGCTGAAATCTCCACTTGCAAATTCCACAAAAAGAGTGTTTCAAGTCTGCTCTGTGTAAAGGATCGTTCAACTCTGTGAGTTGAATACACACAACACAAGGAAGATTCTGAGAATTCTTCTGTCTAGCAGAATATGAAGAAATACCGTTTCCAACGAAGGCCACAAGATGTCAGAATATCCACTTACAGACTTTACAAACAGAGTGTTTCCTAACTGCTCTATGAACAGAAAGGTTAAACTCTGTGAGTTGAACGAACACATCACAACGCAGTTTGTGGGAATGATTCTGTCTAGTTTTGAAACGAAGATATTTCCTTTTCTGCCATTGACCTTAAAGCGCTTGAAATCTACACTTGCAAATTACACAAATAGAGTGTTTCAAATCTGCTCTGTCTAAGGGAATGTTCATCTCTGTGAGTTGAATGCACACAACAAAAGGAAGTTACTGGGAATTCTTCTGTCTGGTCTTACATGAAAAAAACCCGTTTCCAACGAAGGCCTCTAAGTGGTCAAAATATCCACGTGCAGACTTTACAAACAGAGTGTTTCCAAACTGCTGAATGAAAAGAAAACTTAAACTCTGAGAGGTGAACGCACACATCACAGAGCAGTTTCTGAGAATGATTCTGTCTAGTTTTGAAACGAAGATATTTCCTTTTCTGCCTTTGGCCTCAAAGCGCTTGAAATCTCCACTTGCAAATTCCACAAAAAGAGTGTTTCAAGTCTGCTCTGTGTAAATGAAAGTTCAACTCTGTGAGTTGGACACACACAACACAAGGAAGTTACTGGGAATTCTTCTGTCTAGCCTTACATGAAAAAAACCCGTTTCCAACGAAGGCCTGAAAGAGGTCTGAATATCCACCTGCAGACTTTATAAACAGAGTGTTTCCTAACTGCTCTATGAAAAGAAAGGTTAAACTCTGTGAGTTGAACGCACACATCACAAAGGAGTTTCTGAGAATCATTCTGTCTAGTTTCTATAGGAAGATATTTCCTATTCTACCATTGAACTCAAAGCGGCTGAAATCTCCACTTGCAAATTCCACAAAAAGAGTGTTTCAAGTCTGCTCTGTGTAAAGGATCGTTCATCTCTGTGAGTTGAATACACACAACACAAGGAAGTTACTGAGAATTCTTCTGTCTAGCAGAATATGAAGAAATTCCGTTTCCAACGAAGGCCGCAAGATGTCAGAATATCCACTTACAGACTTTACAAACAGAGTGTTTCCTAACTGCTCTATGAACAGAAAGGTTAAAATCTGTGAGTTGAACGAGCACTTCACAACGCAGTTTGTGGGAATGATTCTGTCTAGTTTTGAAACGAAGATATTTCCTTTTCTGCCATTGACCTTAAAGCGCTTGAAATCTCCACTTGCCAATTGCACAAAAAGAGTGTTTCAAATCTGCTCTGTCTAAGGGAACGTTCAACACTGTGAGTTGAATGTACACAACACAAGGAAGTTACTGGGAATTCTTCTGTTTAGCCTTACAGGAAAAAAACCCGTTTCCAACGAAGGCCTCTAAGTGGTCAAAATATCCACGTGCAGACTTTACAAACAGAGTGTTTCCAAACTGCTGAATGAAAAGAAAAGTTAAACTCTGAGAGTTGAACGCACACATTGCAGAGCAGTTTCTGAGAATGATTCTGTCTAGTTTTGAAACGAAGATATTTCCTTTTCTGCCTTTGGCCTCAAAGCGCTTGAAATCTCCACTTGCAAATTCCACAAAAAGAGTGTTTCAAATCTGCTCTGTGTAAATGAAAGTTCAACTCTGTGAGTCGAACACACACAACACAAGGAAGTTACTGGGAATTCTTCTGTCTAGCATAATATGAAGAAATCCCGTTTCCAACGAAGGCCTCAAAGAGATCTGAATATCCACTTGCAGACTTTACAAACAGAGTGTCTACTAACTGCTCTATGAAAAGAAAGGTTAAACTCTGTGAGTTGAACGCACACATCACAAAGGAGTTTCTCAGAATCATTCTGTCTAGTTTCTATAGGAAGATATTTCCTATTCTACCATTGACCTCAAAGCGGCTGAAATCTCCACTTGCAAATTCCACAAAAAGAGTGTTTCAAGTCTGCTCTCTGTAAAGGATCGTTCAACTCTGTGAGTTGAATACACACAACAGAAGGAAGTTACTGAGAATTCTTCTGTCTAGCAGAATATGAAAAATTCCCGTTTCCAACGAAGGCCTCAAAGAGGTCTGAATATCCACTTGCAGACTTTACAAACAGAGTGTTTCCTAACTGCTCTATGAAAAGAAAAGTTAAACTCTGTGAGTTGAACGCACACATCACAAAGGATTTTTTGAGAATCATTCTGTCTAGTTTTTATAGGAAGTTATTTCCTTTTCTACCTTCGACTTCAAAGCGGCTGAAATCTCCACTTGCAAATTCCACAAAAAGAGTGTTACCAGTCTGCTCTGTGTAAAGGATCGTTCAACTCTGTGAGTTGAATACACACAACACAAGGAAGTTACTGAGAATTCTTCTGTCTAGCAGAATATGAAGAAATCCCGTTTCCAACGAAGGCCACAAGATGTCAGAATATCCACTTACAGAATTTACAAACAGACTGTTTCCTAACTCCTCTATGAAAACAAAGGTTAAACTCTGTGAGTTGAACGAACACATCACAACGCAGTTTGTGGGAATGATGCTGTCTAGTTTTGAAACGAAGATATTTCCTTTTCTGCCGTTGACCTCAAAGCGCTTGAAATCTCCACTTGCCAATTGCACAAAAAGAGTGTTTCAAATCTGCTCTGTCTAAGGGAACGTTCAACTCTCTGAGTTGAATGTACACAACACAAGGAAGTTACTGGGAATTCTTCTGTCTAGCCTTACATGAAAAAAACCCGTTTCCAACGAAGGCCTCTAAGTGGTCAAATTATCCACGTGCAGACTTTACAAACAGAGTGTTTCCAAACTGCTGAATGAAAAGAAAAGTTAAACTCTGAGAGTTGAACGCACACATCACAGAGCAGTTTCTGAGAATGATTCTGTCTAGTTTTCAAACGAAGATATTTCCTTTTCTGCCTTTGGCCTCTAAGGGCTTGAAATCTCCACTTGCAAATTCCACAAAAAGAGTGTTTCAAATCTGCTCTGTGTAAATGAAAGTTCAACTCTGTGAGTTGAACACACACAACACAAGGAAGTTACTGGGAATTCTTCTGTCTAGCCTTATATGAAAAAAACCCGTTTCCAACCGAAGGCCTCAAAGAGGTCTGAATATCCACTTGCAGACTTTACAAACAGAGTGTTTCCTAACTGCTCTATGAAAAGAAAGGTTAAACTCTGTGAGTTGAACACACACATCACAAAGGAGTTTCTGAGAATCATTCTGTCTAGTTTCTATTGGAAGATATTTCCTATTCTACCATTGACCTCAAACGGCTGAAATCTCCACTTGCAAATTCCACAAAAAGAGTGTTTCAAGTCTGCTCTCTGTAAAGGATCCTTCAACTCTGTGAGTTGAATACACACAACACAAGGAAGTTACTGAGAATTATTCTGTCTAGGAGAATATGAAGAAGTCCCGTTTCCAACGAAGGCCACAAGATGTCAGAATATCCACTTACAGAATTGACAAACAGACTGTTTCCTAACTGCTCTATGAAAAGAAAGGTTAAACTCTGTGAGTTGAACGAACACATCACAACGCAGTTTGTGGGAATGATTCTGTCTAGTTTTGAAACGAAGATATTTCCTTTCCTGCCATTGACCTTAAAGCGCTTGAAATCTCCATTTGCCAATTGCACAAAAAGAGTGTTTCAAATCTGCTCTGTCTAAGGGAACGTTCAACTCTGTGAGTTGAATGTACACAACACAAGGAGGTTACTGGGAATTCTTCTGTCTAGCCTTACAGGAAAAAAACCCGTTTCCAACGAAGGCCTCTAAGTGGTCAAAATATCCACTTGCAGACTTTACAAACAGAGTGTTTCCAAACTGCTGAATGAAAAGAAAAGTTAAACTGTGAGAGTTGAACGCACACATCGCAGAGCAGTTTCTGAGAATGATTCTGTCTATTTTTTATACGAAGATATTTCCTTTTCTGCCTTTGGCCTCAAAGCGCTTGAAACCTCCATTTGCAAGTTCCACAAAAAGAGTGTTTCAAATCTGCTCTGTGTAAATGAAAGTTCAACTCTGTGAGTTGAACACACACAACACAAGGAAGTTACTGGGAATTCTTCTGTCTAGCCTTATATGAAAAAAACCCGTTTCCAACGAAGGCCTCAAAGAGGTCTGAATATCCACTTGCAGACTTTACAAGCAGAGTGTTTCCTAACTGCTCTATGAAAAGAAAGGTTAAACTCTGTGAGTTGAACGCACACATCACAAAGGAGTTTCTGAGAATCATTCTGTCTAGTTTCTATAAGACGATATTTCCTATTCTACCATTGACCTCAAAGCGGCTGAAATCTCCACTTGCAAATTCGACAAAAAGAGTGTTTCAAGCCTGCTCTCTGTAAAGGATCCTTCAACTATGTGAGTTGAATACACACAACACAAGGAAGTTACTGAGAATTATTCTGTCTAGCATAATATGAAGAAATCCCGTTTCCAACGAAGGCCTCAAAGAGGTCTGAATATCCACTTGCAGACTTTACAAACAGAGTGTTTCCTAACTGCTCTATGAAAAGAAAGGTTAAACTCTGTGAGTTGAACGCACACATCACAAAGGAGTTTATGAGAATCTTTCTGAAGAGTTTTGAAACGAAGATATTTCCTTTTCTGCCATTGACCTTAAAGCGCTTGAAATCTCCACTTGCCAATTGCACAAAAAGAGTGTTTCAAATCTGCTCTGTCTAAGGGAACGTTCAACTCTGTGAGTTGAATGTACACAACACAAGGAAGTTACCGGGAATTCTTCTGTCTAGCCTTACATGAAAAAAACCCGTTTCCAACGAAGGCCTCTAAGTGGTCAAGTTATCCACGTGCAGACTTTACAAACAGAGTGTTTCCAAACTCCTGAATGAAAAGAAAAGTTAAACTCTGAGAGTTGAACGCACACATCGCAGAGCAGTTTCTGAAAATGATTCTGTCTAGTTTTTATACGAAGATATTTCCTTTTCTGCTTTGGCCTCAAAGCGCTTGAAATCTCCATTTGCAAATTCCACAAAAAGAGTGTTTCAAATCTGCTCTGTGTAAATGAAAGTTCAACTCTGTGAGTTGAACACACACAACACAAGGAAGTTACTGGGAATTCTTCTGTCTAGCCTTATATGAAAAAAACCCGTTTCCAACGAAGGCCTCAAAGAGGTCTGAATATCCACTTGCAGACTTTACAAACAGAGTGATTCCTAACTGCTCTATGAAAAGAAATGTTAAACTCTGTGAGTTGAACACACACATCTCAAAGGAGTTTCTGAGAATCATTCTGTCTAGTTTCTATAGGAAGATATTTCCTATTCTACCATTGACCTCAAAGCGGCAGAAATCTCCACTTGCAAATTCCACAAAAAGAGTGTTTCAAGACTGCTCTGTGTAAAGGATCGTTCAACTCTGTGAGTTGAATACACACAACACAAGGAAGTTACTGAGAATTGTTCTGTCTAGGAGAATATGAAGAAATCCCATTTCCAACGAAGGCCACAAGATGTCAGAATATCCACTTACAGACTTTACAAACAGAGTGTTTCCTAACTGCTCTATGAACAGAAAGGTTAAACTCTGTGAGTTGAACGAACACATCACAACGCAGTTTGTGGGAATGATTCTGTCTAGTTTTGAAACGAAGATATTTCCTTTTCTGCCATTGACCTTAAAGCGCTTGAAATCTACCCTTGCAAATTGCACAAATGGAGTGTTTCAAATCTGCTCTGTCTAAGGGAACGTTCAACTCTGTGAGTTGAATGCACACAACACAAGGAAGTTACTGGGAATTCTTCTGTCTAGCCTTACATGAAAAAATCCCATTTCCAACGAAGGCCTCTAAGTGGTCAAAATATCCACGTGCAGACTTTACAAACAGAGTGTTTCCAAACCGCTGAATGAAAAGAAAAGTTAAACTCTGAGAGTTGAACGCACACATCACGCAGCAGTTTCTGAGAATGATTCTGTCTAGTTTTGAAACGAAGATATTTCCTTTTCTGCCTTTGGCCTCAAAGCGCTTGAAATCTCCATTTGCAAATTCCACAAAAAGAGTGTTTCAAATCTGCTCTGTGTAAATGAAAGTTCAACTCTGTGAGTTGAACACACACAACACAAGGAAGTTACTGGAAATTCTTCTGTCTAGCAGAATATGAAGAAATCCCGTTTCCAACGAAGGCCTCAAAGAGGTCTGAATATCCACTTGCAGACTTTACAAACAGAGTGTTTCCTAACTGCTCTATGAAAAGAAAGGTTAAACTCTGTGAGTTGAACGCACACATTACAAAGGAGTTTCTGAGAATCGTTCTGTCTAGTTTCTATAGGAAGATATTTCCTATTCTACCATTGACCTCAAAGAGGCTGAAATCTCCACTTGCAAATTCCACAACAAGAGTGTTTCAAGTCTACTCTGTGTAAAGCATCGTTCAACTCTGTGAGTTGAAAACACACAACACAAGGAAGTTTCTGAGAATTCTTCTGTCTAGCAGAATATGAAGAAATCCCGTTTCCAACGAAGGCCACAAGAGGTCAGAATATCCACTTACAGACTTTACAAACAGACTGTTTCCTAACTGCTCTATGAAAAGAAAAGTTAAACTCTGTGAGTTGGACGAACACATCACAACGCAGTTTGTGGGAATGATTCTGTCTAGTTTTTCTACGAAGATATTTCCTTTTCTACAATTGACCTCAAATCGGCTGAAATCACCACTTGCCAATTGCACAAAAAGAGTGTTTCAAATCTGCTCTGTCTAAGGGAACGTTCAACTCTGTGAGTTGAATGTACACAACACAAGGAAGTTACTGGGAATTCTTCTGTCTACCCTTATATGAAAAAAACCCGTTTCCAACGAAGGCCTCAAAGAGGTCTGAATATCCACTTGCAGACTTTACAAACAGAGTGTTTCCTAACTGCTCTATGAAAAGAAAGGTTAAACTCTGTGACTTGAACGCACACATCACAAAGGAGTTTCTGAGAATCATTCTGTCTAGTTTTGAAACGACGATATTTCCTTTTCTGCCTTTGGCCTCAAAGCGCTTGAAATCTCCACTTGCAAATTCCACAAAAAGAGTGTTTCAAATCTGCTCTGTGTAAATGAAAGTTCAACTCTGTGAGTTGAACACACACAACACAAGGAAGTTACTGGGAATTCTTCTGTCTAGCAGAATAGGAAGAAATCCCGTTTCCAACGAAAGCCTCAAAGAGGTCTGAATATCCACTTGCAGACTTTACAAACAGAGTGTTTCCTAACTGCTCTATGAAAAGAAAGGTTAAACTCTGTGAGTTGAACGCACACATCACAAAGGAGTTTCTGAGAATCGTTCTGTCTAGTTTCTATAGGAAGATATTTCCTTTTCTACCATTGAACTCAAAGCGGCTGAAATCTCCACTTGCAAATTCCACAAAAAGAGTGTTTCAAGTCTGCTCTGTGTAAAGGATCGTTCAACTCTGTGAGTTGAATACACACAACACAAGGAAGTTACTGAGAATTCTTCTGTCTAGCAGAATATGAAGAAATCCCGTTTCCAACGAAGGCCACAAGATGTCAGAATATCCACTTACAGACTTTACAAACAGAGTATTTCCTAACTGCTCTATGAACAGAAAGGTTAAACTCTGTGAGTTGAACGAACACATCACAACGCAGTTTGTGGGAATGATTCTGTCTAGTTTTGAAACGAAGATATTTCCTTTTCTGCCATTGACCTTAAAGCGCTTGAAATCTACACTTGCAAATTGCACAAATAGAGTGTTTCAAATCTGCTCTGTCTAAGGGAACGTTCAACTCTGTGAGTTGAATACACACAACACAAGGAAGTTACTGAGAATTCTTCTGTCTAGCCTTACAGGAAAAAACCCGTTTCCAACGAAGGCCTCTAAGTGGTCAAAATATCCACGTGCAGACTTTACAAACAGAGTGTTTCCAAACTGCTGAATGAAAAGAAAAGTTAAACTCTGAGAGTTGAACGCACACATCGCAGAGCAGTTTCTGAGAATGATTCTGTCTAGTTTTTATACGAAGATATTTCCTTTTCTGCCTTTGGCCTCAAAGCGCTTGAAATCTCCATTTGCAAATTCCACAAAAAGAGTGTTTCAAATCTGTTCTGTGTAAATGAAAGTTCAACTCTGTGAGTTGAACACACACAACACAAGGAAGTTACTGGGAATTCTTCTGTCTAGCATAATATGAAGAAATCCCGTTTCCAACGAAGGCCTCAAGGAAGTCTGAATATCCACTTGCAGACTTTACAAACAGAGTGTTTCCTAACTGCTCTATGAAAAGAAAGGTTAAACTCTGTGAGTTGAACGCACACATCACAAGGGAGTTTCTGAGAATCATTCTGTCTAGTTTTTCTACGAAGATATTTCCTTTTCTACTATTGACCTCAAAGCGGCTGAAATCTCCACTTGCAAATTCCACAAAAAGAGTGTTTCAAGTCTGCTCTGTGCAAAGGATCGTTCAACTCTGTGAGTTGAATACACACAACACAAGGAAGTTACTGAGAATTCTTCTGTCTAGCAGAATATGAAGAAATCCCGTTTCCAACGAAGGCCTCAAGGAGGTCTGAATATCCACTTGCAGACTTTACAAACAGAGGGTTTCCTAACTGCTCTATGAACAGAAAGGTAAAACTCTGTGAGTTGAACGCACACATCACAAAGGAGTTTCTGAGAATCATTCTGTCTAGTTTTGAAACGAAGATATTTCCTTTTCTGTCATTGACCTTAAAGCGCTTGAAATCTACACTTGCAAATTGCACAAATAGAGTGTTTCAAATCTGCTCTGTCTAAGGGAACGTTCAACTCTGTGAGTTGAATGCACACAACACAAGGAAGTTACTGGGAATTCTTCTGTCTAGCCTTACATGAAAAAAACCCGTTTCCAACGAAGGCCTCTAAGTGGTCAAAATATCCACGTGCAGACTTTACAAACAGAGTATTTCCAAACCGCTGAATGAAAAGAAAAGTTAAACTCTGAGAGTTGAACGCACACATCACGCAGCAGTTTCTGAGAATGATTCTGTCTAGTTTTCAAACGAAGATATTTCCTTTTCTGCCTTTGGCCTCAAAGCGCTTGAAATCTCCACTTGCAAATTCCACAAAAAGAGTGTTTCAAATCTGCTCTGTGTAAATGAAAGTTCAACTCTGTGAGTTGAACACACACAACACAAGGAAGTTACTGCGAATTCTTCTGTCTAGCATAGTATGAAGAAATCCCGTTTCCAACGAAGGCCTCAAACAGGTCTGAGTATCCACTTGCAGAGTTTACAAACAGAGTGTTTCCTAACTGCTCTATGAAAAGAAAGGTTAAACTCTGTGAGTTGAACGCACACATCACAAAGAAGTTTCTGAGAATCATTCTGCCTAGTTTCTATAGGAAGATATATCCTATTCTACCATTGACCTCAAAGAGGCTGAAATCTCCACTTGCAAATTCCACAAAAAGAGTGTTTCAAGTCTGCTCTGTGTAAAGGATCGTTCAACTCTGTGAGTTGAATACACACAACACAAGGAAGTTACTGAGAATTCTTCTGTCTAGCAGAATATGAAGAAATCCCGTTTCAAACGAAGGCCACAAGATGTCAGAATATCCACTTTCAGACTTTACAAACAGAGTGTTTCCTAACTGCTCTATGAACAGAAAGGTTAAACTCTGTGAGTTGAACGAACACATCACAACGCAGTTTGTGGGAATGATTCTGTCTAGTTTTGAAACGAAGATATTTCCTTTTCTGCCATTGACCTTAAAGCGCTTGAAACCTACACTTGCAAATTGCACAAATAGAGTGTTTCAAATCTGCTCTGTCTAAGGGAACGTTCAACTCTGTGAGTTGAATGCACACAACACAAGGAAGTTACTGGGAATTCTTCTGTCTAGCCTTACATGAAAAAATCCCGTTTCCAACGAAGGCCTCTAAGTGGTCAAAATTTCCACGTGCAGACTTTACAAACAGAGTGTTTCCAAACCGCTGAATGAAAAGAAAAGTTAAACTCTGAGAGTTGAACGAACACATCATGCAGCAGTTTCTGAGAATGATTCTGTCTAGTTTTTATACGAAGATATTTCCTTTTCTGCCTTTGGCCCCAAAGCACTTGAAATCTCCAATTGCAAATTCCACAAAAACAGTGTTTCAAATCTGCTCTCTCTAAATGAAAGTTCAACTCTGTCAGTTGAATACACACAACACAAGGAAGTTACTGAGAATTCTTCTGTCTAGCAGAATATGAAGAAATCCCGTTTCCAACGAAGGCCTCAAAGAGGTCTGAATATCCACTTGCACACTTTACAAACAGAGTGTTTCCTAACTGCTCTATGAGAAGAAAAGTTAAACTCTGTGAGTTGAACGCACACATCACAAAAGATTTTCTGAGAATCATTCTGTCTAGTCTTTATAAGAGGATAGTTTCCTTTTCTACCATTGACCTCAAAGCGGCTGAAATCTCCACTTGCAAATTCCACAAAAAGAGTGTTTCAAGTCTGCTCTGTGTAAAGGATCGTTCAACTCTGTGAGTTGAATACACACAACAGAAGGAAGTTACTGAGAATTCTTCTGTCTAGCAGAATATGAAGAAATCCCGTTTCCAACGAAGGCCACAAGATGTCAGAATATCCACTTACAGAATTGACAAACAGATTGTTTCCTAACTGCTCTATGAAAAGAAAGGTTAAACTCTGTGAGTTGAACGAACACATCACAACGCAGTTTGTGGGAATGATTCTGTCTAGTTTTTATACGAAGATATTTCCTTTTCTACCATTGACCTCAAAGCGGCTGAAATCACCACTTGCCAATTGCACAAAAAGAGTGTTTCAAATCTGCTCTGTCTAAGGGAACGTTCAACTCTGTGAGTTGAATGTACACAACACAAGGAAGTTACTGGGAATTCTTCTGTCTAGCCTTACATGAAAAAAACCCGTTTCCAACGAAGGCCTCTAAGTGGTCAAAATATCCATGTGCAGACTTTACAAACAGAGTGTTTCCAAACCGCTGAATAAAAAGAAAAGTTAAACTCTGAGAGTTGAACGCACACATCACCCAGCAGTTTCTGAGAATGATTCTGTCTAGTTTTTATACGAAGATATTTCCTTTTCTGCCTTTGGCCCCAAAGCGCTTGAAATCTCCACTTGCAAATTCCACAAAAACAGTGTTTCAAATCTGCTCTCTCTAAATGAAAGTTCAACTCTGTCAGTTGAATACACACACCACAAGGAAGTTACTGAGAATTCTTCTGTATAGCAGAATATGAAGAAAACCCGTTTCCAACGAAAGCCTCAAAGATGTCTGAATATCCACTGGCAGACATTACAAACAGAGTGTTTCCTAACTGCTCTATGAAAAGAAAGGTTAAACTCTGTGAGTTGAACGCACACATCACAAAGGAGTTTCTGAGAATCATTCTGTCTAGTCTTTATACGAAGATATTTCCTACTCTACCATTGACCTCAAAGCGGCTGAAATCTCCACTTGCAAATTCCACAAAAAGAGTGTTTCAAGTCTGCTCTGTGTAAAGGATCGTTCAACTCTGTGAGTTGAATACACACAACACAAGGGAAGTTACTGAGAATTCTTCTGTCTAGGAGAATATGAAGAAATCCCGTTTCCAACGAAGGCCACAAGATGTCAGAATATCCACTTACAGAATTGACAAACAGACTGTTTCCTAACTGCTCTATGAAAAGAAAGGTTAAACTCTGTGAGTTGAACGAACACATCACAACGCAGTTTGTGGGAATGATTCTGTCTAGTTTTGAAACGAAGATATTTCCTTTTCTGCCATTGACCTTTAAGCGCTTGAAATCTCCACTTGCCAATGGCACAAAAAGAGTGTTTCAAATCTGCTCTGTGTAAAGGATCGTTCAACTCTGTGAGTTGAATACACACAACAAAAGGAAGTTACTGAGAATTCTTCTGTCTAGCCTTACATGAAAAAACCCGTTTCCAACGAAGGCCTCTAAGTGGTCAAAATATCCACGTGCAGACTTTACAAACAGAGTGATTCCAAACCGATGAATGAAAAGAAAAGTTAAACTCTGAGAGTTGAACGCACACATCACGCAGCAGTTTCTGAGAATGATTCTGTCTAGTTTCTATAGGAAGATATTTCCTATTCTACCATTGACCTCAAAGCGGCTGAAATCTCCACTTGCAAATTCCACAAAAAGAGTGTTTCAAGTCTGCTCTGTGTAAAGGATCGTTCAACTCTGTGAGTTGAATACACACAACACAGGCAGTTACTGAGAATTCTTCTGTCTAGCAGAACATGAAGAAATCCCGCTTCCAACGAAGGCCTCAAAGAAGTCTGAATATCCACTTGCAGACTTTACAAACAGAGTGTTTCCCAACTGCTCTATGAAAAGAAAGGTTGAACTGTGTGAGTTGAACGCACACATCACAAAGGAGTTTCTGAGAATCATTCTGTCTAGTTTCTATAGGAAGATATTTCCCATTCTACCATTGACCTCAAAGCGGCTGAAATCTCCACTTGCAAATTCCACAAAAAGAATGTTTCAAGTCTGCTCTGTGTAAAGGATCGTTCAACTCTGTGAGATGAATACACACAACACAAGGAAGTTACTGAGAATTCTTCTGTCTAGCAGAATATGAAGAAATCCCGTTTCCAACGAAGGCCACAAGATGTCAGAATATCCACTTACAGAATTGACAAACAGACTGTTTCCTAAGTGCTCTATGAAAAGAAAGGTTAAACTCTGTGAGTTGAACGAACACATCACAACGCAGTTTGTGGGAATGATTCTGTCTAGTTCTGAAACGAAGATATTTCCTTTTCTGCCATTGAACTTAAAGCGCTTGAAATCTCCATTTGCCAATTGCACAAAAAGAGTGTTTCAAATCTGCTCTGTCTAAGGGAACGTTCAACTCTGTGAGTTGAATGTACACAACACAAGGAAGTTACTGGGAATTCTTCCGTCTAGCCTTACATGAAAAAAACCCGTTTCCAACGAAGGCCTCAAAGAAGTCCAAATATCCACGTGCAGAATTTACAAACAGAGTGTTTCCTAACGGCTCTATGAAAAGAAAGGTTAAACTCTGTGAGTTGAACGCCCACATCACAAAGGAGTTTCTGAGAATCATTCTGTCTAGTTTTGAAACGAAGACATTTCCTTTTCTGCCTTTGGCCTCAAAGCGCTTGAAATCTCCACTTGCAAATTCCACAAAAAGAGTGTTTCAAATCTGCTCTGTGTAAATGAAAGTTCAACTCTGTGAGTTGAACACACACAACACAAGGAAGTTACTGGGAATTCTTCTGTCTAGCATAATATGAAGAAATCCCGTTTCCAACAAAGGCCTCAACGAGGTCTGAATATCCACTTGCAGACTTTACAACCAGAGTGTTTCTTAAATGCTCTATGAAAAGAAAGGTTAAACTCTGTGAGTTGAACGCACACATCACAAAGGAGTTTCTGAGAATCATTCTGTCTAGTTTTTATACGAAGATATTTCCTTTTCTACCATTGACCTCAAAGCGGCTGAAATCTCCACTGGCCAATTCAACAAAAAGAGTTTTTCAAGTCTACTCTGTGTAACGGATCGTTGAACTCTGTGAGTTGAAAACACGCAACACCAGGAAGTTTCTGAGAATTCTTCTGTCTAGCAGAATATGAAGAAATCCCGTTTCCAACGAAGGCCTCAAAGAGGTCTGAATATCGACTTGCAGACTTTACAAACAGAGTGTTTCCTAACTGCTCTATGAAAAGAAAGGTTAAACTACTGTGAGTTGAACGCACACATCACAAAGGAGTTTATGAGAATCATTCTGTCTAGTTTCTATAGGAAGATATTTCCTATTCTACCATTGACCTCAAAGCGGCTGAAATCTCCACTTGCAAATTCCACAAAAAGAGGGTTTCAAGTCTGCTCTGTGTAAAGGATCGTTCAACTCTGTGAGTTGAATACACACAACACAAGGAAGTTACTGAGAATTCTTCTTTCTAGCAGAATATGAAGAAATCCCGTTTCCAACGAAAGCCTCAAGGAGGTCTGAATATCCACTTGCAGACTTTACAAACAGAGTGTTTCCTAACTGTTCTATGAAAAGAAAGGTTAAACTCTGTGAGTTGAACGCACACATCACAAAGGAGTTTCTGAGAATCATTCTGTGTAGTTTTGAAACGAAGATATTTCCTTTTCTGCCATTGACCTCAAAGCGCTTGAAATCTCCACTTGCCAATTGCACAAAAAGAGTGTTTCAAATCTGCTCTGTCTAAGGGAAAGTTCAACTCTGTGAGTTGAATGTACACAACACAAGGAAGTTACTGGGAATTCTTCTGTCTAGCCTTACATGAAAAAAACCCGTTTCCATCGAAGGCCTCTAACTGGTCAAGTTATCCACGTGCAGACTTTACAAACAGAGTGTTTCCAAACTTCTGAATGAAAAGAAAAGTTAAACTCTGAGAGTTGAACGCACACATCGCAGAGCAGTTTCTGAGAATGATTCTGTCTAGTTTTTATACGAAGATATTTCCTTTTCTGCCTTTGGCCTCAAAGCGCTTGAAATCTCCATTTGCAAATTCCACAAAAAGAGTGTTTCAAATCTGCTCTGTGTAAATGAAAGTTCAACTCTGTGAGTTGAACACACACAACACAAGGGAAGTTACTGGGAATTCTTCTGTCTAGCATAATATGAAGAAATCCCGTTTCCAACGAAGGCCTCAAAGGGGTCTGAATATCCACTTGCAGACTTTAGAAACAGAGTGTTTTCTAACTGCTCTATGAAAAGAAAGGTTAAACTCTGTGAGTTGAACACACACATCACAAAGGAGTTTCTGAGAATCATTCTGTCTAGTTTTTATAGGAAGATATTTCCTTTTCTACCTTTGACTTCAAAGCGGCTGAAATCTCCACTTGCAAATTACACAAAAAGAGTGTTACAAGTCTGCTCTGTGTAAAGGATCGTTCAACTCTGTGAGTTGAATACACACAACACAAGGAAGTTACTTGAGAATTCTTCTGTCTAGCCTTACATGAACAAAACCCGTTTCCAACGAAGGCCTCTAAGTGGTCAAGTTATCCACGTGCAGACTTTACAAACAGAGTGTTTCCAAACTGCTGAATGAAAAGAAAAGTTAAACTCTGAGAGTTGAACGCACACATCGCAGAGCAGTTTCTGAGAATGATTCTGTCTAGTTTTGAAACGAAGATATTTCCTTTTCTGCCATTGACCTTAAAGCGCTTGAAATCTCCATTTGTCAATTGCACAAAAAGAGTGTTTCAAATCTGCTCTGTCTAAGGGAACGTTCAACTCTGTGAGTTGAATGTACACGAACACAAGGAAGTTACTGGGAATTCTTCTGTCTAGCCTTACATGAAAAAAACCCGTTTCCAACGAAGGCCTCTAAGTGGTCAAAATATCCACGTGCAGACTTTACAAACACAGTGTTTCCAAACCGCTGAATGAAAAGAAAAGTTAAAGTCTGAGAGTTGAACGCACACATCACGCAGCAGTTTCTGAGAATGATTCTGTCTAGTTTTTATACGAAGATATTTCCTTTTCTGCCTTTGGCCTCAAAGCGCTTGAAATCTCCAATTGCAAATTCCACAAAAAGAGTGTTTCAAATCTGCTCTGTCTAAATGAAAGTTCAACTCTGTCAGTTGAACACACACAACACAAGGAAGTTACTGGGAATTCTTCTGTCTAGCAGAACATGAAGAAATCCCGTTTCCAACGAAGGCCTCAAAGATGTCTGAATATCCATATGCAGACTTTACAAACAGAGTGTTTCCTAACTGCTCTATGAAAAGAAAGGATAAACTCTGTGAGTTGAACGCACACATCACAAAGGAGTTTCTGAGAATCATTCTGTCTAGCTTCTATAGGAAGATATTTCCTATTCTACCATTGACCTCAAAGCGGCTGAAATCTCCACTTGCAAATTCCACAAAAAGAGTGTTTCAAGTCTGCTCTGTGTAAAGGATCGTTCAACTCTGTGAGTTGAATACACACAACACAAGGAAGTTACTGAGAATTCTTCTGTCTAGCCTTATATGAAAAAAACCCGTTTCCAACGAAGGCCTCAAAGAGGTCTGAATATCCACTTGCAGACTTTACAAACAGAGTGTTTCCTAACTGCTCTATGAAAAGAAAGGTTAAGCTCTGTGAGTTGAAAGCACACATCACAAAGGAGTTTCTGAGAATCATTCTGTCTAGTTTTTATACGAAGATATTTCCTTTTCTACCATTGACCTCAACGTGGCTGAAATCTCCACTTGCAAATTCCACAAAAAGAGCGTTTCAAGTCTGCTCTGTGTAAAGGATCGTTCAACTCTGTGAGTTGAATACACACAACACAAGGAAGTTACTGAGAATTCTTCTGTCCAGCAGAATATGAAGAAATCCCGTTTCCAACGAAGGCCACAAGATGTCAGAATATCCACTTACAGACTTTACAAACAGAGTGTTTCCTAACTGCTCTATGAACAGAAAGGTTAAACTCTGTGAGTTGAACGAACACATCACAACGCAGTTTGTGGGAATGATTCTGTCTAGTTTTTATAGGAAGATATTTCCTTTTCTACATTTGACTTCATAGCGGCTGAAATCTCCACTTGCAAATTCCACAAAAAGAGTGTTACAAGTCTGCTCTGTGTAAAGGATCGTTCAACTCTGTGAGTTGAATACACACAACACAAGGAAGTTACTGAGAATTCTTCTATCTAGCCTTACATGCAAAAAACCCATTTCCAACGAAGGCCTCTAAGTGGTCAAAATATCCACGTGCAGACTTCACAAACAGAGTGTTTCCAAACCGCTGAATGAAAAGAAAAGTTAAACTCTGAGAGTTGAACGCACACATCACGCAGCAGCTTCTGAGAATGATTCTGTCTAGTTTTGAAACGAAGATATTTCCTTTTCTGCCTTTGGCCTCAAAGCGCTTGAAATCTCCACTTGCAAATTCCACAAAAAGAGTGTTTCAAATCTTCTCTGTGTAAATGAAAGTTCAACTCTGTGAGTTGAACACACACAACACAAGGAAAGTTACTGGGAATTCTTCTGTCTAGCATAATATGAAGAATTCCCGTTTCCAACGAAGGCCTCAAAGGGGTCTGAATATCCACTTGCAGACTTTATAAACAGAGTGTTTACTAACTGCTCTATGAAAAGAAAGGTTAAACTGCTGTGAGTTGAACACACACATCACAAAGGAGTTTCTGAGAATCATTCTGTCTAGTCTATATACGAAGATATTTCCTTTTCTACCATTGACCTCAAAGCGGCTGAAATCTCCACTTGCAAATTCCACAAAAAGAGTGTTTCAAGTCTGCTCTGTGTAAAGGATCGTTCAACTCTGTGAGTTGAATACACACAACACAAGGAAGTTACTGAGAATTCTTCTGTCTAGTCTTATATGAAAAAACCCGTTTCCAACGAAGGCCTCAAAGAGGTCAGAATATCCACTTGCAGACTTTACAAACAGAGTGTTTCCTAACTGCTCTATGAAAAGAAAGGTTAAACTCTGTGAGTTGAACGCACACATCACAAAGGAGATTCTGAGAATCATTCTGTCTAGTTTTTCTAGGAAGATATTTCCTTTTCTACTATTGACCTCAAAGCGGCTGAAACCTCCACTTGCAAATTCCACAAAAAGAGTGTTTCAAGCCTGCTCTCTGTAAAGGATCCTTCAACTCTGTGAGTTGAATACACACAACACAAGGAAGTTACTGAGAATTATTCTGTCTAGCAGAATATGAAGAAATCCCGTTTCCAACGAAGGCCTCAAAGAGGTCTGAATATCCACTTACAGACTTTACAAACAGAGTGTTTCCTAACTGCTCTATGAACAGAAAGGTTAAACTCTGTGAGTTGAACGAACACATCACAACGCAGTTTGTGGGAATGATTCTGTCTAGTTTTGAAACGAAGATATTTCCTTTTCTGCCATTGACCTTAAAGCGCTTGAAATCTCCACTTGCCAATTGCACAAAAAGAGTATTTCAAATCTGCTCTGTCTAAGGGAACGTTCAACTCTGTGAGTTGAATGTACACAACACAAGGAAGTTACTGGGAATTCTTCTCTCTAGCCTTACATGAAAAAAACCCGTTTCCAACGAAGGCCTCTAAGTGGTCAAATTATCCACGTGCAGACTTTACAAACAGAGTGTTTCCAAACTGCTGAATGAAAAGAAAAGTTAAACTCTGAGAGTTCAACGCACACATCACAGAGCAGTTTCTGAGAATGATTCTGTCTAGTTTTTATACGAAGATATTTCCTTTTCTGCCTTTGGCCTCAAAGCGCTTGAAATCTCCATTTGCAAATTCCACAAAAAGAGTTTTTCAAATCTGCTCTGTGTAAATGAAAGTTCAACTCTGTGAGTTGAACACACACAACCCAAGGAAGTTACTGGGAATTCTTCTGTCTATCCTTACATGAAAAAACCCGTTTCCAACGAAGGCCTCAAAGAGGTCAAAATATCCACATGCAGACTTTACAAACAGAGTGTTTCCTAACTGCTCTATGAAAAGAAAGGTTAAACTCTGTGAGTTGAACACACACATCACAAAGGAGTTTCTGAGAATCATTCTGTGTAGTTTCTATAGGAAGATATTTCCTATTCTACCATTGAACTCAAAGCGGCTGAAATCTCCACTTGCAAATTCCACAAAAAGAGTGTTTCAAGTCTGCTCTGTGTAAAGGATCGTTCAACTCTGTGAGTTGAATACACACAACACAAGGAAGTTCCTGAGAATTCTTCTGTCTAGCAGAATATGAAGAAATCCCGTTTCCAACGAAGGCCATAAGATGTCAGAATATCCACTTACAGACTTTACAAACAGAGTGTTTCCTAACTGCTCTATGAACAGAAAGGTTAAACTCTGTGAGTTGAACGAACACATCACAACGCAGTTTGTGGGAATGATTCTGTCTAGTTTTGAAACGAAGATATTTCCTTTTCTGCCGTTGACCATAAAGAGCTTGAAAACTACACTTGCAAATTGCACAAATAGAGTGTTTCAAATCTGCTCTGTCTAAGGGAACGTTCAACTCTGTGAGTTGAATGCACACAACACAAGGAAGTTACTGGGAATTCTTCTGTCTAGACTTACAGGAAAAAAACCCGTTTCCAACGAAGGCCTCTAAGTGGTCAAAATATCCACGTGCAGACTTTACAAACAGAGTGTTTCCAAACTGCTGAATGAAAAGAAAAGTTAAACTCTGAGAGTTGAACGCACACATCGCAGAGCAGTTTCTGAGAATGATTCTGTCTAGTTTTTATACGAAGATATTTCCTTTTCTGCCTTTAGCCTCAAAGCGCTTGAAATCTCCACTTGCAAATTCCACAAAAAGAGTGTTTCAAATCTGCTCTGTGTAAATGAAAGTTCAACTCTGTGAGTTGAACACACACAACACAAGGAAGTTACTGGGAATTCTTCTGTCTAGCATAATATGAAGAAATCCGGTTTCCAACGAAGGCCTCAAAGGGGTCTGAATATCCACTTGCAGACTTTATAAACAGAGTGTTTACTAACTGCTCTATGAAAAGAAAGCTTAAACTTTGTGAGTTGAACACACACATCACAAAGGAGTTTCTGAGAATCATTCTGTCTAGTCTTTATACGAAGATATTTCCTTTTCTACCATTGACCTCAAAACGGCTGAAATCTCCACTTGCAAATTCCACAAAAAGTGTGTTTCAAGTCTGCTCTGTGTAAAGGATCGTTCAACTCTGTGAGTTGAATACACACAACACAAGGAAGTTACTGAGAATTCTTCTGTCTAGCAGAATATGAAGAAATCCCGTTTCCAACGAAGGCCACAAGATGTCAGAATATCCACTTACAGACTTTACAAACAAAGTGTTTCCTAACTGCTCTATGAACAGAAAGGTTAAACTCTGTGAGTTGAACGAACACATCACAACGCAGTTTGTGGGAATGATTCTGTCTAGTTTTAATACGAAGATATTTCCTTTTATACCATTGACCTCAAAGCGGCTGAAATCACCACTTGCCAATTGCACAAAAAGAGTGTTTCAAATCTGCTCTGTCTAAGGGAACGTTCAACTCTGTGAGTTGAATGTACACAACACAAGGAAGTTACTAGGAATTCTTCTGTCTAGCCTTACAAGAAAAAAACCCGTTTCCAACGAAGGCCTCTAAGTGGTCAAAATATCCACGTGCAGACTTTACAAACAGAGTGTTTCCAAACTGCTGAATGAAAAGAAAAGTTAAACTCTGAGAATTGAACGCACACATCGCAGAGCAGTTTCTGAGAATGATTCTGTCTAGTTTTTATACGAAGATATTTCCTTTTCTGCCTTTGGCCCCAAAGCGCTTGAAATCTCCACTTGCAAATTCCACAAAAAGAGTGTTTCAAATCTGCTCTGTGTAAATCAAAGTTCAACTCTGTGAGTTGAACACACACAACACAAGGGAAGTTACTGGGGATTCTTCTGTCTAGCATAATATGAAGAAATCCCGTTTCCAAAGAAGGCCTCAAGGAGGTCTGAATATCCACTTGCAGACTTTACAAACAGAGTGTTTCCTAACTGCTCTATGAAAAGAAAGGTTAAACTCTGTGAGTTGAACGCACACATCACAAAGTAGTTTCTGAGAATCATTCTGTCTAGTTTCTATAGGAAGATACTTCCTATTCTACCATTGACCTCAAAGCGGCTGAAATCTCCACTTGCAAATTCCACAAAAAGAGTGTTTCAAGTCTGCTCTGTGTAAAGCATCGTTCAACTCTGTGAGTTGAATACACACAACACAAGGAAGTTACTGAGAATTCCTCTGTCTAGCATAATATGAAGAAATCCCGTTTCCAAAGAAGGCCTCAAGGAGGTCTGAATATCCACATGCAGACTTTACAAACAGAGTGTTTCCTAACTGCTCTATGAAAAGAAAGGTTAAACTCTGTGAGTTGAACGCACACATCACAGAGGAGTTTCTGAGAATCATTCTGTCTAGTTTTGAAACCAAGATATTTCCTTTTCTGCCGTTGACCTTAAAGAGCTTGAAAACTACACTTGCAAATTGCACAAATAGAGTGTTTCAAATCTGCTCTGTCTAAGGGAACGTTCAACTCTGTGAGTTGAATGCACACAACACAAGGAAGTTACTGGGAATTCTTCTGTCTAGCCTTACATGAAAAAAACCCGTTTCCAACGAAGGCCTCAAAGAGGTCTGAATATCCACGTGCAGACTTTACAAACAGAGTGTTTCCAAACCGCTGAATGAAAAGAAAGGTTAAACTCTGTGAGTTGAACGCACACATCACAAAGGAGTTTCTGAGAATCATTCTGTCTAGTTTTTATACGAAGATATTTCCTTTTCTGCCTTTGGCCACAAAGCGCTTGAAATCTCCACTTGCAAATTCCACAAAAAGAGTGTTTCAAATCTGCTCTGTGTAAATCAAAGTTCAACTCTGTGAGTTGAACACACACAACACAAGGAAGTTACTGGGAATTCTTCTGTCTAGCATAATATGAAGAAATCCCGTTTCCAACGAAGGCCTCAAAGGGGTCTGAATATCCATTTGCAGACTTTATAAACAGAGTGTTTACTAACTGCTCTATGAAAAGAAAGGTTAAACTCTGTGAGTTGAACACACACATCACAAAGGAGTTTCTGAGAATCATTCTGTCTAGTTTTTATACGAAGATATTTCCTTTTCTACCATTGACCTCAAAGCGGCTGAAATCTCCACTTGCAAATTCCACACAAAGAGTGTTTCAAATCTGCTCTGTGTAAACCATCGTTCAACTCTGTGAGTGGAATACACACAACACAAGGAAGATTCTGAGAATTCTTCTGTCTAGCAGAATATGAAGAAATCCCGTTTCCAACGAAGGCCAAAAGATGTCAGAATATCCACTTACAGAATTTACAAACAGACTGTTTCCTAACTGCTCTATGAAAAGAAAGGTTAAACTCTGTGAGTTGAACGAACACATCACAACGCAGTTTGTGGGAATGATTCTGTCTAGTTTTGAAACGAAGATATTTCCTTTTCTGCCATTGACCTTAAAGCGCTTGAAATCTACACTTGCAAATTGCAGAAATAGAGTGTTTCAAATCTGCTCTGTCTAAGGGAACGTTCAACTCTGTGAGTTGAATGCACACAACACAAGGAAGTTACTGGGAATTCTTCTGTCTAGCCTTACATGAAAAAAACCCGTTTCCAACGAAGGCCTCTAAGTGGTCTAATTATCCACGTGCAGACTTTACAAACAGAGTGTTTCCAAACTGCTGAATGAAAAGCAAAGTTAAACTCTGAGAGTTGAACGCACACATCGCAGAGCAGTTTCTGAGAATGATTCTGTCTGGTTTTTATAGGAAGATATTTCCTTTTCTGCCTTTGGCCTCAAAGCGCTTGAAACCTCCACTTGCAAATTCCACGAAAACAGTGTTTCAAATCTGATCTGTCTAAATGAAAGTTCAACTCTGTCAGTTGAATACACACAACACAAGAAGTTACTGAGAATTCTTCTGTCTAGCATAATATGAAGAAATCCCGTTTCCAACGAAGGCCTCAAAGAAGTCTGAATATCCACTTGCAGACTTTACAAACAGAGTGTTTCCCAACTGCTCTATGAAAAGAAAGGTTGAACTCTGTGAGTTGAACGCACACATCACAAAGGAGTTTCTGAGAATCATTCTGTCTAGTTTCTATAGGAAGATATTTCCTATTCTACCATTGACCTCAAAGCGGCTGAAATCTCCACTTGCAAATTCCGCAAAAAGAGTGTTTCAAGTCTGCTCTGTGTAAAGGATCGTTCAACTCTGTGAGTTGAATACACAAAACACAAGGAAGTTACTGAGAATTCTTCTGTGTATCATAATATGAAGAAATCCCGTTTCCAATGAAGGCCTCAAAGAGGTCTGAATATCCACTTGCAGACTTTACAAACAGAGTGTCTCCTAACTGCTCTATGAAAAGAAAGGTTAAACTCTGTGAGTTGAACGAACACATCACAACGCAGTTTGTGGGAATGATTCTGTCTAGTTTTGAAACGAAGATATTTCCTTTTCTGCCATTGACCTTAAAGCGCTTGAAATCTCCACTTGCCAATTGCACAAAAAGAGTGTTTCAAATCTGCTGTGTCTAAGGGAACGTTCAACTCTGTGAGTTGAATGTACACAACACAAGGAAGTTACTGGGAATTCTTCTGTCTAGCCTTACATGAAAAAAACCCGTTTCCAACGAAGGCCTCTAAGTGGTCAAAATATCCACGTGCAGACTTTACAAACAGAGTGTTTCCAAACCGCTGAATGAAAAGAAAAGTTAAACTCTGAGAGTTGAACGCACACATCACGCAGCAGTTTCTGAGAATCATTCTGTCTAGTTTCTATAGGAAGTTTTTTCCTATTCTACCATTGACCTCAAACCGGCAGAAATCTCCACTTGCAAATTCCACAAAAAGAGTGTTTCAAGACTGCTCTGTGTAAAGGATCGTTCAACTCTGTGAGTTGAATACACACAACACAAGGAAGTTACTGGGAATTCTTCTGTCTAGCAGAATATGAAGAAATCCCGTTTCCAACGAAGGCCTCAAAGAGGTCTGAATATCCACTTGCAGACTTTACAACCAGAGTGTTTCCTAACTGCTCTATGAAAAGAAAGGTTAAACTCTGTGAGTTGAACGCACACATCACAAAGGAGTTTCTGAGAATCATTCTGTCTAGTCTTTATACAAAGATATTTCCTTTTCTACCATTGACCTCAAAGCGGCTGAAATCTCCACTTGCAAATTCCACAAAAAGAGTGTTTCAAGTCTGCTCTCTGTAAAGGATCGTTCAACTCTGTGAGTTGAGTACACACAACACAAGGAAGTTACTGAGAATTATTCTGTCTAGCAGAATATGAAGAAATCCCGTTTCCAACGAAGGCCACAAGATGTCAGAATATCCACTTACAGACTTTACAAACAGAGTGTTTCCTAACTGCTCTATGAACAGAAATGTTAAACTCTGTGAGTTGAACGAACACATCACAACGCAGTTTGTGGGAATGATTCTGTCTAGTTTTTATACGAAGATATTTCCTTTTCTACCATTGACCTCAAAGAGGCTGAAATCACCACTTGCCAATTGCACAAAAAGAGTGTTTCAAATCTGCTCTGTCTAAGGGAACGTTCAACTCTGTGAGTTGAATGTACACAACACAAGGAAGTTCCTGGGAATTCTTCTGTCTAGCCTTACAGGAAAAAAACCCGTTTCCAACGAAGGCCTCTAAGTGGTCAAAATATCCACGTGCAGTCTTTACAAACAGAGTGTTTTCAAACTGTTGAATGAAAAGAAAAGTTAAACTCTGAGATTTGAACGCACACATCGCAGAGCAGTTTCTGAGAATGATTCTGTCTAGTTTCTATAGGAAGATATTTCCTATTCTACCATTGACCTCAAAGCGGCTGAAATCTCCAATTGCAAATTCCACAAAAAGAGTGTTTCAAGTCTGCTCTGTGTAAAGGATCGTTCAACTCTGTGAGTTGAATACACACAACACAAGGAAGTTACTGAGAATTCTTCTGTCTAGCAGAATATGAAGAAATCCCGCTTCCAACGAAGGCCTCAAAGAACTCTGAATATGCACATGCAGACTTTACAAACAGAGTGTTTCCCAACTGCTCTATAAAAAGAAAGGTTGAACTCTGTGAGTTGAAGGCACACATCACAAAGGAGTTTCTGAGAATCATTCTGTCTAGTTTTGAAACGAAGATATTTCCTTTTCTACCATTGACCTCAACGCGGCTGAAATCTCCATTTGCAAATTCCACAAAAAGGGTGTTTCAAATCTGCTCTGTGTAAATGAAAGTTCAACTCTGTGAGTTGAACACACACAACACAAGGAAGTTACTGGGAATTCTTCTGTCTAGCAGAATATGAAGAAATCCCGTTTCCAACGAAGGCCACAAGATGTCAGAATATCCACTTACAGACTTTACAGAGTGTTTCCTAACTGCTCTATGAACAGAAAGGTTAAACTCTGTGAGTTGAACGAACACATCACAACGCAGTTTGTGGGAATGATTCTGTCTAGTTTTGAAACGAAGATATTTCCTTTTCGGCCGTTGACCTTAAAGCGCTTGAAATCTACACTTGCAAATTGCACAAATAGAGTGTTTCAAATCTGCTCTGTCTAAGGGAACGTTCAACTCTGTGAGTTGAATGCACACAACACAAGGAAGTTACTGGGAATTCTTCTGTCTAGCCTTACATGAAAAAAACCCGTTTCCAACGAAGGCCTCTAAGTGGTCAAAATATCCACGTGCAGACTTTACAAACAGAGTGTTTCCAAACCGCTGAATGAAAAGAAAAGTTAAACTCTGAGAGTTGAACGCAAACATCACGCAGCAGTTTTTGAGAATGATTCTGTCTAGTTTTTATACGAAGATATTTCCTTTTCTGCCTTTGGCCCCAAAGCGATTGAAATCTCCACTTGCAAATTCCACAAAAACAGTGTTTCAAATCTGCTCTCTCTAAATGAAAGTTCAACTCTGTCAGTTGAATACACACAACACAAGGAAGTTACTGAGAATTCTTCTGTCTAGCATAATATGAAGAAATCCCGTTTCCAACGAAGGCCTCAAAGATGTCTGAATATCCACTTGCAGACTTTACAGAGTGTTTCCTAACTGCTCTATGAAAAGAAAGGTTAAACTCTGTGAGTTGAACGCACACATCACAAAGGAGTTTCTGAGAATCATTCTGTCTACTTTCTATAGGAAGATATTTCCTATTCTACCATTGACCTCAAAGCGGCTGAAATCTCCACTTGCAAATTCCACAAAAAGAGTGTTTCAAGTCTGCTCTGTGTAAAGGATCGTTCAACTCTGTGAGTTGAATACACACAACACAAGGGAAGTTACTGAGAATTCTTCTGTCTAGCAGAATATGAAGAAATCCCGTTTCCAGCGAAGGCCACAAGATGTCAGAATATCCACTTACAGAATTTACAAACAGAGTGTTTCCTAACTGCTCTATGAAAAGAAAGGTTAAACTCTGTGAGATGAACGAGCACATCACAACGCAGTTTGTGGGAATGATTCTGTCTAGTTTTGAAACGAAGAAATTTCCTTTTCTGCCATTGACCTTAAAGCGCTTGAAATCTACACTTGCAAATTGCACAAATACAGTGTTTCAAATCTGCTCTGTCAAAGGGAACGTTCAACTCTGTGAGTTGAATGCACACAACACAAGGAAGTTACTGGGAATTCTTCTGTCTAGCCTTACATGAAAAAAACCCGTTTCCAACGAAGGCCTCTAAGTGGTCAAATTATCCACGTGCAGACTTTACAAACAGAGTGTTTCCAAACTGCTGAATGAAAAGAAAAGTTAAACTCTGAGAGTTGAACGCACACATCGCAGAGCAGTTTCTGAGCATGATTCTGTCTAGTCTTTATACGAAGATATTTACTTTTCTACCATTGACCGCAAAGCGGCTGAAATCTCCACTTGCAAATTCCACAAAAAGAGTGTTTCAAGTCTGCTCTGTGTAAAGGATCATTCAACTCTGTGAGTTGAATAAACACAACACAAGGAAGTTACTGAGAATTCTTCTGTCTAGCAGAATATGAAGAAATCCCGTTTCCAACGAAGGCCTCAACGAGGTCTGAATATCCACTTGCAGACTTTACAAACAGAGTGTTTCCTAACTGCTCTATGAAAAAGAAAGGTTAAACTCTGTGAGTTGAACCCACACATCACAAAGGAGTTTCTGAGAATCATTCTGTCTAGTCTTTATACGAAGATATTTACTTTTCTACCATTGACCTCAAAGCGGCTGTAATCTCCACTTGCAAATTCCACAAAAAGAGTGTTTCAAGTCTGCTCTGTGTAAAGGATCATTCAACTCTGTGAGTTGAATAAACACAACACAAGGAAGTTACTGAGAATTCTTTTGTCTAGCAGAATATGAAGAAATCCCGTTTCCAACGAAGGTCACAAGATGTCAGAATATCCACTTACAGAATTGACAAACAGACTGTTTCCTAACTGCTCTATGAAAAGAAAGGTTAAACTCTGTGAGTTGAACGAACACATCACAACGCAGTTTGTGGGAATGATTCTGTCTAGTTTTGAAACGAAGATATTTCCTTTTCTGCCATTGACCTTAAAGCGCTTGAAATCTCCATTTGCCAATTGCACAAAAAGAGTGTTTCAAATCTGCTCTGTCTAAGTGAACGTTCAACTCTGTGAGTTGAATGTACACAACACAAGGAAGTTACTGGGAATTCTTCTGTTTAGCCTTACAGGAAAAAAACCCGTTTCCAACGAAGGCCTCTAAGTGGTCAAAATATCCACGTGCAGACTTTACAAACAGAGTGTTTCCAAACTGCTGAATGAAAAGAAAAGTTAAACTCTGAGAGTTGAACGCACACATCGCAGAGCAGTTTCTGAGAATGATTCTGTCTAGTTTTTATACGAAGATATTTCCTTTTCTGCCTTTGGCCCCAAAGCGCTTGAAATCTCCACTTGCAAATTCCACAAAAACAGTGTTTCAAATCTGCTCTCTCTAAATGATAGTTCAACTCTGTCAGTTGAATACACACAACACAAGGAAGTTACTGAGAATTCTTCTGTCTAGCATAATATGAAGAAATCCCGTTTCCAACGAAGGCCTCAAAGAGGTCTGAATATCCACTTGCAGACTTTACAAACAGGGTGTTTCCTAACTGCTCTATGAACAGAAAGGTTAAACTCTGTGAGTTGAACGAACACATCACAACGCAGTTTGTGGGAATGATTCTGTCTAGTTTCTATAGGAAGATATTTCCTATTCTACCATTGAACTCAAAGCGGCTGAAATCTCCACTTGCAAATTCCACAAAAAGATTGTTTCAAGTCTGCTCTGTGTAAAGGATCGTGCAACTCTGTGAGTTGAATACACACAACACAAGGAAGTTACTGAGAATTCTTCTGTCTAGCAGAATATGAAGAAATCCCATTTCCAACGAAGGCCACAAGATGTCAGAATATCCACTTACAGACTTGACAAACAGAGTGTTTCCTAACTGCTCTATGAACAGAAAGGTAAAACGCTGTGAGTTGAACGAACACATCACAACGCAGTTTGTGGGAATGATTCTGTCTAGTTTTGAAACCAAGATATTTCCTTTTCTGCCGTTGACCTAAAAGAGCTTGAAAACTACACTTGCAAATTGCTCAAATAGAGTGTTTCAAATCTGCTCTGTCTAAGGGAACGTTCAACTCTGTGAGTTGAATGCACACAACACAAGGAAGTTACTGGGAATTCTTCTGTCTAGCCTTACATGAAAAAAACCCGTTTCCAACGAAGGCCTCTAAGTGGTCAAAATATCCACGTACAGATGTTACAAACAGAGTGTTTCCAAACCGCTGAATGAAAAGAAAAGTTAAACTCTGAGAGTTGAACGCACACATCACGCAGCAGTTTCTGAGAATGATTCTGTCTAGTTTTGAAACGAAGATATTTCCTTTTCTGCCTTTGGCCTCAAAGCGCTTGAAATCTCCACTTACATATTCCACAAAAAGAGTGTTTCAAATCTGCTCTGTGTAAATGAAAGTTCAACTCTGTGAGTTGAACACACACAACACAAGGAAGTTACTGGGAATTCTTCTGTCTAGCCTTATATGAAAAAAACCCGTTTCCAACGAAGACCTCAAGGAGGTCTGAATATCCACTTGCAGACTTTACAAACAGAGTGTTTCCTAACTGCTCTATGAAAAGAAAGGTTAAACTCTGTGAGTTGAACGCACACATCACAAAGGAGTTTCTGAGAATCATTCTGTCTAGTTGTTATACGAAGATATTTCCTTTTCTACCATTGACCTCAAAGCGGCTGAAATCTCCACTTGCAAATTCCACCAAATGAGTGTTTCAAATCTGCTCTGTGTAAAGGATCGTTCAACCGTGTGAGTTGAATACACACAACACAAGGAAGATTCTGAGAATTCTTCTGTCTAGCAGAATATGAAGAAATCCTGTTTCCAACGAAGGCCACAAGATGTCTGAATATCCACTTACAGACTTTACAAACAGAGTGTTTCCTAACTGCTCTATGAACAGAAAGGTTAAACTCTGTGAGTTGAACGAACACATCACAACGCAGTTTGTGGGAATGATTCTGTCTAGTTTTGAAATGAAGATATTTCCTTTTCTGGCGTTGACCTTAAAGCGCTTGAAATCTACACTTGCAAATTGCACAAATAGAGTGTTTCAAATCTGCTCTGTCTAAGGGAACGTTCAACTCTGTGAGTTGAATTCACACAACACAAGGAAGTTACTGGGAATTCTTCTGTCTAGCATTACAGGAAAAAAACCCGTTTCCAACGAAGGCCTCTAAGTGGTCAAAATATCCACGTGCAGACTTTACAAACAGAGTGTTTCCAAACTGCTGAATGAAAAGAAAAGTTAAACTCTGAGAGTTGAACGCACACATCGCAGAGCAGTTTCTGAGAATGATTCTGTCTAGTTTTTATACGAAGGTATTTCCTTTTCTGCCTTTGGCCTCAAAGCGCTTGAAATCTCCACTTGCAAATTCCACAAAAAGAGTGTTTCAAATCTGCTCTGTGTAAATGAAAGTTCAACTCTGTGAGTTGAACACACACAACACAAGGAAGTTACTGGGAATTCTTCTGTCTAGCAGAATATGAAGAAATCCCGTTTCCAACGAAAGCCTCAAAGATGTCTGAATATCCACTTGCAGACTTTACAAACAGAGTGTTTCCTAACTGCTCTATGAAAAGAAAGGTTAAACTCTGTGAGTTCAACGCACACATCACAAAGGAGTTTCTGAGAATCATTCTGTCTAGTTTCTATAGGAAGGTATTTCCTATTCTACCATTGACCTCAAAGCGGCTGAAATCTCCAATTGCAAATTCCACAAAAAGAGAGTTTCAAGTCTGCTCTGTGTAAAGGATCGTTCAACTCTGTGAGTTGAAAACACACAACACAAGGAAGTTTCTGAGAATTCTTCTGTCTAGCCTTATATGAAAAAAACCCGTTTCCAACGAAGGCCTCAAAGAGGTCTGAATATCCACTTGCAGACTTTACAAACAGAGTGATTCTTAACTGCTCTATGAAAAGAAAGGTTAAACTCTGTGAGTTGAACACACACATCTCAAAGGAGTTTCTGAGAATCATTCTGTCTAGTTTCTATAGGAAGATATTTCCTATTCTACCATTGACCTCAAAGCGTCAGAAATCTCCACTTGCAAATTCCACAAAAAGAGTGTTTCAAGACTGCTCTGTGTAAAGGATCGTTGAACTCTGTGAGTTGAATACACACAACACAAGGAAGTTACTGAGAATTCTTCTGTCTAGCAGAATATGAAGAAATCCCGTTTCCAACGAAGGCCACAGGATGTCTGAATATCCACTTACAGACTTTACAAACAGAGTGTTTCCTAACTGCTCTATGAACAGAAAGGTTAAACTCTGTGAGTTGTACCAACACATCACAACGCAGTTTGTGGGAATGATTCTGTCTAGTTTTGAAACGAAAATATTTCCTTTTCTGCCATTGACCTTAAAGCGCTTGAAATCTCCACTTGCCAATTGCACAAAAAGAGTGTTTCAAATCTGCTCTGTCTAAGGGAACGTTCAACTCTGTGAGTTGAATGTACACAACACAAGGAAGTTACTGGGAATTCTTCTGTCTAGCCTTACATGAAAAAAACCCGTTTCCAACGAAGGCCTCTAAGTGGTCAAGTTATCCACGTGCAGACTTTACAAACAGAGTGTTTCCAAACTGCTGAATGAAAAGAAAAGTTAAACTCTGAGAGTTGAATGCACACATCGCAGAGCAGTTTGCTGAGAATGATTCTGTCTAGTTTTTATACGAAGATATTTCCTTTTCTGCCTTTGGCCTGAAAGCGCTTGAAATCTCCACTTGCAAATTCCACAAAAAGAGTGTTTCAAATCTGCTCTGTGTAAATGAAAGTTCAACTCTGTGAGTTCAACACACACAACACAAGGTAAGTTACTGGGAATTCTTCTTTCTAGCAGAATATGAAGAAATCCCGTTTCCAACGAAAGCCTCAAGGATGTCTGAATATCCACTTGCAGACTTTACAAACAGAGTGTTTCCTAACTGCTCTATGAAAAGAAAGGGTAAACTCCGTGAGTTGAACGCACACATCACAAAGGAGTTTCTGAGAATCATTCTGTCTAGTTTTTGTACGAAGATATTTCCTTTTCTACCCTTTACCTCAAAGCGGCTGAAATCTCCACTTGCCAATTCCACAAAAAGAGTGTTTCAAGTCTACTCTGTGTAAAGGATCGTTGAACTCTGTGAGTTGAAAACACACAACACCAGGAAGTTTCTGAGAATTCTTCTGTCTAGCAGAATATGAAGAAATCCCGTTTCCAACGAAGGCCACAAGATGTCAGAATATCCACTTACAGACTTTACAAACAGAGTGTTTCCTAACTGCTCTATGAACAGAGAGGTTAAACTCTGTGAGTTGAACGAACACATCACAACGCAGTTTGTGGGAATGATTCTGTCTAGTTTTGAAACGAAGATATTTCCTTTTCTGCCGTTGACCTTAAAGAGCTTGAAAACTACACTTGCAAATTGCACAAATAGAGTGTTTCAAATCTGCTCTGTCTAAGGGAACGTTCAACTCTGTGAGTTGAATGCACACAACACAAGGAAGTTACTGGGAATTCTTCTGTCTAGCCTTACAGGAAAAAAACCCGTTTCCAACGAAGGCCTCTAAGTGGTCAAGTTATCCACGTGCAGACTTTACAAACAGAGTGTTTCCAAACTGCTGAATGAAAAGAAAAGTTAAACTCTGAGAGTTGAACGCACACAGCGCAGAGCAGTTTCTGAGAATGATTCTGTCTAGTTTTTATACGAAGATATTTCCTTTTCTGCCTTTGGCCCCAAAGCGCTTGAAATCTCCATTTGCAAATTCCACAAAAACAGTGTTGCAAATCTGCTCTCTCTAAATGAAAGTTCAACTCTGTGAGTGGAATACACACAACACAAGGAAGTTACTGAGAATTCTTCTGTCTAGCACAGTATGAAGAAATCCCGTTTCCAA
Source organism: Homo sapiens (assembly GCF_000001405.40). Taxonomy (NCBI): domain Eukaryota; kingdom Metazoa; phylum Chordata; class Mammalia; order Primates; family Hominidae; genus Homo; species Homo sapiens. The sequence continues at coordinate 25,397,387 of NC_000019.10, read as the reverse complement.
CGAAGGCCTCAAAGAGGTCTGAATATCCACTTGCAGAGTTTACAAACAGAGTGTTTCCTAACTGCTCTATGAATAGAAAGGTTAAACTCTGTGAGTTGAACGCACACATCACAAAGAAGTTTCTGAGAATCATTCTGTCTAGTTTTTATACGAAGATATTTCCTTTTCTACCATTGACCTCAAAGCGGCTGAAATCTCCACTTGCAAATTCCACAAAAAGAGTGTTTCAAGTCTGCTCTGTGTAAAGGATCGTTCAAATCTGTGAGTTGAATACACACAACACAAGGAAGTTACTGAGAATTCTTCTGTCTAGCGGAATATGAAGAAATCCCGTTTCCAACGAAGGCCAGAAGATGTCAGAATATCCACTTACGGACTTTACAAAGAGCGTGTTTCCTAACTGCTCTATGAACAGAAAGGTTAAACTCTGTGAGTTGAACGAACACATCACAACGCAGTTTGTGGGAATGATTCTGTCTAGTTTTGAAACGAAGATATTTCCTTTTCTGCCATTGACCTTAAAGCGCTTGAAATCTACACTTGCAAATTGCACAAATAGAGTGTTTCAAATCTGCTCTGTCTAAGAGAACGTTCAACTCTGTGAGTTGAATGCACACAACACAAGGAAGTTACTGGGAATTCTTCTGTCTAGCCTTACATGAAAAAATCCCGTTTCCAACGAAGGGCTCTAAGTGGTCAAAATATCCACGTGCAGACTTTACAAACAGAGTGTTTCCAAACCGCTGAATGAAAAGAAAAGTTAAACTCTGAGAGTTGAACGCACACATCACACAGCAGTTTCTGAGAATGATTCTGTCTAGTTTTCATACGAAGATATTTCCTTTTCTGCCTTTGGCCCCAAAGCGTTTGAAATCTCCACTTGCAAATTCCACAAAAACAGTATTTCAAATCTGCTCTCTCTAAATGAAAGTTCAACTCTGTCAGTTGAATACACACAACACAAGGAAGTTACTGAGAATTCTTCTGTCTAGCCTTATATGAAAAAAACCCGTTTCCAACGAAGGCCTCAAAGAGGTCTGAATATCCACTTGCAGACTTTACAAACAGAGTGTTTCCTAAGTGCTCTATGCAAAGAAAGGTTAAACTCTGTGAGTTGAACGCACACATCACAAAGGAGTTTCTGAGAATCATTCTGTCTTGTTTCTATACGAAGATATTTCCTTTTCTACCATTGACCTCAAAGCGGCTGAAATCTCCACTTGCAAATTCCACAAAAAGAGTGTTTCAAGTCTGCTCTGTTTAAAGGATCGTTCAACTCTGTGAGTTGAATACACACAACACAAGGAAGTTACTGAGAATTCTTCTGTCTAGCATAATATGAAGAAATAACGTTTCCAACGAAGGCCTCAAAGAGGTCTGAATATGCACTTGCAGACTTTACAAACAGAGTGTTTCCTAACTGCTCTATGAACAGAAAGGTTAAACTCTGTGAGTTGAACGAACACATCACAATGCAGTTTGTGGGAATGATTCTGTCTAGTTTTGAAACGAAGATATTTCCTTTTCTGCCGTTGACCTTAAAGCGCTTGAAATCTACACTTGCAAATTGTACAAATAGAGTGTTTCAAATCTGCTCTGTCTAAGGGAACGTTCAACTCTGTGAGTTGAATGCACACAACACAAGGAAGTTACTGGGAATTCTTCTGTCTAGCCTTACAGGAAAGAAACCCGTTTCCAACGAAGGCCTCTAAGTGGTCAAAATATCCATGTGCAGACTTTACAAACAGAGTGTTTCCAAACTGCTGAATGAAAAGAAAAGTTAAACTCTGAGAGTTGAACGCAAACATCGCAGAGTAGTTTCTGAGAATGATTCTGTCTAGTTTTTATACGAAGATATTTCCTTTTCAGCCTTTGGCCTCAAAGCGCTTGAAATCTCCACTTGCAAATTCCACAAAAAGAGTGTTTCCAATCTGCTCTGTGTAAATGAAAGTTCAACTCTGTGAGTTGAACACACACAACACAAGGAAGTTACTGGGAATTCTTCTGTCTAGCCTTATATGAAAACAACCCGTTTCCAACGAAGGCCTCAAAGAGGTCTGAATATCCACTTGCAGACTTTACAAACAGAGTGTTTCCTAACTGCTCTATGAAAAGAAAGGTTAAACTCTGTGAGTTGATCGCACACATCACAAAGGAGTTTCTGAGAATCATTTTGTCTAGTTTCTATAAGAAGATGTTTCGTATTCTACCATTGACCACAAAGCGGCTGAAATCTCCACTTGCAAATTCGACAAAAAGAGTGTTTCAAGCCTGCTGTCTGTAAAGGATCCTTCAACTACTGTGAGTTGAATACACACAACACAAGGAAGTTACTGAGAATTATTCTGTCTAGCAGAATATGAACAAATCCCGTTTCCAACGAAGGCCACAAGATGTCTGAATATCCACTTACAGACTTTACAAACAGAGTGTTTCCTAACTGCTCTATGAACAGAAAGGTTAAACTCTGTGAGTTGAACGAACACATCACAACGCAGTTTGTGGGAATGATTCTGTCTAGTTTTTATAGGAAGATATTTCCTTTTCTACCTTTGACTTCAAAGCGGCTGAAATCTCCACTTGCAAATTCCACAAAAAGAGTGTTACAAGTCTGCTCTGTGTAAAGGATCGTTCAACTCTGTGAGTTGAATACACACAACACAAGGAAGTTACTAAGAATTCTTCTGTCTAGCCTTACATGCAAAAAACCCGATTCCAACGAAGGCCTCTAAGTGGTCAAAATATCCACGTGCAGACTTTACAAACAGAGTGTTTCCAAACCGCTGAATGAAAAGAAAAGTTAAACTCTGAGAGTTGAACGCACACATCACGCAGCAGTTTCTGAGAATGATTCTGTCTAGTTTTTATACGAAGATATTTCCTTTTCTGCCTTTGGCCCCAAAGCGCTTGAAATCTCCACTTGCAAATTCCACAAAAACAGTGTTTCACATCTGCTCTCTCTAAATGAAAGTTCAACTCTGTCAGTTGAATACACACAACACAAGGAAGTTACTGAGAATTCTTCTGTCTAGCCTTATATGAAAAAAACCCGTTTCCAACGAAGGCCCCAAAGAGGTCTGAATATCCACTTGCAGACTTTACAAACAGAGTGTTTCCTAACTGCTCTATGAAAAGAAAGGTTAAACTCTGTGAGTTGAACGCACACATCACAAAGGAGTTTCTGAGAATCTATCTGTCTTGTTTCTATAGGAAGATATTTCCTATTCTACCATTGACCTCAAATCGGCTAAAATCTCCACTTGCAAATTCCACAAAAAGAGTGTTTCAAGTCCGCTCTGTGTAAAGGATCGTTCAACTCTGTGAGTTGAATACACACAACACAAGGAAGTTACTGAGAATTCTTCTGTCTAGCAGAATATGAAGAAATCCCGTTTCCAACGAAGGCCACAAGATGTCAGAATATCCACTTACAGACTTTACAAACAGAGTGTTTCCTAACTACTCTATGAACAGAAAGGTTAAACTCTGTGAGTTGAACGAAAACATCACAACGCAGTTTGTGGGAATGATTCTGTCTAGTTTTGAAACCAAGATATTTCCTTTTCTGCCGTTGACCTTAAAGAGCTTGAAAACTACACTTGCAAATTGCACAAATAGAGTGTTTCAAATCTGCTCTGTCTAAGGGAACGTTCAACTCTGTGAGTTGAATGCACACAACACAAGGAAGTTACTGGGAATTCTTCTGTCTAGCCTTACATGAAAAAAACCCGTTTCCAACGAAGACCTCTAAGTGGTCAAATTATCCACGTGCAGACTTTACAAACAGAGTGTTTCCAAACTGCTGAATGAAAAGAAAAGTTAAACTCTGAGAGTTGAACGCACACATCGCAGAGCAGTTTCTGAGAATGATTCTGTCTAGTTTTTATACGAAGATATTTCCTTTTCTGCCTCTGGCCTCAAAGCGCTTGAAATCTCCATTTGCAAATTCTACAAAAAGAGTGTTTCAAATCTGCTCAGTGTAAATGAAAGTTCAACTCTCTGAGTTGAACACACACAACACATGGAAGTTACTGGGAATTCTTCTGTCTAGCCTTATATGAAAAAAACCCGTTTCCAACGAAGGCCTCAAAGAGGTCTGAATATCCACTTGCAGACTTTAGAAACAGAGTGTTTCCTAACTGCTCTATGAAAAGAAAGGTTAAACTCTGTGAGTTGAACGCACACATCACAAAGGAGTTTCTGAGAATCTTTCTGTCTAGTCTTTATACGAAGATATTTCCTTTTCTACCATTGACCTCAAAGCGGCTGAAGTCTCCACTTGCAAATTCCACAAAAAGAGTGTTTAAAGTCTGCTCTCTGTAAAGGATCGTTCAACTCTGTGAGTTGAATACACACAGCACAAGGAAGTTACTGAGAATTCTTCTGTCTAGCCTTACAGGAAAAAAACCCGTTTCCAACGAAGGCCTCTAAGTGGTCAAAATATCCACGTGCAGACTTAACAAACAGAGTTTTTCCACACTGCTGAATGAAAAGAAAAGTTAAACTCTGAGAGTTGAACGCACACATCGCAGAGCAGTTTCTGAGAATGATTCTGTCTAGTTTTGAAACGAAGATATTTCCTTTTCTGCCGTTGACCTTAAAGCACTTGAAATCTACACTTGCAAATTGCACAAATAGAGTGTTTCAAATCTGCTCTGTCTAAGGGAACGTTCAACTCTGTGAGTTGAATGCACACAACACAAGGAAGTTACTGGGATTTCTTCTGTCTACCCTTACATGAAAAAACCCGTTTCCAACGAAGGCCTCTAAGTGGTCAAAATATCCACGTGCAGACTTTACAAACAGAGTGTTTCCAAACTGCTGAATGAAAAGAAAAGTTAAACTCTGAGAGTTGAACGCACACATCACAGAGGATTTTCTGAGAATGATTCTGTCTACTTTTTATACGAAGATATTTCCTTTTCTGCCTTTGGCCCCAAAGCGCTTGAAATCTCCACTTGCAAATTCCACAAAAACAGTGTTTCAAATCTGCTCTCTCTAAATGAAAGTTCAACTCTGTCAGTTGAATACACACCACACAAGGAAGTTACTGAGAATTCTTCTGTCTAGCAAAATATGAAGAAATCCCGTTTCCAACGAAGGCCTCAAAGAGGTCTGAATATCCACTTGCAGACTTTACAAACAGAGTGTTTCCTAACTGCTCTATGAAAAGAAAAGTTAAACTCTGTGAGTTGAACGCACACATCACAAAGGAGTTTATGAGAATCATTCTGTCTACTCTTTATACGAAGATATTTCCTTTTCTACCATTGACCTCAAAGCGGCTGAAATCTCCACTTGCAAATTCCACAAAAAGAGTGTTTCAAGTCTGCTCTGTGTAAAGAATCGTTCAACTCTGTGAGTTGAATACACACAACACAAGGAAGTTACTGAGAATTCTTCTGTCTAGCAGAATATGAAGAAATCCCGTTTCCAACGAAGGCCACAAGATGTCAGAATATCCACTTACAGACTTTACAAACAGAGAGTTTCCTAACTGCTCTATGAACAGAAAGGTTAAACTCTGTGAGTTGAACGAACACATCACAACGCAGTTTGAGGGAATGATTCTGTCTAGTTTTGAAACGAAGATATTCCCTTTTCTGCCATTGACCTTAAAGCGCTTGAAATCTACACTTGCAATTTGCACAAATAGAGTGTTTCAAATCTGCTCTGTCTAAGGGAACGTTCAACTCTCTGAGTAGAATGCACACAACACAAGGAAGTTACTGGGAATTCTTCTGTCTAGCCTTACATGAAAAAAACCCGTTTCCAACGAAGACCTCTAAGTGGTCAAAATATCCACGTGCAGACTTTACAAACAGAGTGTTTCCAAACTGCTGAATGGAAAGAAAAGTTAAACTCTGAGAGTTGAACACACACATCACAGAGCGGTTTCTGAGAATGATTCTGTCTAGTTTTTATACGAAGATATTTCCTTTTCTGCCTTTGGCCTCAAAGCGCTTGAAATCTCCACTTGCAAATTCCACAAAAAGAGTGTTTCAAATCTGCTCTGTGTAAGTGAAAGTTCAACTCTGTGAGTTGAACACACACAACAAAAGGAAGTTACTGGGAATTCTTCTGTCTAGCCTTATATGAAAAAAACCCGTTTCCAAAGAAGGCCTCAAAGAGGTCTGAATATCCACTTGCAGACTTTACAAACAGAGTGTTTCCTAACTGCTCTATGAAAAGAAATGTTAAACTCTGTGAGTTGAACGCACACATCACAAAGGAGTTTCTGAGAATCATTCTGTCTAGTTTTTCTAGGAAGATATTTCCTTTTCTACTATTGACCTCAAAGCGGCTGAAATCTCCACTTGCAAATTCCACAAAAAGAGTGTTTCAAGTCTGCTCTGTGTAAAGGATCGTTCAACTCTGTGAGTTGAATACACACAACACAAGGAAGTTACTGAGTATTCTTCTGTCTAGCAGAATATGAAGAAATCCCGTTTCCAACGAAGGCCACAAGATGTCAGAATATCCACTTACAGAATTTACAAACAGACTGTTTCCTAACTGCTCTATGAAAAGAAAGGTTAAACTCTGTGAGATGAACGAACACATCACAACGCAGTTTGTGGTAATGATTCTGTCTAGTTTTGAAACGAAGATATTTCCTTTTCTGCCATTGACCTTAAAGCGCTTGAAATCTCCACTTGCCAATTGCACAAAAAGAGTGTTTCAAATCTGCTCTGTCTAAGGGAACGTTCAACTCTGTGAGTTGAATTTACACAACACAAGGAAGTTACTGGGAATTCTTCTGTCTAGCCTTACAGGAAAGAAACCCGTTTCCAACGAAGGCCTCTAAGTGGTCAAAATATCCACGTGCAGACTTTACAAACAGAGTGTTTCCAAACTGCTGAATCAAAAGAAAAGTTAAACTCTGAGAGTTGAACGCACACATCGCAGAGCAGTTTCTGAGAATGATTCTGTGTAGTTTTTATACGAAGATATTTCCTTTTCTGCCTTTGGCCTCAAAGCGCTTGAAATCTCCATTTGCAAATTCCACAAAAAGAGTGTTTCAAATCTGCTCTGTGTAAATGAAAGTTCAACTCTGTGAGTTGAACACACACAACACAAGGAAGTTATTGGGAATTCTTCTGTCTAGCCTTATATGAAAAAAACCCGTTTCCAACGAAGTCCTCAAAGAGGTCTGAATATCCACTTGCAGACATTACAAACAGAGTGTTTCCTAACTGCTCTATGAAAAGAAAGGTTAAACTCTGTGAGTTGAACACACACATCACAAAGGAGTTTCTGAGAATCATTCTGTCTAGTTTTTCTACGAAGATATTTCCTTTTCTACTATTGACCTCACAGCGGCTGAAATCTCCACTTGCAAATTCCACAAAAAGAGTGTTTCAAGTCTGCTCTGTGTAAAGGATCGTTCAACTCTGTGAGTTGAATACACACAACACAAGGAAGTTACTGAGAATTCTTCTGTCTAGCAGAATATGAAGAAATCCCTTTTCCAACGAAGGCCACAAGATGTCAGAATATCCACTTACAGAATTTACAAACAGACTGTTTCCTAACTGCTCTATGAAAAGAAAGGTTAAACTCTGTGAGTTGAACGAACACATCACAACGCAGTTTGTGGGAATGATTCTGTCTAGTTTTGAAAGGAAGATATTTCCTTTTCTGCCGTTGACCTTAAAGTGCTTGAAATGTACACTTGCAAATTGCACAAATAGGCTGTTTCAAATCTGCTCTGTCTAAGGGAACGTTCAACTCTGTGAGTTGAATGCGCACAACACAAGGAAGTTACTGGGAATTCTTCTGTCTAGCCTTACATGAAAAAAACCCGTTTCCAACGAAGGTCTCTAAGTGGTCAAAATATCCACGTGCAGACTTTACAAACAGAGTGTTTCCAAACCGCTGAATGAAAAGAAAAGTTAAACTCTGAGAGTTGAACGCACACATCACGCAGCAGTTTCTGAGAATGATTCTGTGTATTTTGTATACGAAGATATTTCCTTTTCTGCCTTTGGCCTCAAAGCGCTTGAAATCTCCATTTGCAAATTCCACAAAAAGAGTGTTTCAAATCTGCTCTGTGTAAATGAAAGTTCAACTCTGTGAGTTGAACACACACAACACAAGGAAGTTATTGGGAATTCTTCTGTCTAGCAGAATATGAAGAAATCCCGTTTCTAACGAAGGCCTCAAAGAGGTCTGATTATCCACTTGCAGACTTTACAAACAGAGTGTTTCCTAAATGCTCTATTAAAAGAAAGGTTAAACTCTGTGAGTTGAACGCACACATCACAAAGGAGTTTCTGAGAATCATTCTGTCTAGTTTTTATACGAAGATATTTCCTTTTCTACCATTGACCTCAAAGCGGCTGAAATCTCCACTTGCAGATTCCACAAAAAGAGTGTTTCAAATCTGCTCTGTGTAAACCATCGTTCAACTCTGTGAGTTGAATACACACAACACAAGGAAGATTCTGAGAATTCTTCTGTCTAGCAGAATATGAAGAAATCCCGTTTCCAACGAAGGCCTCAAAGAGGTCTGAATATCCACTTGCAGACTTTACAAACAGAGTGTTTCCTAACTGCTCTATGAAAAGAAAGGTTAAACTCTGTGACTTGGACGCACACATCACAAAGGAGTTTCTGAGAATCATTCTGTCTAGTTTTTATACGAAGATATTTCGTTTTCTACCATGGACCTCAAAGCGGCTGAAATCTCCACTTGCAAATTCCACAAAAAGAGTGTTTCAAGTCTGCTCTGTGTAAAGGATCGTTCAACTCTGTGAGTTGAATACACACAACACAAGGAAGATTCTGAGAATTCTTCTGTCTAGCAGAATATGAAGAAATCACGTTTCCAACGAAGGCCACAAGATGTCAGAATATCCACTTACAGACTTTACAAACAGAGTGTTTCCTAACTGCTCTATGAACAGAAAGGTTAAACTCTGTGAGTTGAACGAACACATCACAACGCAGTTTGTGGGAATGATTCTGTCTAGTTTTGAAACGAAGATATTTCCTTTTCTGCCATTGACCTTAAAGCGCTTGAAATCTACACTTGCAAATTGCACAAATAGAGTGTTTCAAATCTGCTCTGTCTAAGCGAACGTTCATCTCTGTGAGTTGAATGCACACAACACAAGGAAAGTTACTGGGAATTCTTCTGTCTAGCCTTACAGGAAAAAAACCCGTTTCCAACGAAGGCCTCTAAGTGGTCAAAATATCCACGTGCAGACTTTACAAACAGAGTGTTTCCAAACTGCTGAATGAAAAGAAAAGTTAAACTCTGAGAGTTGAACCCACACATCGCAGAGCAGTTTCTGAGAATGATTCTGTCTAGTTTTTATACGAAGATATTTCCTTTTCTGCCTTTGGCCTCAAAGCGCTTGAAATCTCCACCTGCAAATTCCACAAAAAGAGTGTTTCAAATCTGCTCTGTGTAAATGAAAGTTCAACTCTGTGAGTTAAACACACACAACACAAGGAAGTTACTGGGAATTCTTCTGTCTAGCATAATATGAAGAAATCCCGTTTCCAACGAACGCCTCAAAGGGTTCTGAATATCCACTTGCAGCCTTTATAAACAGAGTGTTTCCTAACTGCTCTATGAGAAGAAAGGTTAAACTCTGTGAGTTGAACGCACACATCACAAAGGAGTTTCTGAGAATCATTCTGTCTAGTTTCTATAGGAAGATATTTCCTATTCTACCATTGACCTCCAAGCGGCTGAAATCTCCACTTGCAAATTCCACAAAAAGAGTGTTTCAAGTCTGCTCTCTGTAAAGGATCGTTCAACTCTGTGAGTTGAATACACACAGCACAAGGAATTTACTGAGAATTATTCTGTCTAGCAGAATATGAAGAAATCCCGTTTCCAACGAAGGCCACAAGATGTCAGAATATCCACTTACAGAATTGACAAACAGACTGTTTCCTAACTGCTCTATGAAAAGAAAGGTTAAACTCTGTGAGCTGAACGAACACATCACAACGCAGTTTGTGGGAATGATTCTGTCTAGTTTTGAAACGAAGATATTTCCTTTTCTGCCATTGACCTTAAAGCGCTTGAAATCTACATTTGCCAATTGCACAAAAAGAGTGTTTCAAATCTGCTCTGTCTAAGGGAACGTTCAACTCTGTGAGTTGAATGTACACAACACAAGGAAGTTACTTGGAATTCTTCTGTCTAGCCTTACATGAAAAAAACCCGTTTCCAACGAAGGCCTCTAAGTGGTCAAATTATCCACGTGCAGACTTTACAAACAGAGTGTTTCCAAACTGCTAAATGAAAAGAAAAGTTAAACTCTGAGAGTTGAACGCACACATCACAGAGCAGTTTCTGAGAATGATTCTGTCTAGTTTTTATACGAAGATATTTCCTTTTCTGCCTTTGGCCTCAAAGCGCTTGAAATCTCCACTTGCAAATTCCACAAAACGAGTGTTTCAAATCTGCTCTGTGTAAATGAAAGTTCAACTCTGTGAGTTGAACACACACAACACAAGGAAGTTACTGGGAATTCTTCTGTGTAGCAGAATATGAAGAAATCCCGTTTCCAACGAAGGCCTCAGGGAGGTCTGAATATCCACTTGCAGACTTTACAAACAGAGTGTTTCCTAACTGCTCTATGAAAAGAAAGGTTAAACTCTGTGAGTTGAACGCACACATCACAAAGGAGTTTCTGAGAATCATTCTGTCTACTTTCTATAGGAAGATATTTCCTATTCTACCATTGACCTCAAAGCGGCTGAAATCTCCACTTGCAAATTCCACAAAAGGAGTGTTTCAAGTCTGCTCTGTGTAAAGGATCGTTCAACTCTGTGAGTTGAAAACACACAACACAAGGAAGTTTCTAAGAATTCTTCTGTCTAGCAGAATATGAAGAAATCCCGTTTCCAACTAAGGCCACAAGATGTCAGAATATCCACTTACAGAATTGACAAACAGACTGTTTCCTCACTGCTCTATGAAAAGAAAGGTTAAACTCTGTGAGTTGAACGAACACATCACAACGCAGTTTGTGGGAATGATTCTGTCTAGTTTTTATACGAAGATATTTCCTTTTCTACCATTGACCTCAAAGCGGCTGAAATCACCACTTGCCAATTGCACAAAAAGAGTGTTTCAAATCTGTTCTGTCTAAGGGAACGTTCAACTCTGTGAGTTGAATGTAGACAACACAAGGAAGTTACTGGGAATTCTTCTGTCTAGCCTTACATTCAAAAAACCCGTTTCCAACGAAGGCCTCTAAGTGGTCAAAATATCCACGTGCAGACTTTACAAACAGAGTGTATCCAAACCGCTGAATGAAAAGAAAAGTTAAACTCTGTGAGTTGAACAGACACATCACAAAGGAGTTTCTGAGAATCATTCTGTCTAGTTTTTATACGAAGATATTTCCTTTTCTGCCTTTGGCCCCAAAGCGCTTGAAATCTCCACTTGCAAATTCCACAAAAACAGTGTTTCAAATCTGCTCTCTCTAAATGAAAGTTCAACTCTGTCAGTTGAATACACACAACACAAGGAAGATTCTGAGAATTATTCTGTCTAGCCTTATATGAAAAAAACCCGTTTCCAAAGAAGGCCTCAAAGAGGTCTGAATATCCACTTGCAGACTTTACAAACAGAGTGTTTCCTAACTGCTCTATGAAAAGAAAGGTTAAACTCTGTGAGTTGAACGCACACATCACAAAGAAGTTTCTGAGAATCATTTTGTCTAGTTTTTCTACGAAGATATTTCGTTTTCTACTATTGACCTCAAAGCGGCTGAAATCTCCACTTGCAAATTCCACAAAAAGAGTGTTTCAAGTCTGCTCTGTGTAAAGGATCGTTCAACTCTGTGAGTTGAATACACACAACACAAGGAAGTTACTGAGAATTCTTCTGTCTAGCAGAATATGAAGAAATCCCGTTTCCAACGAAGGCCTCAAAGAGGTCTGAATATCCACTTGCAGAGTTTACAAACAGAGTGTTTCCTAACGGCTCTATGAAAATAAACGTTAAACTCTGTGAGTTGAACGAACACATCACAACGCAGTTTGTGGGAATGATTCTGTCTAGTTTTGAAACGAAGATATTTCCTTTTCGGCCATTGACCTTAAAGCGCTTGAAATCTCCACTTGCCAATTGCACAAAAAGAGTGTTTCAAATCTGCTCTGTCTAAGGGAACGTTCAACTCTGTGAGTTGAATATACACAACACAAGGAAGTTACTGGGAATTCTTCTGTCTAGCCTTACATGAAAAAATCCCGTTTCCAACGAAGGCCTCTAAGTGGTCAAAATATCCACGTGCAGACTTTACAAACAGAGTGTTTCCAAACCGCTGAATGAAAAGAAAACTTAAACTCTGTGAGTTGAACGCACACATCACGCAGCAGTTTCTGAGAATGATTCTGTCTAGTTTTTATACGAAGATATTTCCTTTTCTGCCTTTGGCCCCAAAGCGCTTGAAATCTCCACTTGCAAATTCCACAAAAACACTGTTTCAAATCTGCTCTCTCTAAATGAAAGTTCAACTCTGTCAGTTGAATACACACAACACAAGGAAGTTACTGAGAATTCTTCTGTCTAGCCTTATATGAAAAAAACCCGTTTCCAACGAAGGCCTCAAAGAGGTCTGAATATCCACTTGCAGACTTTACAAACAGAGTGTTTCCTAACTGCTCTATGAAAAGAAAGGTTAAACTCTGTGAGTTGAACGCACACATCACAAAGGAGTTTCTGAGAATCTATCTGTCTAGTTTTTATACGAAGATATTTCCTTTTCTACCATGGGACCTCAAAGCGGCTGAAATCTCCACTTGCAAATTCCACAAAAAGAGTGTTTCAAGTCTGCTCTGTGTAAAGGAACGTTCAACTCTGTGAGTTGAATACACACAACAGAAGGAAGATTCTGAGAATTCTTCTGTCTAGCAGAATATGAAGAAATCCCGTTTCCAACGAAGGCCTCAAGGAGGTCTGAATATCCACTTGCAGACTTTACAAACAGAGTGTTTCCTAACTGCTCTATGAACAGAAAGGTTAAACTTCTGTGAGTTGAACGAACACATCACAACGCAGTTTGTGGGAATGATTCTGTCTAGTTTTGAAACGAAGAATATTTCCTTTTCTGCCATTGACCTTAAAGCGCTTGAAATCTCCATTTGCCAATTGCACAAAAAGAGTGTTTCAAATCTGCTCTGTCTAAGGGAACGTTCAACTCTGTGAGTTGAATGTACACAACACAAGGAAGTTACTGGGAATTCTTCTGTCTAGCCTTACATGAAGAAAACCCGTTTCCAACGAAGGCCTCTAAGTGGTCAAAATATCCACGTGCAGACTTTACAAACAGAGTGTTTCCAAACCGCTGAATGAAAAGAAAAGTTAAACTCTGAGAGTTGATCGCACACATCACGCAGCAGTTTCTGAGAATGATTCTGTCTAGTTTTTATACGAAGATATTTCCTTTTCTGCCTTTGGCCTGAAAGGGCTTGAAATCTCCATTTGCAAATTCCACAAAAAGAGTGTTTCAAATCTGCTCCTGTGTAAATGAAAGTTCAACTCTGTGAGTTGAATACACACAACACAAGGAAGTTACTGGGAATTCTTCTGTCTAGCAGAATATGAAGAAATCCCGCTTCCAACGAAGGCCTCAAAGAAGTCTGAATATCCACTTGCAGACTTTACAAACAGAGTGTTTCCCAACTGCTCTATGAAAAGAAAGGTTGAACTCTGTGGGTTGAACGCACACATCACAAAGGAGTTTCTGAGAATCATCTGTCTAGTCTTTATATGAAGATAGTTTCCTTTTCTACCTTTGACCTCAAAGCGGCTGAAATCTCCACTTGCAAATTCCACAAAAAGAGTGTTTCAAGTCTGCTCTGTGTAAAGGATCGTTCAACTCTGTGAGTTGAATACACACAACACAAGGAAGTTACTGAGAATTCTTTCTGTCTAGCAGAATATGAAGAAATCCCGTTTCCAACGAAGGCCTCAAGGAGGTCTGAATATCCACTTGCAGACTTTACAAACAGAGTGTTTCCTAACTGCTCTATGAACAGAAAGGTTAAAGTCTGTGAGTTGAACGAACACATCACAACGCAGTTTGTGGGAATGATTCTGTCTAATTTTGAAACGAAGATATTTCCTTTTCTGCCATTGACCTTAAAGCGCTTGAAATCTACACTTGCAAATTGCACAAATAGAGTGTTTCAAATCTGCTCTGTCTAAGGGAACGTTCAACTCTGTGAGTTGAATGCACACAACACAAGGAAGTTACTGGGAATTCTTCTCTCTAGCCTTACAGGAAAAAAACCCGTTTCCAACGAAGGCCTCTAAATGGTCAAAATATCCACGTGCAGACTTTACAAACAGAGTGTTTCCAAACTGCTGAATGAAAAGAAAAGTTAAACTCTGAGAGTTGAACGCACACATCGCAGAGCAGTTTCTGAGAATGATTCTGTGTAGTTTTTATACGAAGATATTTCCTTTTCTGCCTTTGGCCCCAAAGCGCTTGAAATCTCCAATTGCAAATTCCACAAAAACAGTGTTTCAAATCTGCTCTCTCTAAATGAAAGTTCAACTCTGTCAGTTGAATACACACAACACAAGGAAGTTACTGAGAATTCTTCTGTCTAGCCTTACATGAAAAAAACCCGTTTCCAACGAAGGCCTCAAAGAGGTCTGAATATCCACTTGCAGACTTTACAAACAGAGTGTTTCCTAACTGCTCTATGAAAAGAAAGGTTAAACTCTGTGAGTTGAACGCACACATCACAAAGCAGTTTCTGAGAATCATTCTGTCTAGTTTTTATACGAAGATATTTCCTTTTCTACCATTGACCTCAAAGCGGCTGAAATCTCCACTTGCAAATTCCACCAAAAGAGTGTTTCAAATCTGCTACTGTGTAAACCATCGTTCAACTCTGTGAGTTGAATACACACAACACAAGGAAGATTCTGAGAATTCTTCTGTCCAGCAGAATATGAAGAAATCCCGTTTCCAACGAAGGCCACAAGATGTCAGAATATCCACTTACAGACTTTACAAACAGAGTGTTTCCTAACTGCTCTATGAACAGAAAGGTTAAATTCTGTGAGTTGAACGAACACATCACAACGCAGTTTGTGGTAATGATTCTGTCTAGTTTTTATACGAAGATATTTCCTTTTCTACCATTGACCTCAAACCGGCTGAAATCACCACTTGCCAATTGCACAAAAAGAGTGTTTCAAATCTGCTCTGTCTAAGGGAACGTTCAACTCTCTCAGTTGAATGTACACAACATAAGGAAGTTCCTGGGAATTCTTCTGTCTAGCCTTACATGAAAAAAACCCGTTTCCAAAGAAGGCCTCTAAGTGGTCAAAATATCCACGTGCAGACTATACAAACAGAGTGTTTCCAAACCGCTGAATGAAAAGAAAAGTTAAACTCTGAGAGTCGAACGCACACATCACGCAGCAGTTTCTGAGAATGATTCTGTCTAGTTTTTATACGAATATATTTCCTTTTCTGCCTTTGGCCCCAAAGCGTTTGAAATCTCCACTTGCAAATTCCACAAAAACAGTGTTTCAAATCTCCTCTCTCTAAATGAAAGTTCAACTGCTGTCAGTTGAATACACACAACACAAGGAAGTTACTGAGAATTCTTCTGTCTAGCCTTATATGAAAAAAACCCGTTTCCAACGAAGGTCTCAAGGAGGTCTGAATATCCACTTGCAGACTTTACAAACAGAGTGTTTCCTAACTGCTCTATGAAAAGAAAGGTTTAAACTCTGTGAGTTGAACGCACACATCACAAAGGAGTTTCTGAGAATCATTCTGTCTAGTTTTTCTACGAAGATATTTCCTTTTCTACTATTGACCTCAAAGCGTCTGAAATCTCCACTTGCAAATTCCACAAAAAGAGTGTTTCAAGAATGCTCTGTGTAAAGGATCTTTCAACTCTGTGAGTTGAATACACACAACACAAGGAAGTTACTGAGAATTCTTCTGTCTAGCAGAATATGAAGAAATCCCGTTTCCAACGAAGGCCTCAAAGAGGTCTGAATATCCACTTGCAGACTTTACAAACAGAGTGTTTCCTAACTGCTCTATGAAAAGAAAGGTTAAACTCTGTGAGTTGAACGCACACATCAAAAAGGAGTTTCTGAGAATCATTCTGTCTAGTTTTTATAGGAAGATATTTCCTTTTCTACCTTTGATTTCAAAGCGGCTGAAATCTCCACTTGCAAATTCCACAAAAAGAGTGTTACAAGTCTGCTCTGTCTAAGGGAACGTTCAACTCTGTGAGTTGAATGTACACAACACAAGGAAGTTACTGGGAATTCTTCTGTCTAGCCTTACATGAAAAAAACCCGTTTCCAACGAAGGCCTCTAAGTGGTCAAATTATCCACGTGCAGACTTTACAAACAGAGTGTTTCCAAACTGCTGAATGAAAAGAAAAGTTAAACTCTTAGAGTTGCATGCACACATCGCAGAGCAGTTTCTGAGAATGATTCTGTCTAGTTTTTATACGAAGATATTTCCTTTTCTGCCTTTGGCCTCAAAGCGCTTGAAATCTCCATTTGCAAATTCCACAAAAAGAGTGTTTCAAATCTGCTCTGTGTAAAGGATCGTTCAACTCTGTGAGTTGAATACACACAACACAAGGAAGATTCTGAGAATTCTTCTGTCTAGCCTTATATGAAAAAAACCCGTTTCCAGCGAAGGCCTCAAAGAGGTCTGAATATCCACTTGCAGACTTTACAAACAGAGTGATTCCTAACTGCTCTATGAAAAGCAAGGTTAAACTCTGTGAGTTGAACACACACATCTCAAAGGAGTTTCTGAGAATCATTCTGTCTAGTTTCTATAGGAAGATATTTCCTATTCTACCATTGAACACAAAGCGGCTGAAATCTCCACCTGCAAATTCCACAAAAAGAGTGTTTCAAGTCTGCTCTGTGTAAAGGATCGTTCAACTCTGTGAGTTGAATACACACAACACAAGGGAAGTTACTGAGAATTCTTCTGTCTAGCAGAATATGAAGAAATCCCGTTTCCAACGAAGGCCTCAAGGAGGTCTGAATATCCACTTGCAGAATTTACAAACAGAGTGTTTCCTAACTGCTCTATGAACAGAAAGGTTAAACTCTGTGAGTTGAACGAACGCATCACAACGCAGTTTGTGGGAATGATTCTGTCTAGTTTTGAAACGAAGATATTTCCTTTTCTGCCATTGACCTTAAAGCGCTTGAAATCTACACTTGCAAATTGCACAAATAGAGTGTTTCAAATCTGCTCTAAGGGAACGTTCAACTCTGTGAGTTGAATGCACACAACACAATGAAGTTACTGGGAATTCTTCTGTCTAGCCTTACATGGAAAAAACCCGTTTCCAAAGAAGGCCTCAAAGAAGTCCAAATATCCACGTGCAGACATTACAAACCGAGTGTTTCCTAACTGCTCTATGAAAAGAAAGGTTAAACTATGCGAGTTGAACGCACACATCACAAAGGAGTTTCTGAGAATCATTTTGTCTAGTTTTTATACGAAGATATTTCCTTTTCTGCCTTTGGCCTCAAAGCGCTTGAAATCTCCACTTGCAAATTCCACAAAAAGAGTGTTTCAAATCTGCTCTGTGTAAATGAAAGTTTAACTCTGTGAGTTGAACACACACAACACAAGGAAGTTACTGGGAATTGTTCTGTCAAGCCTTATATGTAAAAACCCGTTTCCAACGAAGGCCTCAAAGAGGTCTGAATATCCACTTGCAGACTTTACAAACAGAGTGTTTCCTAACTGCTCTATGAAAAGAAAGGTTAAACTCTGTGAGTTGAACGCACACATCACAAAGGAGTTTCTGAGAATCATTCTGTCTAGTTTTTATACGAAGACATTTCCTTTTCTACCATTGACCTCAAAGCGGCTGAAATCTCCACTTGCAAATTCCACAAAAAGAGTGTTTCAAATCTGCTCTGTGTAAACCATCGTTCAACTCTGTGAGTTGAAGACACACAACACAAGGAAGATTCTGAGAATTCTTCTGTCTAGCAGAATATGAAGAAATCCCGTTTCCAACGAAGGCCACAAGATGTCAGAATATCCACTTACAGAATTTACAAACAGAGTGTTTCCTAACTGCACTATGAAAAGAAAGGTTAAACTCTGTGAGATGAACGAACACATCACAACGCAGTTTGTGGGAATGATTCTGTCTAGTTTTGAAACGAAGATATTTCCTTTTCTGCCATTGACCTTAAAGCGCTTGAAATCTCCACTTGCCAATTGCACAAAAAGAGTGTTTCAAATCTGCTCTGTCTAAGGGAACGTTCAACTCTGTGAGTTGAATGTACACAACACAAGGAATTTACTGGGAATTCTTCTGTCTAGCCTTACATGAAAAAAACCCGTTTCCAACGAAGGCCTCTAAGTGGTCAAAATTTCCACGTGCAGACTTTATAAACAGAGTGTTTCCAAACGGCTGAATGAAAAGAAAAGTTAAACTCTGAGAGTTGAACGCACACATCACGCAGCAGTTTCTGAGAATGATTCTGTCTAGTTTTGAAACGAAGATATTTCCTTTTCTGCCTTTGGCCTCAAAGCGCTTGAAATCTCCATTTGCAAATTCCACAAAAAGAGTGTTTCAAATGTGCTCTGTGTAAATGAAAGTTCAACTCTGTGAGTTGAACACACACAACACAAGGAAGTTACTGGGAATTCTTCTGTCTAGCATAATATGAAGAAATCCCGTTTCCAACGAATGCCTCAAGGAGGTCTGAATATCCACTTGCAGACTTTACAAACAGAGTGTTTCCTAACTGCTCTATGAAAAGAAAGGTTAAACAGTGTGAGTTGAACGCACACATCACAAAGGAGTTTCTGAGAATCATTCTGTCTAGTTTTTCTTCGAAGATATTTCCTTTTCTACTATTGACCTCAAAGCGGCTGAAATGTCCACTTGCAAATTCCACAAAAAGAGTGTTTCAAGTCTGCTCTGTGTAAAGGATCGTTCAACTCTGTGAGTTGAATGCACACAACACAAGGAAGTTACTGGGAATTCTTCTGTCTAGCAGAATATGAAGAAATCCCAGTTTCCAACGAAGGCCACAAGATGTCAGAATATCCACTTACAGACTTTAGAAATAGAGTGTTTCCTAACTGCTCTATGAACAGAAAGGTTAAACTCTGTGAGTTGAACGAACACATCACAACGCAGTTTGTGGGAATGATTCTGTCTAGTTTTGAAACGAAGATATTTCCTTTTCTGCCATTGACCTTAAAGCGCTTGAAATCTACAATTGCAAATTGCACAAATAGAGTGTTTCAAATCTGCTCTGTCTAAGGGAACGTTCAACTCTGTGAGTTGAATGCACACAACACAAGGAAGTTACTGGGAATTCTTCTGTCTAGCCTTACATGAAAATAACCCGTTTCCAACGAAGGCCTCTAAGTGGTCAAATTATCCACGTGCAGACTTTACAAACAGAGTGTTTCCAAACTGCTGAATGAAAAGAAAAGTTAAACTGTGAGAGTTGAACGCACACATCGCAGAGCAGTTTCTGAGAATGATTCTGTCTAGTTTCTATAGGAAGATATTACCTATTCTACCGTTGACCACAAAGCGGCTGAAATCTCCACTTGCAAATTCCACAACAAGAGTGTTTCAAGTCTGTTCTGTGTAAAGGATCATTCAACTCTGTGAGTTGAATACACACAACACAAGGAAGTTACTGAGAATTCTTCTGTCTAGCAGAACATGAAGAAATCCCGCTTCCAAAGAAGGCCTCAAAGAAGTCTGAATATCCACTTGCAGACTTTACAAACAGAGTGTTTCCCAACTGCTCTATGAAAAGAAAGGTTGAACTCTGTGAGTTGAACGCACACATCACAAAGGAGTTTCTGAGAATCATTCTGTCTAGTCTTTATACGAAGATATTTCCTTTTCTACCAGTGACATGAAAGCGGCTGAAATCTCCACTTGCAAATTCCACAAAAAGAGTGTTTCAAGTCTGCTCTGTGTAAAGAATCGTTCAACTCTGTGAGTTGAATACACACAACACAAGGAAGTTACTGAGAATTCTTCTGCCTAGCAGAATATGAAGAAATCCCGTTTCCAACGAAAGCCTCAAAGATGTCTGAATATCCACTTGCAGACTTTACAAACAGAGTGTTTCCTAACTGCTCTATGAAAAGAAAAGTTAAACTCTGTGAGTTGAACGCACACATCACAAAGGAGTTTCTGAGAATCATTCTGTCTAGTCTTTATACGAAGATAGTTTCCTTTTCTACCATTGACCTCAAAGCGCCTGAAATCTCCACTTGCAAATTCCACAAAAAGAGTGTTTGAAGTCTGCTCTCTGTAAAGGATCTTTCAACTCTGTGAGTTGAATACACACAACACAAGGAAGTTACTGAGAATTCTTCTGTCTTGCATAATATGAAGAAATCCCGTTTCCAACGAAGGCCTCAAGGAGGTCTGAATATCCACTTGCAGACTTTACAAACAGAGTGTTTCCTAACTGCTCTATGAAAAGAAAGGTTGAACTCTGTGAGTTGAACGCACACATCACAAAGGAGTTTCTGAGAATCATTCTGTCTAGTTTTTATACGAAGATATTTCCTTTTCTACCATTGACCTCAAGGTGGCTGAAATCTCCACTTGCAAATTCCACAAAAAGAGTGTTTCAGATCTGCTCTGTGTGAAAGATGGTTCAACTCTGTGAGTTGAATACACACAACACAAGGAAGTTACTGAGAATTCTTCTGTCTAGCAGAATATGAAGAAATCCCGTTTCCAACGAAGGCCACAAGATGTCAGAATATCCACTTACAGAATTTACAAACAGACTGTTTCCTAACTGCTCTATGAAAAGAATGGTTAAACTCTGTGAGTTTACCGAACACATCACAACGCAGTTTCTGGGAATGATTCTGTCTAGTTTTGAAACGAAGATATTTCCTTTTCTGCCATTGACCTTAAAGCGCTTGAAATCTCCACTTGCCAATTGCACAAAAAGAGTGTTTCAAATCTGCTCTGTGTAAGGGAACGTTCAACTCTGTGAGTTGAATGTACACAACACAAGGAAGTTACTGGGGAATTCTTCTGTCTAGCCTTACATGCAAAAAACCCGTTTCCAACGAAGGCCTCTAAGTGGACAAAATATCCACGTGCAGACTTTACAAACAGAGTGTTTCTAAACCGCTGAATGAAAAGAAAAGTTAAACTCTGAGAGTTGAACACACACATCACGCAGCAGTTTCTGATAATGATTCTGTCTAGTTTTTATACGAAGATATTTCCTTTTCTGCCTTTGGCCCCAAAGCGCTTGAAATCTCCACTTGCAAATTCCACAAAAAGAGTGTTTCAAATCTGCTCTCTCTAAACGAAAGTTCAACTCTGTCAGTTGAATACACACAACATAAGGAAGTTACTGAGAATTCTTCTGTCTAGCCTTATATGAAAAAAACCCGTTTCCAACGAAGGCCTCAAAGAGGTCTGAATATCCACTTGCAGACTTTACAAACAGAGTGATTCCTAACTGCTCTATGAAAACTAAGGTTAAACTCTGTGAGTTGAACACACACATCACAAAGGAGTTTCTGAGAATCATTCTGTCTAGTTTTTATACGAAGAGATTTCCTTTTCTACCATTGACCTCAACGCGGCTGAAATCTCCACTTGCAAATTCCACAAAAAGAGTGTTTCAAGTCCGCTCTGTGTAAAGGATCGTTCAACTCTGTGAGTTGAATACACACAACACAAGGAAGTTAATGAGAATTCATCTGTCTAGCATAATATGAAGAAATCCCGTTTCCAACGAAGGCCTCAAAGAGGTCTGAATATCCACTTGCAGACTTTATAAACAGAGGGTTTCCTAACTGCTCTATGAAAAGAAAGGTTAAACTCTGTGAGTTGAACGCACACATCACAAAGGAGTTTCTGAGAATCATTCTGTCTAGTCTTTATACGAAGATATATCCTTTTCTAACATTGACCTCAAAGCGGCTGAAATCTCCACTTGCGAATTCCACAAAAAGAGTGTTTCAAGTCTGCTCTCTGTAAAGGATCGTTCAACTCTGTGAGTTGAATACACACAACACAAGGAAGTTACTGAGAATTATTCTGTCTAGCAGAATATGCAGAAATCCCGTTTCCAACGAAGACCACAAGATGTCAGAATATCCACTTACAGACTTTACAAACAGAGTGTTTCCTAACTGCTCTATGAACAGAAAGGTTAAACTCTGTGAGTTGAACGCACACATCACAAAGGAGTTTCTGAGAATCATTCTGTCTAGTCTTTATACGAAGATATTTCCTTTTCTACCATTGACCTCAAAGCGGCTGAAATCTCCACTTGCAAATTCCACAAAAAGAGTGTTTCAATCTGCTCTGTGTAAAGGATCGTTCAACTCTGTGAGTTGAATACACACAACACAAGGAAGTTACTGAGAATTCTTCTGTCTAGCCTTACATGAAAAAAACCCGTTTCCAACCGAAGGCCTCTAAGTGGTCAAAATTTCCACGTGCAGACTTTACAAACAGAGTGTTTCCAAAGCGCTGAATGAAAAGAAAAGTTAAACTCTGAGAGTTGAACGCACACATCACGCAGCAGTTTCTGAGAATGATTCTGTCTAGTTTTTATACGAAGATATTTCCTTTTCTGCCTTTGGCCTCAAAGCGCTTGAAATCTCCACTTGCAAATTCCAGAAAAAGAGTGTTTCCAATCTGCTCTGTGTAAATGAAAGTTCAACACTGTGAGTTGAACACACACAACACAAGGAAGTTACTGGGAATTCTTCTGTCTAGCAGGAATATGAAGAAATCCCGTTTCCAACGAAGGCCTCAAAGAGGTCTGAATATCCACTTGCAGACTTTACAAACAGAGTGTTTCCTAACTGCTCTATGAAAAGAAAGGTTAAACTCTGTGAGTTGTACGCACACATCACAAAGGAGTTTCTGAGAATCGTTCTGTCCAGTTTCTATAGGAAGATATTTCCTATTCTACCATTGACCTCAAAGCGGCTGAAATCTCCACTTGCAAATTCCACAAAAAGAGTGTTTCAAGTCTGCTCTGTGTAAAGGATCGTTCAACTCTGTGAGTTGAATACACACAACACAAGGAAGTTACTGAGAATTCTTCTGTCTAGCATAATATGAAGAAATCCCGTTTCCAATGAAGGCCTCAAGGATGTCTGAATATCCACTTGCAGACTTTACAAACAGTGTTTCCTAACTGCTCTATGAAAAGAAAGGTTAAACTCTGTGAGTTGAACGCACACATCACAAAGGAGTTTCTGAGAATCATTCTGTCTAGTTTTTATACGAAGATATTTCCTTTTCTACCATTGACCTCAAAGCGGCTGAAATCACCACTTGCCAATTGCACAAAAAGAGTGCTTCAAATCTGCTCTGTCTAAGGGAACGTTCAACTCTGTGAGTTGAATGTACACAACACAAGGAAGTTCCTGGGAATTCTTCTGTCTAGCCTTACATGAAGAAAACCAGTTTCCAACGAAGGCCTCTAAGTGGTCAAAATATCCACGTGTAGACTTTACAAACAGAGTGTTTCCAAACCGCTGAATGAAAAGAAAAGTTAAACTCTGAGAGTTGAACGCACACACCACGCAGCAGTTTCTGAGAATGATTCTGTCTAGGTTTTATACGAAGATATTTCCTTTTCTGCCTTTGGCCTCAAAGCGCTTGAAATCTCCACCTGCAAATTCCACAAAAAGAGTGTTTCAAATCTGCTCTGTGTAAATGAAAGTTCAACTCTGTGAGTTGAACACACACAACACAAGGGAAGTTACTGGGAATTCTTCTGTCTAGCCTTATATGAAAAAAACCCGTTTCCAACGAAGGCCTCAAAGAGGTCTGAATATCCACTTGCAGACTTTACAAACAGAGTGTTTCCTAACTGCTCTATGAAAAGAAAGGTTATACTCTGTGAGTTGAACGCACACATCACAAAGGAGTTTCTGAGAATCATTCTGTCTAGTTTTTATACGTAGATATTTCCTTTTCTACCATTGACCTCAACGCGGCTGAAATCTCCACTTGCAAATTCCACAAAACGAGTGTTTCAAGTCCGCTCTGTGTAAAGGATCGTTCAACTCTGTGAGTTGAATACACACAACACAAGGTAGTTACTGAGAATTCTTCTGTCTAGCAGAATATGAAGAAATCCCGTTTCCAACGAAGGCCACAAGATGTCAGAATATCCACTTACAGAATTTACAAACAGACTGTTTCCTAACTGCTCTATGAAAAGAAAGGTTAAACTCTGTGAGTTGAACGAACACATCATAACGCAGTTTGTGGGAATGATTCTGTCTAGTTTTGAAACGAAGATATTTCCTTTTCTGCCATTGACCTTGAAGCGCTTGAAATCTACACTTGCAAATTGCACAAATAGAGTGTTTCAAATCTGCTCTGTCTAAGGGAAGGTTCAACTCTCTGAGCTGAATGCACACAACACAAGGAAGTTACTGGGAATTCTTCTGTCTAGCCTTACATGAAAAAAAACCCGTTTCCAACGAAGGCCTCTAAGTGGTCAAAATATCCACGTGCAGACTTTACAAACAGAGTGTTTCCAAACCGCTGAATGAAAAGAAAAGTTAAACTCTGAGAGTTGAACGCACACATCACGCAGCAGTTTCTGAGAATGATTCTGTCTAGTTTTGAAACGAAGATATTTCC
Source organism: Homo sapiens (assembly GCF_000001405.40). Taxonomy (NCBI): domain Eukaryota; kingdom Metazoa; phylum Chordata; class Mammalia; order Primates; family Hominidae; genus Homo; species Homo sapiens. The sequence continues at coordinate 25,372,750 of NC_000019.10, read as the reverse complement.
TTTTCTTCCTTTGGCCTCAAAGCGCTTGAAATCTCCACTTGCAAATTCCACAAAAAGAGTGTTTCAAATCTGCTCTGTGTAAATGAAAGTTCAACTCTGTGAGTTGAACACACACAACACAAGGAAGTTACTGGGAATTCCTCTGTCTAGCCTTATATGAAAAAAACCCATTTCCAACGAAGGCCTCAAAGAGGGCTGAATATCCACTTGCAGACTTTACAAGCAGAGTGTTTCCTAACTGCTCTATGAAAAGAAAGGTTAAACTCTGTGAGTTGAACGCACATATCACAAAGGAGTTTCTGAGAATCATTCTGTCTAGTCTTTATACGAAGATATTTCCTTTTCTACCATTGACCACAAAGCGGCTGAAATCTCCACATGCAAATTCCACAAAAAGAGTGTTTCAAGTCTGCTCTGTGTAAAGGATCATTCAACTCTGTGAGTTGAATAAACACAACACAAGGAAGTTACTCAGAATTCTTCTGTCTAGCAGAATATGAAGAAATCCCGTTTCCAACGAAGGCCTCAACTAGGTCTGAATATCCACTTGCAGACTTTACAAACAGAGTGTTTCCTAACTGCTCTATGAAAAGAAATGTTAAACTCTGTGAGTTGAACACACACATCACAAAGGAGTTTCTGAGAATCATTCTGTCTAGTTTTTATAGGAAGATATTTCCTTTTCTACCTTTGACTTCAAAGCGGCTGAAATCTCCACTTGCAAATTCCACAAAAAGAGTGTTACAAGTCTGCTCTGTCTAAGGGAACGTTCAACTCTGTGATTTGAATGTACACAACACAAGGAAGTTACTGGGAATTCTTCTGTCTAGCCTTACAGGAAAAAAACCCGTTTCCAACGAAGTCCTCTAAGTGGTCAAGTTATCCACGTGCAGACTTTACAAACAGAGTGTTTCCAAACTGCTGCATGAAAAGAAAAGTTAAACTCTGAGAGTTGAACGCACACATCGCAGAGCAGTTTCTGAGAATGATTCTGTCTAGTTTTGAACGAAGATATTTCCTTTTCTGCCTTTGGCCTCAAAGCGCTTGAAATCTCCACTTGCAAATTCCACAAAAAGAGTGTTTCAAATCTGCTCTGTGTAAATGAAAGTTCAACTCTGTGAGTTGAACACACACAACACAAGGAAGTTACTGGGAATTCTTCTGTCTAGCATAATATGAAGAAATCCCGTTTCCAACGAAGGCCTCAAAGAGGTCTGAATATCCACTTGCAGACTTTAAAAACAGAGTGTTTCCTAACTACTCTAGGAAAAGAAAGGTTAAACTCTGTGAGTTGAACGCACACATCACAAAGTAGTTTCTGAGAATCATTCTGTCTAGTTTCTATACGAAGATATATCCTTTTCTACCATTGACCTCAAAGCGGCTGAAATCTCCACTTGCAAAATCCACAAAAAGTGTGTTTCTAATCTGCTCTGTGTAAAGGATCATTCAACTATGTGAGTTGAATACACACAGCAAAAGGAAGTTACTGAGAATTCTTCTGTCTAGCAGAATATGAAGAAATCCCGTTTCCAACGAAGGCCACAAGATGTCAGAATATCCACTTACAGACTTTACAAACAAAGTGTTTCCTAACTGCTCTATGAACAGAAAGGTTAAACTCTGTGAGTTGGACGAACACATCACAACGCAGTTTGTGGGAATGATTCTGTCTAGTTTTGAAACGAAGATATTTCCTTTTCTGCCGTTGACCTTAAAGAGCTTGAAAACTACACTTGCAAATTGCACAAATAGAGTGTTTCAAATCTGCTCTGTCTAAGGGAACGTTCAACTCTGTGAGTTGAATGCACACAACACAAGGAAGTTACTGGGAATTCTTCTGTCTAGCCTTACATGAAAAAATCCCGTTTCCAAAGAAGGCCTCTAAGTGGTCAAAATTTCCACGTGCAGACTTTACAAACAGAGTGTTTCCAAACTGCTGAATGAAAAGAAAAGTTAAACTCTGAGAGTTGAACGCACACATCACGCAGCAGTTTCTGAGAATGATTCTGTCTAGTTTTGAAACGAAGATATTTCCTTTTCTGTCTTTGGCCTCAAAGCGCTTGAAATCTCCACTTGCAAATTCCACAAAAAGAGTGTTTCAAATCTGCTCTGGGTAAATGAAAGTTCAACTCTGTGAGTTGAACACACACAACACAAGGGAAGTTACTGGGAATTCTTCTGTCTAGCATAATATGAAGAAATCCCGTTTCCAACGAAGGCCTCAAAGAGGTCTGAATATCCACTTGCAGACTGTACAAACAGAGTGTTTCCTAACTGCTCTATGAGAAGAAAAGTTAAACTCTGTGAGTTCAACGCACACATCACAAAAGATTTTCTGAGAATCATTCTGTCTAGTTTTTATACGAAGATATTTCCTTTTCTACCATGGACCTCAAAGAGGCTGAAATCTCCACTTGCAAATTCCACAAAAAGAGTGTTTCAAGTCTGCTCTGTGTAAAGGATCGTTCAACTCTGTGAGTTGAATACACACAACACAAGGAAGATTCTGAGAATTCTTCTGTCTAGCAGAATATTAAGAAATCCCATTTCCAACGAAGGCCTCAAGGAGGTCTGAATATCCACTTGCAGACTTTACAAACAGAGTGTTTCCTAACTGCTCTATGAACAGAAAGGTTAAACTCTGTGAGTTGAACGAACACATCACAACGCAGTTTGTGGGAATGATTCTGTCTGGTTTTGAAACGAAGATATTTCCTTTTCTGCCATTGACCTTAAAGCGCTTGAAATCTACACTTGCAAATTGCACAAATAGAGTGTTTCAAATCTGCTCTGTCTAACGGAACGTTCAACTCTGTGAGTTGAATGCACACAACACAAGGAAGTTACTGGGAAATCTTTTGTCTAGCCTTACAGGAAAAAAACCCGTTTCCAACGAAAGCCTCTAAGTGGTCAAATTATCCACGTGCAGACTTTACAAACAGAGTGTTTCCAAACTGCTGAATGAAAAGAAAAGTTAAACTCTGAGAGTTGAACGCACACATCACAAAGGAGTTTCTGAGAATCATTCTGTCTAGTTTCTATAGGAAGATATTCCCTATTCTACCATTGACCTCAAAGCGGCTGAAATCTCCACTTGCAAATTCCCCAAAAAGAGTGTTTCAAGTCTGCTCTTTGTAAAGGATCGTTCAACTCTGTGAGTTGAATACACGCAACACAAGGGAAGTTACTGAGAATTCTTCTGTCTAGCATAATATGAAGAAATCACGTTTCCAACGAAGGCCTCAAGGAGGTCTGAATATCCACTTGCAGACTTTACAAACAGAGTGTTTCCTAACTGCTCTATGAAAAGAAAGGTTGAACTCTGTGAGTTGAACGCACACATCACAAAGGAGTTTCTGAGAATCATTCTGTCTAGTTTCTATAAGAAGATATTTCCTATTCTACCATTGACCTCAAAGCAGCTGAAATCTCCACTTGCAAATTCGACAAAAAGAGTGTTTCAAGCCTGCTCTCTGTAAAGGATCCTTCAACTCTTTGAGTTGAATACACACAACACAAGGAAGTTACTGAGAATTATTCTGTCTAGCAGAATATGAAGAAATCCCGTTTCCAACGAAGGCCACAAGATGTCAGAATATCCACTTACAGACTTTACAAACAGAGTGTTTCCTAACTGCTCTATGAACAGAAAGGTTAAACTCTGTGAGTTGAACGCACACATCACAACGCAGTTTGTGGGAATGATTCTGTCTAGTTTTGAAACGAAGATATTTCCTTTTCTGCCATTGACCTTAAAGCGCTTGAAATCTCCATTTGCCAATTGCACAAAAAGAGTGTTTCAAATCTGCTCTGTCTAAGGGAACGTTCAACTCTGTGAGTTGAATGTACACAACACAAGTAAGTTCCTGGGAATTCTTCTGTCTAGCCTTACATGAGAAAAAACCGTTTCCAAAGAAGGCCTCTAAGTGGTCAAAATATCCACGTGCAGACTTTACAAACAGAGTGTTTCCAAACTGCTGAATGAAAAGAAAAGTTAAACTCTGAGAGTTGAACGCACACATCACAGAGCAGTTACTGAGAATGATTCTGTCTAGTTTTTATACCAAGATAATTCCTTTTCTGCCTTTGGCCCCAAAGCGCTTGAAATCTCCACTTGCAAATTCCACAAAAACAGTGTTACAAATCTGCTCTCTCTAAATGAAAGTTCAACTCTGTCAGTTTAATACACACAACACAAGGAAGTTACTGAGAATTCTTCTGTCTAGCCTTACATGAAAAAAACCCGTTTCCAACGAAGACCACAAAGAAGTCCAAATATCCACGTTCAGACTTTACCAACAGAGTGTTTCCTAACTGCTCTATGAAAAGAAAGGTTAAACTCTGTGAGTTCAACGCCCACATCACAAAGGAGTTTGTGAGAATCATTCTGTCTAGTCTTTATATGAAGATAGTTTCCTTTTCTACCATTGACCTCAAAGCGGCTGAAATCTCCACTTGCAAATTCCACAAAATGAGTGTCTCAAGTCTGCTCTGTGTAAAGGATCGTTCAACTCTGTGAGTTGAATACACACACCACAAGGAAGTTACTGAGAATTCTTCTGTCTAGCAGAATATGAAGAAATCCCGTTTCCAACGAAGGCCACAAGATGTCAGAATATCCACTTACAGACTTTACAAACAGAGTGTTTCCTAACTGCTCTATGAACAGAAAGGTTAAACTCTGTGAGTTGAACGAACACATCACAACGCACTTTGTGGGAATGATTCTGTCTAGTTTTGAAACGAAGATATTTCCTTTTCTGCCATTGACCTTAAAGCGCTTGAAATCTCCACTTGCCAATTGCACAAAAAGAGTGTTTCAAATCTGCTCTGTATAAGGGAACGTTCAACTCTGTGAGTTGAATGTACACAACACAAGGAAGTTACTGGGAATTCTTCTGTCTAGCCTTACATGAAAAAAACCCGTTTCCAACGAAGGCCTCAAAGAGGTCTGAATATCCACGTGCAGACTTTACAAACAGAGTGTTTCCAAACCGCTGAATGAAAAGAAAAGTTAAACTCTCAGAGTTGAACGCACACATCACGCAGCAGTTTCTGAGAATGATTCTGTCTAGTTTTGAAACGAAGATATTTCCTTTTCTGCCTTTGGCCTCAAAGCGCTTGAAATCTCCATTTGCAAATTCCACAAAAAGAGTGTTTCAAATCTGCTCTGTGTAAATGAAAGTTCAACTCTGTGAGTTGAATACACACAACACAAGGAAGTTACTGAGAATTCTTCTGTCTAGCATAATATGAAGAAATCCCGTTTCCAACGAAGGCCTCAAAGGGGTCTGAATATCCACTTGCAGACTTTATAAACAGAGTGTTTACTAACTGCTCTATGAAAAGAAACGTTAAACTCTGTGAGTTGAACACACACATCACAAAGGAGTTTCTGAGAATCATTCTGTCTAGTTTTTATAGGAAGATATTTCCTTTTCTACCGTTGACCTCAAAGCGGCTGAAATCTCTACTTGCAAATTTCACAAAAAGAGTGTTTCAAGTCTACTCTGTGTAAAGCATCGTTCAACTCTGTGAGTTGAAAACACACAACACAAGGAAGTTTCTGAGAATTCTTCTGTCTAGCAGAATATGAAGAAATCCCGTTTCCAACGAAGGCCTCAAGGAGGTCTGAATATCCACTTGCAGACTTTACAAACAGAGTGTTTCCTAACTGCTCTATGAAAAGAAAGGTTAAACTCTGTGAGTTGAACGCACACATCACAAAGGAGCTTATGAGAATCATTCTGTCTAGTCTTTATACGAAGATATTTCCTTTTCTACAATTGACCTCAAAGCGGCTGAAAACTCCACTTGCAAATTCCACAAAAAGTGTGTTTCAAGTCTGCTCTCTGTAAAGGATCGTTCAACTCTGTGAGTTGAATACACACAACACAAGGAAGTTACTGAGAATTCTTCTGTCTAGCATAATATGAAGAAATCCCGTTTCCAACGAAGGCCTCAAAGAGGTCTGAATATCCACTTGCAAACTTTACAAACAGAGTGTTTCCTAACTGCTCTATGAGAAGAAAAGTTAATCTCTGTGAGTTGAACGCACACATCACAAAAGATTTTCTGAGAATCATTCTGTCTAGTTTTGAAACGAAGATATTTCCTTTTCTGCCGTTGACCTTAAAGCGCTTGAAATCTACACTTGCAAATTGGACAAATAGAGTGTTTCAAATCTGCTCTGTCTAAGGGAACGTTCAACTCTGTGAGTTGAATGCACACAACACAAGGAAGTTACTGGGAATTCTTCTGTCTAGCCTTACATGAAAAAAACCCGTTTCCAACGAAGGCCTCTAAGTGGTCAAAATATCCACGTGCAGACTTTACAAGCAGAGTGTTTCCAAACCGCTGAATGAAAAGAAAAGTTAAACTCTGAGAGTTGAACGCACACATCACGCAGCAGTTTCTGAGAATGATTCTGTCTAGTTTTTCTACGAAGATATTTCCTTTTCTACTATTGACCTCAAAGCGGCTGAAATATCCACTTGCAAATTCCACAAAAAGAGTGTTTCAAGTCTGCTCTGTGTAAAGGATCGTTCAACTCTGTGAGTTGAATACACACAACACAAGGAAGTTACTGAGAATTCTTCTGTCTAGCAGAATATGAAGAAATCCCGTTTCCAACGAAGGCCTCAAAGAGGTCTGAATATCCACTTGCAGACTTTACAAACAGAGTGTTTCCTAACTGCTCTATGAAAAGAAAAGTTAAACTCTGTGTGTTGAACGCACACATCACAAAGGAGTTTCTGAGAATCATTCTGTCTAGTTTTGAAACGAAGATATTTCCTTTTCTGCCATTGACCTTAAAGCGCTTGAAATCTACTCTTGCAAATTCCACAAAAAGAGTGTTTCAAGTCTGCTCTGTGTAAAGGATCGTTCAACTCTGTGAGTTGAATACACACAACACAAGGAAGTTACTGAGAATTCTTCTGTCTAGCAGAATATGAAGAAATCCCGTTTCCAACGAAGGCCACAAGATGTCAGAATATCCACTTACAGAATTGACAAACAGACTGTTTCCTAACTGCTCTATGAAAAGAAAGGTTAAACTGCTGTGAGTTGAACGAACACATCACAACGCAGTTTGTGGGAATGATTTCTGTCTAGTTTTGAAACGAAGATATTTCCTTTTCTGCCATTGACCTTAAAGCGCTTGAAATCTCCATTTGCCAATTGCACAAAAAGAGTGTTTCAAATCTGCTCTGTCTAACGGAACGTTCAACTCTGTGAGTTGAATGTACACAACACAAGGGAAGTTACTGGGAATTCTTCTGTCTAGCCTTACATGAAAAAAAACCCGTTTCCAACGAAGGCCTCTAAGTGGTCAAAATATCCACGTGCAGACTTTACAAACAGAGTGTTTCCAAACCGCTGAATGAAAAGAAAAGTTAAACTCTGAGAGTTGAACGCACACATCACGCAGCAGTTTCTGAGAATGATTCTGTCTAGTTTTTATACGAAGATATTTCCTTTTCTGCCTTTGGCCCCAAAGCGCTTGAAATCTCCACTTGCAAATTCCACAAAAACAGTGTTTCAAATCTGCTCTCTCTAAATGAAAGTTCAACTCTGTCAGTTGAATACACACAACACAAGGAAGTTACTGTGAATTCTTCTGTCTAGCCTTATATGAAAAAAACCCGTTTCCAACGAAGGCCTCAAAGAGGTCTGAATATCCTCTTGCAGACTTTACAAACAGAGTGTTTCCTAACTGCTCTATGAAAAAAAAGGTTAAACTCTGTGAGTTGAACACACACATCACAAAGGAGTTTCTGAGAATCATTCTGTCTAGTTTCTATAGGAAGATATTTCCCATTCTACCATTGACCTCAAAGCGGCTGAAATCTCCACTTGCAAATTCCACAAAAAGAGTGTTTCAAGCCTGCTCTCTGTAAAGGATCGTTCAACTCTGTGAGTTGAATACACACAACACAAGGAAGTTACTGAGAATTCTTCTGTCTAGCAGAATATGAAGAAATCCCGTTTCCAACGAAGGCCACAAGATGTCAGAATATCCACTTACAGAATTTACAAACAGACTGTTTCCTAACTGCTCTATGAAAAGAAAGGTTAAACTCTGTGATTTGAACGAACACATCACAACGCAGTTTGTGGGAATGATTCTGTCTAGTTTTGAAACGAAGATATTTCCTTTTCTGCCATTGACCTTAAAGCGCTTGAAATCTCCACTTGCCAATTGCACAAAAAGAGTGTTTCAAATCTGCTCTGTCTAAGGGAACGTTCAACTCTGTGAGTTGAATGTACACAACGCAAGGAAGTTACTGGGAATTCTTCTGTCTAGCCTTACATGAAAAAACCCGTTTCCAACGAAGGCCTCTAAGTGGCCAAATTATCCACGTGCAGACTTTACAAACAGAGTGTTTCCAAACTGCTGAATGAAAAGAAAAGTTAAACTCTGAGAGTTGAACGCACACATCGCAGAGCAGTTTCTGAGAATGATTCTGTCTTGTTTTTATACGAGGATATTTCCTTTTCTGCCTTTGGCCCCAAAGCGCTTGAAATCTCCACTTGCAAATACCACAAAAATAGTGTTTCAAATCTGCTCTCTCCAAATGAAAGTTCAACTCTGTCAGTTGAATACACACAACACAAGGAAGTTACTGAGAATTCTTCCGTCTAGCCTTACATGAAAAAAACCCGTTTCCAACGAAGGCCTCAAAGAAGTCCAAATATCCACGTGCAGACTTTACAAACAGAGTGTTTCCTAACTGCTCTATGAAAAGGAAGGTTAAACTCTGTGAGTTGAACGCCCACATCACAAAGGAGTTTCTGAGAATCATTCTGTCTAGTTTTTATTCGAAGATATTTCCTTTTCTACCATGGACCTCAAAGCGGCTGAAATCTCCACTTGCAAATTCCACAAAAAGAGTGTTTCATGTCTGCTCTGTGTAAAGGATCGTTCAACTCTGTGAGTTGAATACACACAACACAAGGAAGATTCTGAGAATTCTTCTGTCTAGCAGAATATGAAGAAATCCCGTTTCCAACGAAGGCCACAAGATGTCAGAATATCCACTTACAGAATTTACAAACAGACTGTTTCCTAACTGCTCTATGAAAAGAAAGGTTAAACTCTGTGAGTTGAACGAACACATCACAACGCAGTTTGAGGGAATGATTCTGTCTAGTTTTGAAACGAAGATATTTCCTTTTCTGCCATTGACCTTAAAGCGCTTGAAATCTACACTTGCAAGTTGCGCAAATAGAGTGTTTCAAATCTGCTCTGTCTAAGGGAACGTTCAACTCTGTGAGTTGAATGCACACAACACAAGGAAGTTACTGGGAATTCTTCTGTCTAGCCTTACATGAAAAAAACCCGTTTCCAACGAAGGCCTCTATGTGGTCAAATTATCCACGTGCAGACTTTACAAACAGAGTGTTTTCAAACTGCTGAATGAAAAGAAAAGTTAAACTCTGAGAGTTGAACGCACACATCGCAGAGCAGTTTCTGAGAATGATTCTGTCTAGTTTTTATACGAAGATATTTCCTTTTCTGCCTTTGGCCCCAAAGCGCTTGAAATCTCCACTTGCAAATTCCACAAAAACAGTGTTTCAAATCTGCTCTCTCAAAATGATAGTCCAACTCTGTCAGTTGAATACACACAACACAAGGAAGTTACTGAGAATTCTTCTGTCTAGCAGAATATGAAGAAATCCCGTTTCCAAGGAAGGCCTCAAGGAGGTCTGAATATCCACTTGCAGACTTTACAAACAGAGTGTTTCCTAACTGCTCTATGAAAAGAAAGGTTAAACTCTGTGAGATGAACGCACACATCACACAGGATTTTCTGAGAATCATTCTGTCTAGTTTTTATACGAAGAGATTTCCTTTTCTACCATGGACCTCAAAGCGGCTGAAATCTCCACTTGCAAATTCCACAAAAAGAGTGTTTCAAGTCTGCTCTGTGTAAAGGATCGTTCAACTCTGTGAGTTGAATACACACAACACAAGGAAGATTCTGAGAATTCTTCTGTCTAGCAGAATATGAAGAAATCCCGTTTCCAACGAAGGCCACAAGTATGTCAGAATATCCACTTACAGAATTTACAAACAGACTGTTTCCTAACTGCTCTACGAAAAGAAAGGTTAAACTCTGTGAGATGAACGAACACATCACAACGCAGTTTGTGGGAATGATTCTGTCTAGTTTTGCAACGAAGAAATTTCCTTTTCTGCCATTGACCTTAAAGCGCTTGAAATCTACACTTGCAAATTGCACAAATAGAGTGTTTCAAATCTGCTCTGTCTAAGGGAACGTTCAACTCTGTGAGTTGAATGCACACAACACAAGGAAGTTACTGGGAATTCTTCTGTCTAGCCTTACATGCAAAAAACCCGTTTCCAACGAAGGCCTCTAAGTGGTCAAAATATCCACGTGCAGACGTTACAAACAGAGTGTTTCCAAACCGCTGAATGAAAAGAAAAGCTAAACTCCTGAGAGTTGAACGCACACATCACGCAGCAGTTTCTGAGAATGATTCTGTCTAGTTTTTATACGAAGATATTTCCTTTTCTGCCTTTGGCCTCAAAGCGCTTGAAATCTCCACTTGCAAATTCCACAAAAAGAGTGTTTCAAATCTGCTCTTTGTAAATGAAAGTTCAACTCTGTGAGTTGAACACACACAACACAAGGAAGTTACTGGGAATTCTTCTGTCTAGCAGAATATGAAGAAATCCCGTTTCCAACGAAGGCCTCAAAGAGGTCTGAATATCCACTTGCAGACTTTACAAACAGAGTGTTTCCTAACTGCTCTATGAAAAGAAAGTTTAAACTCTGTGAGTTGAACGCACACATCACAAAGGAGTTTCTGAGAATCATCTGTCTAGTTTTTCTACGAAGATATTTCCTTTTCTACTATTGACCTCAAAGCGGCTGAAATCTCCACTTGCAAATTCCACAAAAAGAGTGATTCAAGTCTGCTCTGTGTAAAGGATCGTTCAACTCTGTGAGTTGAATACACACAACACAAGGAAGTTACTGAGAATTCTTTCTGTCTAGCAGAATACGAAGAAATCCCGTTTCCAACGAAGGCCACAAGATGTCAGAATATCCACTTACAGACTTTACAAACAGAGTGTTTCCTAACTGCTCTATGAACAGAAAGGTTAAACTCTGTGAATTGAACGAACACATCACAACGCAGTTTTGTGGGAATGATTCTGTCTAGTTTTTATACGAAGATATTTCCTTTTCTACCATTGACCTCAAAGCGGCTGAAATCACCACTTGCCAATTGCACAAAAAGATTGTTTCAAATCTGCTCTGTCTAAGGGAACGTTCAACTCTGTGAGTTGAATGTACACAACACAAGGAAGTTACTGGGAATTCTTCTGTCTAGCCTTACAGGAAAAAAACCCGTTTCCGACGAAGGCCTCTAAGTGGTCAAAATATCCACATGCAGAGTTTACAGAGTGTTTCCAAACTGCTGAATGAAAAGAAAAGTTAAACTCTGAGAGTTGAACGCACACATCGCAGAACAGTTTCTGAGAATTATTCTGTCTAGTTTTTATACGAAGATATTTCCTTTTCTGCCTTTGGCCTCAAAGCGCTTGAAATCTCCATTTGCAAATTCCACAAAAAGAGTGTTTCAAATCTGCTCTGACTAAATGAAAGTTCAACTCTGTGAGTTGAACACACACAACACAAGGAAGTTACTGGGAATTCTTCTCTCTAGCCTTATATGAAAAAATCCCGTTTCCAACGAAGGCCTCAAAGAGGTCTGAATATCCACTTGCAGACTTTACAAACAGAGTGTTTCCTAACTACTCTATGAAAAGAAAGGTTAAACTCTGTGAGTTGAACTCACACATCACAAAGGAGTTTCTGAGAATCATTCTGTCTAGTTTCTATAGGAAGATATTTCCTATTCTACCATTGACCTCAAAGCGGCTGAAATCTCCACTTGCAAATTCAACAAAAAGAGTGTTTCAAGTCTACTCTGTGTAAAGGGTCGTTCAACTACTGTGAGTTGAATACACACAACACAAGGAAGTTACTGAGAATTCTTCTGTCTAGCATAATATGAAGAAATCCCGTTTCCAAAGAAGGCCACAAAGGGGTCTGAATATCCACTTGCAGACTTTATAAACAGAGTGTTTACTAACTGCTCTATGAAAAGAAAGGTTAAACTCTGTGAGTTGAACACACACATCACAAAGGAGTTTCTGAGAATCGTTCTGTCTAGTCTTTATACGAAGACATTTCCTTTTCTACCATAGACCTCAAAGCGGCTGAAATCTCCACTTGCAAATTCCACAAAAAGAGTGTTTCAAGTCTGCTCTCTGTAAAGGATCGTTCAACTCTGTGAGTTGAATACACACAACACAAGGAAGTTACTGAGAATTCTTCTGTCTAGCAGAATATGAAGAAATCCCGTTTCCAACGAAGGCCACAAGATGTCAGAATATCCACTTACAGACTTTACAAACAGAGTGTTTCCTAACTGCTCTACGAACAGAAAGGTTAAACTCTGTGAGTTGAACGAACACATCACAACGCAGTTTGTGGGAATGATTCTGTCTAGTTTTGAAACGAAGATATTTCCTTTTCTGCCATTGACCTTAAAGCGCTTGAAGTCTCCACTTGCCAATTGCACAAAAAGAGTGTTTCAAATCTGCTCTGTCTAAGGGATCGTTCAACTCTGTGAGTTGAATGTACACAACACAAGGAAGTTACTGGGAATTCTTCTGTATAGCCTTACAGGAAAAAAACCCGTTTCCAACGAAGGCCTCTAAGTGGTCAAAATATCCACGTGCAGACTTTACAAACAGAGTGTTTCCAAACTGCTGAATGAAAAGAAAAGTTAAACTCAGAATTGAACGCACACATCGCAGAGCAGTTTCTGAGAATGATTCTGTCTAGTTTTTATACGAAGATATTTCCTTTTCTGCCTTTGGCCCCAAAGCGCTTGAAATCTCCACTTGCAAATTCCACAAAAAGAGTGTTTCAAATCTGCTCTGTGTAAATCAAAGTTCAACTCTGTGAGTTGAACACACACAACACAAGGAAGTTACTGGGGATTCTTCTGTCTAGCATAATATGAAGAAATCCCGTTTCCAAAGAAGGCCTCAAGGAGGTCTGAATATCCACTTGCAGACTTTACAAACAGAGTGTTTCCTAACTGCTGTATGAAAAGAAAAGTTAAACTGTGTGAGTTGAACGCACACATCACAAAGGAGTTTCTGAGAATCATTCTGTCTAATTTTTATAGGAAGATATTTCCTTTTCTACCTTTGACTTCAAAGCGGCTGAAATCTCCACTTGCAAATTCCACAAAAAGAGTGTTACAAGTCTGCTCTGTGTAAAGGATCGTTCAACTCTGTGAGTTGAATACACACAACACAAGGAAGTTACGGAGAATTCTTCCGTCTAGCACAATATGAAGAAATCCCGTTTCCAAAGAAGGCCACAAGATGTCAGAATATCCACTTACAGACTTTACAAACAGAGTGTTTCCTAACTGCTCTATGAAAAGAAAGGTTAAACTCTGTGAGTTCAACGCACACATCACAAAGGAGTTTATGAGAATCATTCTGTCTAGTTTTTATAGGAAGTTATTTCCTTTTCTACCTTTGACTTCAAAGCGGCTGAAATCTCCACTTGCAAATTCCACAAAAAGAGTGTTACAAGTGTGCTCTGTGCAAAGGATCGTTCAACTCTGTGAGTTGAATACACACAATACAAGGAAGTTACTGAGAATTCTTCTGTCTAGCCTTACATGAAAAAAACCCGTTTCCAACGAAGGCCTCTAAGTGTTCAAGTTATCCACGTGCAGACTTTACAAACAGAGTGTTTCCAAACTTCTGAATGAAAAGAAAAGTTAAACTCTGAGAGTTGAACGCACACATCGCAGAGCAGTTTCTGAGAATGATTCTGTCTAGTTTTTATACGAAGATATTTCCTTTTCTGCCTTTGGCCCCAAAGCGCTTGAAATCTCCACTTGCAAATTCCACAAAAACAGTGTTTCAAATCTGCTCTCTCTAAATGAAAGTTCGACTCTGTCAGTTGAATACACACAACACAGGGAAGTTACTGAGAATTCTTCTGTCTAGCATAATATGAAGAAATCCCGTTTCCAAAGAAGGCCTCAAAGAGGTCTGAATATCCACTTGCAGACTTTACAAACAGAGTGTTTCCTAACTGCTCTATGAAAAGAAAAGTTAAACTTTGAGAGTTGAACGCACACATCACAAAGGAGTTTATGAGAATCATTCTGTCTAGTCTTTATATGAAGATAGTTTCCTTTTCTACCATTGACCTCAAAGCGGCTGAAATCTCCACTTGCAAATTCCACAAAAAGAGTGTTTCAAGTCTGCTCTGTGTAAAGGATCGTTCAACTCTGTGAGTTGAATACACACAACACAAGGAAGTTACTTAGAATTCTTCTGTCTAGCAGAATATGAAGAAATCCCGTTTCCAACGAAGGCCTCAAGGAGGTCTGAATATCCACTTGCAGACTTTACAAACAGAGTGTTTCCTAACTGCTCTATGAACAGAAAGGTTAAACACTGTGAGTTGAACGAACACATCACAACGCAGTTTGTGGGAATGATTCTGTCTAGTTTTGAAACCAAGATATTTCCTTTTCTGCCGTTGACCTTAAAGAGCTTGAAAACTACACTTGCAAATTGCACAAATAGAGTGTTTCAAATCTGCTCTGTCTAAGGGAACGTTCAACTCTGTGAGTTGAATGCACACAACACAAGGAAGTTACTGGGAATTCTTCTGTCTAGCCTTACATGAAAAAAACCCGTTTCCAACGAAGGCCTCTAAGTGGTCAAAATTTCCACGTGCAGACTTTACAAACAGAGTGTTTCCAAACCGCTGAATGAAAAGAAAAGTTAAACTCTGAGAGTTGAACGCACACATCATGCAGCAGTTTCTGAGAATGATTCTGTCTAGTTTTTATACGAAGATATTTCCTTTTCTGCCTTTGGCCTCAAAGCGCTTGAAATCTCCATTTGCAAATTCCACAAAAAGAGTGTTTCAAATCTGCTCTGTGTAAATGAAAGTTCAACTCTGTCAGTTGAATACACACAACACAAGGAAGTTACTGAGAATTCTTCTGTCTAGCATAATATGAAGAAATCCCGTTTCCAACGAAGGCCTCAAAGAGGTCTGAATATCCACTTGCAGACTTTACAAACAGAGTGTTTCCTAACTGCTCTATGAAAAGAAAAGTTAAACTCTGTGAGTTGATCGCACACATCACAAAGGAGTTTCTGAGAATCATTCTGTCTAGTTTCTATAGGAAGATATTTCCTATTCTACCATTGACCTCAAAGCGGCTGAAATCTCCACTTGCAAATTCCACAAAAAGAGTGTTTCAAGTCTGCTCTGTGTAAAGGATCGTTCAACTCTGTGAGTTGAATACACACAACACAAAGAAGTTTCTGAGAATTCTTCTGTCTAGCATAATATGAAGAAAGCCTGTTTCCAAAGAAGGCCTCTAGGAGGTCTGAATATCCACTTGCAGACTTTACAAACAGAGTGTTTCCTAACTGCTCAATGGAGAGAAAGGTTAAACTCTGTGAGTTGAACGCACACATCACAAAGGAGTTTCTGAGAATCATTCTGTCTAGTTTCTATAGGAAGATATTTCCTATTCTACCATTGACCTCAAAGCGGCTGAAATCTCCACTTGAAATTCCACAAAAAGAGTGTTTCAAGTCTGCTCTGTGTAAAGGATCGTTCACCTCTGTGAGTTGAATACACACAACACAAAGAAGTTACTGAGAATTCTTCTGTCTAGCAGAATATGAAGAAATCCCGTTTCCAACGAAGGTCTCAACGAGGTCTGAATATCCACTTGCAGACTTTACAAACAGAGCGTTTCCTAACTGCTCTATGAAAAGAAAGGTTAAACTCTGTGAGTTGAACACACACATCACAAAGAGTTTCTGAGAATCATTCTGTCTAGTTTTTATACGAAGATATTTCCTTTTCTACCACTGACCTCAAAGCGGCTGAAATCTCCACTTACAAATTCCACAAAAAGAGTGTCTCAAATCTGCTCTGTGTAAAGAACCGTTCAACTCTGTGAGTTGAATACACACAACACAAGGAAGTTACTGAGAATTCTTCTGTCTAGCAGAATATGAAGAAATCCCGTTTCCAACGAAGGCCTCAAGGAGGTCTGTATATCCACTTGCATACTTTACAAACAGAGTGTTTCCTAACTGCTCTATGAACAGAAAGGTTAAACTCTGTGAGTTGAACGCACACATCACTAAGGAGTTTCTGAGAATCATTCTGTCTAGTCTTTATACGAAGATATTTCCTTTTCTACCATTGACCTCAAAGCGGCTGAAATCTCCACTTGCAAATTCCACAAAAAGAGTGTTTCAAGTCTGCTCTGTGTGAAGGATCGTTCAACTCTGTGAGTTGAATACACACAACACAAGGAAGTTACTGAGAATTCTTCTGTCTAGCATAATATGTAGAAATCCCGTTTCCAACGAAGGCCTCAAGGAGGTCTGAATATCCACTTGCAGACTTTACAAACAGAGTGTTTCCTAACTGCTCTATTAAAAGAAAGGTTAAACTCTGTGAGTTGAACGCAGACATCACAAAGGAGTTTCTGAGAATCACTCTGTCTAGTCTTTATACGAAGATATTTCCTTTTCTACCATTGACCTCAAAGCGGCTGAAATCTCCACTTGCAAATTCCACAAAAAGAGTGTTTCAAATCTGCTCTGTGTAAAGGATCGTTCAACTCTGTGAGTTGAATACACACAACACAAGGAAGTTACTGAGAATTCTTCTGTCTAGCATAATATGAAGAAATCCCGTTTCCAACGAAGGCCTCAAGGAGGTCGGAATATCCACTTGCAGACTTTACAAACAGAGTGTTTCCTAACTGCTCTATGATAAGAAAGGTTAAACTGTGTGAGTTGAACGCACACATCACAAAGGAGTTTCTGAGAATCATTCTGTCTAGTCTTTATACGAAGATATTTCCTTTCCTACCATTGACCTCAAAGCGGCTGAAATCTCCACTTGCAAATTCCACAAAAAGAGTGTTTCAAGTCTGCTCTGTGTAAAGGATCATTCAACTCTGTGAGTTGAATAAACACAACACAAGGAAGTTACTGAGAATTCTTCTGTCTAGCAGAATATGAAGAAATCCCGTTTCCAACGAAGGCCACAAGATGTCAGAATATCCACTTACAGACTTTACAAACAGAGTGTTTCCTAACTGCTCTATGAACAGAAAGGTTAAACTCTGTGAGTTGTACGAACACATCACAACGCAGTTTGTGGGAATGATTCTGTCTAGCTTTGAAACGAAGATATTTCCTTTTCTGCCATTGACCTTAAAGCGCTTGAAATCTACACTTGCAAATTGCACAAATAGAGTGTTTCAAATCTGCTGTGTCTAAGGGAACGTTCAACTCTGTGAGTTGAATGCACACAACACAAGGAAGTTACTGAGAATTCTTCTGTCTAGCCTTACATGCAAAAAACCCGTTTCCAACGAAGGCCTCTAAGTGGTCAAAATATCCACGTGCAGACTTCACAAACAGAGTGTTTCCAAACCGCTGAATGAAAAGAAAAGTTAAACTCTGAGAGTTGAACGCACACATCAGTCAGCAGCTTCGGAGAATGATTCTGTCTAGTTTTTATACGAAGATATTTCCTTTTCTGCCTTTGGCCTCAAAGCGCTTCAAATCTCCATTTGCAAATTCCACAAAAAGAG
The DNA here is from genome assembly GCF_000001405.40 of Homo sapiens. Lineage (NCBI taxonomy): Eukaryota > Metazoa > Chordata > Mammalia > Primates > Hominidae > Homo > Homo sapiens. Next base: position 25,355,020 of record NC_000019.10, on the reverse strand, counting down.
TGTTCCAAATCTGCTCTGTGTAAATGAAAGTTCAACTCTGTGAGTTGAACACACACAACACAAGGAAGTTACTGGGAAATCTTCTGTCTAGCATAATATGAAGAAATCCCGTTTCCAACGAAGGCCTCAAAGGGGTCTGAATATCCACTTGCAGACTTTATAAACAGAGTGTTTCCTAACTGCTCTATGAAAAGAAAGGTTAAACTCTGTGAGTTGAACGCACACATCACAAAGGAGTTTCTGAGAATCGTTCTGTCTAGTTTTTATACGAAGATATTTCCTTTTCTACCATTGACCTCAAAGCGGCTGAAATCTCCACTTACAAATTCCACAAAAAGAGTGTCTCAAGTCTGCTCTGTGTAAACGATCGTTCAACTCTGTGAGTTGAATACACACAACACAAGGAAGTTTCTGAGAATTCTTCTGTCTAGCAGAATATGAAGAAATCCCGTTTCCAACGATGGCCACAAGATGTCAGAATATCCACTTACAGACTTTACAAACAGAGTGTTTCCTAACTGCTCTATGAACAGAAAGGTTAAACTCTGTGAGTTGAACGAACACATCACAACGCAGTTTGTGGGAATGATTCTGTCTAGTTTTGAAACGAAGATATTTCCTTTTCTTCCATTGACCTTAAAGCGCTTGAAATCTACACTTGCAAATTGCACAAATAGAGTGTTTCAAATCTGCTCTGTCTAAGGGAACGTTCAACTCTGTGAGTTGAATGCACCCAACACAAGGAAGTTACTGGGAATTCTTCTGTCTAGCCTTACATGAAAAAAACCCGTTTCCAACGAATGCCTCTAAGTGGTCAAAATATCCACGTGCAGACTTTACAAACAGAGTGTTTCCAAACTGCTGAATGAAAACAAAAGTTAAACTCTGAGAGTTGAACGCACACATCACAGAGCAGTTTCTGAGAATGATTCTGTCTAGTTTTTATACGAAGATATTTCCTTTTCTGCCTTTGGCCTCAAAGCGCTTGAAATCTCCATTTGCAAATTCCACAAAAAGAGTGTTTCAAATCTGCTCTGTGTAAATGAAAGTTCAACTCTGTGAGTTGAACACACACAACACAAGGAAGTTACTGAGAATTCTTCTGTCTAGCCTTATATGAAAAAAACCCGTTTCCAACGAAGGTCTCAAAGAGGTCTGAATATCCACTTGCAGACTTTACAAACAGAGTGTTTCCTAACTGCTCTATGAAAAGAAAGGTTAAACTCTGTGAGTTGAACGCACCCATCACAAAGGAGTTTCTGAGAATCATTCTGTCTAGTTTTTATAGGAAGATATTTCCTTTTCTACCTTTGACTTCAAAGCGGCTGAAATCTCCACTTACAAATTCCACAAAAAGAGTGTTACAAGTCTGCTCTGTGTAAAGGATCGTTCAACTCTGTGAGTTGAATACACACAACACGCGGAAGTTACTGAGAATTCTTCTGTCTAGCCTTACATGAAAAAAACCCGTTTCCAACGAAGGCCTCAAAGAGGTCAAAATATCCACTTGCAGACTTTACAAACAGAGTGTTTCCTAACTACTCTATGAATAGAAAAGTTAAACTCTGTAAGTTGAACATACACATCACAAAGGAGTTTCTGAGAATCATTCTGTCTAGTTTTTATACGAAGATATTTCCTTTTCTGCCTTTGGCCTCAAAGCGCTTGAAATCTCCACTTGCAAATTACACAAAAAGACTGTTGCAAATCTGCTCTGTCTGAAGGAAGGTTCAACTCTGTCAGTTGAATACACACAACACAAGGAAGTTATTGAGAATTCTTCTGTCTAGCCTTACATGAAAAAAAACCCGTTTCCAACGAAGGCCTCTAAGTGGTCAAAATATCCACGTGCAGACTTTACAAACAGAGTGTTTCCAAACCGCTGAATGAAAAGAAAAGTTAAACTCTGAGAGTTGAACGCACACATCACGCAGCAGTTTCTGAGAATAATTCTGTCTAGTTTTTATACGAAGATATTTCCTTTTCTGCCTTTGGCCTCAAAGCGCTTGAAATCTCCACTTGCAAATTCCACAAAAAGAGTGTTTCCAATCTGCTCTGTGTAAATGAAAGTTCAACTCACAGAGTTGAACACACACAACACAAGGAAGTTACTGGGAATTCTTCTGTCTAGCCTTATATGAAAAAATCCCGTTTCCAAAGAAGGCCTCAAAGAGGTCTGAATATCCTCTTGCAGACTTTACAAACAGAGTGTTTCCTAACTGCTCTATGAAAAGAAAGGTTAAACTCTGTGAGTTGGACACACACATCACAAAGGAGTTTCTGAGAATCATTCTGTCTAGTTTTTATACGAAGATATTTCCTTTTCTACCATTGACCTCAAAGCGGCTGAAATCTCCACTTGCAAATTCCAGAAAAAGAGTGTTTCAAGTCTGCTCTGTGTAAAGGATCGTTCAAATCTGTGAGTTGAATACACAAAACACAAGGAAGTTTCTGAGAATTCTTCTGTATAGCAGAATATGAAGAAATCCCGTTTCCAACGAAGGCCTCAAGGAGGTCTGAATATCCACTTGCAGAATTTACAAACAGAGTGTTTCCTAACTGCTCTATGAAAAGAAAGGTTAAACTCTGTGAGTTGAACGCACACATCACAAAGGAGTTTCTGAGAATCATTCTGTCTAGTTTTTATACGAAGATATTTCCTTTTCTACCATTGACCTCAAAGCGGCTGAAATCACCACTTGCCAATTGCACAAAAACAGTGTTTCAAATCTGCTCTGTCTAAGGGAACGTTCAACTCTGTGAGTTGAATGTACACAACACAAGGAAGTTCCTGGGAATTCTTCTGTCTAGCCTTACATGAAAAAAACCCGTTTCCAACGAAGGCCTCTAAGTGGTCAAAATATCTACGTGCAGACTTTACAAACAGAGTGTTTCCAAACCGCTGAATGAAAAGAAAAGTTAAACTCTGAGAGTTGAACGCACACATCACGCAGCAGTTTCTGAGAATGATTCTGTCTAGTTTTTATAGGAAGATATTTCCTTTTCTACCTTTGACTTCAAAGCGGCTGAAATCTCCACTTGCAAATTCCACAAAAAGAGTGTTACAAGTCTGCTCTGTGTAAAGGATCGTTCAACTCTGTGAGTTGAATACACACAACACAGGGAAGTTACTGAGAATTCTTCTATCTAGCCTTATATGAAAAAAACCCGTTTCCAACGAAGGCCTCAAAGAGGTCCGAATATCCACTTGCAGACTTTACAAACAGAGTGTTTCCTAACTGCTCTATGAAAAGAAAGGTTAAACTCTGTGAGTTGAACGCACACATCACAAAGGAGTTTCTGAGAATCATTCTGTCTAGTTTTTATACGAAGATATTTCCTTTTCTACCATGGACCTCAAAGCGGCTGAAATCTCCACTTGCAAATTCCACAAAAAGAGTGTTTCAAGTCTGCTCTGTGTAAAGTATCGTTCAACTCTGTGAGTTGAATACACACAACACAAGGAAGATTCTGAGAATTCTTCTGTGTAGCAGAATATGAAGAAATCCCGTTTCCAACGAAGGCCACAAGATGTCCGAATATCCACTTACAGACTTTACAAACAGAGTGTTTCCTAACTGCTCTATGAACAGAAAGGTTAAACTCTGTGAGTTGAACGAACACATCACAACGCAGTTTGTGGGAATGATTCTGTCTAGTTTTGAAACGAAGATATTTCCTTTTCTGCCATTGAACTTAAAGCGCTTGAAATCTCCATTTGCCAATTGCACAAAAAGAGTGTTTCAAATCTGCTCTGTCTAAGGGAACGTTCAACTCTGTGAGTTGAATGTACACAACACAAGGAAGTTACTGGGAATTCTTCTGTCTAGCCTTACAGGAAAAAAACCCATTTCCAACGAAGGCCTCTAAGTGGTCAAAATATCCACGTGCAGACTTTACAAACAGAGTGTTTCCAAACTGCTGAATGAAAAGAAAAGTTAAACTCCTGAGAGTTGAACGCACACATCGCAGAGCAGTTTCTGAGAATGATTCTGTCTAGTTTTTATACGAAGATATATCTTTTTCTGCCTTTGGCCCCAAAGCGCTTGAAATCTCCACGTGCAAATTCCACAAAAACAGTGTTTCAAATCTGCTCTCTCTAAATGAAAGTTCAACTCTGTCACTTGAATACACACAACACAAGGGAAGTTACTGAGAATTCTTCTGTCTAGCACAGTATGGAGAAATCCCGTTTCCAACGAAGGCCTCAAAGAGGTCTGAATATCCACTTGCAGAGTTTACAAACAGAGTGTTTCCTAACTGCTCTATGAAAAGAAAGGATAAACTCTGTGAGTTGAACGCACACATCACAAAGAAGTTTCTGAGAATCATTCTGTCTAGTTTTTCTACGAAGATATTTCCTTTTCTACTATTGACCTCAAAGCGGCTGAAATCTCCACTTGCAAATTCCACAAAAGGAGTGTTTCAAGTGTGCTCTGTGTAAAGGATCGTTCAACTCTGTGAGTTGAATACACACAACACAAGGAAGTTACTGAGAATTCTTCTGTCTAGCAGAATATGAAGAAATCCCGTTTCCAACGAAGGCCTCAAGGATGTCTGAATATCCACTTGCAGAGTTTAGAAACAGAGTGTTTCCTAACTGCACTATGAAAAGAAAGGTTAAACTCTGTGAGTTGAACGCACACATCACAAAGGAGTTTATGAGAATCATTCTGTCTAGTTTCTATAGGAAGATATTTCCTATTCTACCATTGTCCTCAAAGCGGCTGAAATCTCCAATTGCAAATTCCACAGAAAGAGTGTTTCAAGTCTGCTCTTTGTAAAGGATCGTTCAACTCTGTGAGTTGAATACACACAACACAAGGAAGTTACTGAGAATTCTTCTGTCTAGCAGAATATTAAGAAATCCCGTTTCCAACGAAGGCCTCAAAGAGGTCTGAATATCCACTTGCAGACTTTACAAACAGAGTGTTTCCTAACTGCTCTATGAAAAGAAAGGTTAAACTCTGTGAGTTGAACGCACACATTACAACGCAGTTTGTGGGAATGATTCTGTCTAATTTTGAAACGAAGATATTTCCTTTTCTGCCATTGACCTTAATGCGCTTGAAATCTACACTTGCAAATTGCACAAATAGAGTGTTTCAAATCTGCTCTGTCTAAGGGAACGTTCAACTCTGTGAGTTGAATGCACACAACACAAGGAAGTTACTGGGAATTCTTCTGTCTAGCCTTGCATGAAAAAAACCCGTTTCCAAAGAAGGCCTCTAAGTGGTCAAAATGTCCACGTGCAGACTTTACAAACAGAGTATTTCCAAACCGCTGAATGAAAAGAAAAGTTAAACTCTGAGAGTTGAACGCACACATCACGCAGCAGTTTCTGAGAATGATTCTGTCTAGTTTTTATACGAAGAAATTTCCTTTTCTGCCTTTGGCCCCAAAGCGCTTGAAATCTCCACTTGCAAATTCCACAAAAACAGTGTTTCAAATCTGCTCTCTCTAAATGAAAGTTCAACTCTGTCAGTTGAATACACACAACACAAGGAAGTTACTGAGAATTCTTCTGTCTAGCATAATATGAAGAAATCCCGTTTCCAACGAAGGCCTCAAAGGGGTCTGAATATCCACTTGCAGACTTTATAAACAGAGTGTTTACTAACTGCTCTATGAAAAGAAAGGTTAAACTCTGTGAGTTGAACACACGCATCACAAAGGAGTTTCTGAGAATCATTCTGTCTAGTTTCCATAGGAAGATATTTCCTATTCTACCATTGACCTCAAATCGGATGAAATCTCCACTTGCAAATTCCACAAAAAGAGTGTTTCAAGTCTGCTCTGTGTAAAGGATCGTTCAACTCTGTGAGTTGAATACACACAATACAAAGAAGTTACTGAGAATTCTTCTGTCTAGCAGAATATGAAGAAATCCCGTTTCCAATGAAGGCCTCAAAGAGGTCCGAATATCCACTTGCAGACTTTACAAACAGAGTGTCTCCTAACTGCTCTATGAAAAGAAAGGTTAAACTCTGTGAGTTGAACGCACACATCACAAGGGAGTTTCTGAGAATCATTCTGTCTATTTTCTATAGGAAGATATTTCCTATTCTACCATTGACCTCAAAGCGGCTGAAATCTTCACTTGCAAATTCCACAAAAAGAGTGTTTCAAGTCTGCTCTGTGTAAAGGATCGTTCAACTCTGTGAGTTGAATACACACAACACAAGGAAGTTACTGAGAATTCTTTCTGTCTAGCAGAATATGAAGAAATCACGTTTCCAACGAAGGCCTCAAAGAGGTCTGAATATCCACTTGCAGACTTTACAAACAGAGTGTTTCCTAACTGCTCTATGAAAAGAAAGGTTAAACTCTGTGAGTTGAACGCACACATCACAAAGGAGTTTCTGAGAATAATTCTGTCTAGTTTCTATAGGAAGATATTTCCTATTCTACCATTGACCTCAAAGCGGCTGAAATCTCCACTTGCAAATTCCACAAAAAGAGTGTTTCAAGTCTGCTCTGGGTAAAGGATCGTTCAACTCTGTGAGTTGAATACACACAACACAAGGAAGTTACTGAGAATTCCTCTGTCTAGCAGAATATGAAGAAATCCCGTTTCCAACGAAAGCCTCAAGGAGGTCTGAATATCCACTTACAGACTTTACAAACAGAGTGTTTCCTAACTGCTCTATGAACAGAAAGGTTAAACTCTGTGAGTTGAACGAACACATCACAACGCAGTTTGTGGGAATGATTCTGTCTAGTTTTGAAACGAAGATATTTCCTTTTCTGCCATTGACCTTAAAGCGCTTGAAATCTACACTTGCAAATTGCACAAATAGAGTGTTTCAAATCTGCTGTGTCTAAGGGAACGTTCAACTCTGTGAGTTGAATGCACACAACACAAGGAAGTTACTGGGAATTCTTCTGTCTAGCCTTACATGACAAAAACCCGTTTCCAACGAAGACCTCTAAGTGGTCAAAATATCCACGTGCAGACTTTACAAACAGAGTGTTTCCAAACTGCTGAATGAAAAGAAAAGTTAAACTCTGAGAGCTGAAGGCACACATCGCAGAGCAGTTTCTGAGAATGATTCTGTCTAGTTTTTATACGAAGATATTTCCTTTTCTGCCTTTGGCCCCAAAGCGCTTGAAATCTCCACTGGCAAATTCCACAAAAACAGTGTTTCAAATCTGCTCTCTCTAAATGAAAGTTCAACTCTGTCAGTTGAATACACACAACACAAGGAAAGTTACTGAGAATTCTTCTGTCTAGCAGAATATGAAGAAATCCCGTTTCCAACGAAGGTCTCAAAGAGGTCTGAATATCCACTTGCAGACTTTACAAACAGAGTGTTTCCTAACTGCTCTATGAAAAGAAAGGTTAAACTCTGTGAGTTGAACGCACACATCACAAAGGAGTTTCTGAGAATCGTTCTGTCTAGTTTTTCTACGAAGATATTTCCTTTTCTACTATTGACCTCAAAGCGGCTGAAATCTCCACTTGCAAATTCTACAAATAGAGTGTTTCAAGTCTGCTCTGTGTAAAGGATCGTTCAACTCTGTGAGTTGAATACACACAACACAAAGAAGTTACTGAGAATTCTTCTGTCTATCATAGTATGAAGAAATCCCGTTTCCAACGAAGGCCTCAAAGAGGTCTGAATATCCACTTGCAGAGTTTACAAACAGAGTGTTTCCTAACTGCTCTATGAAAAGAAAGGTTAAACTCTGTGAGTTGAACGCACACATCACAAAGAAGTTTCTGAGAATCATTTTGTCTAGGTTCTATAAGAAGATATTTCCTATTCTACCATTGACCTCAAAGCGGCTGAAATCTCCACTTGCAAATTCGACAAAAAGAGTGTTTCAAGCCTGCTCTCTGTAAAGGATCCTTCAACTCTGTGAGTTGAATACACACAACAGAAGGAAGTTACTGAGAATTATTCTGTCTAGCAGAATATGAAGAAATCCCGTTTCCAACGAAGGCCTCAAGAGGCCTGAATATCCACTTGCAGACTTTACAAACAGAGTGTTTCCTAACTGCTCTATGAAAAGAAAGGTGAAACTCTGTGAGTTGAATGCACACATCACAAAGGAGTTTATGAGAATCATTCTGTCTAGTTTCTATAGGAAGATATTTCCTATTCTACCATTGACCTCAAAGCGGCTGAAATCTCCACTTGCAAATTCCACAAAAAGAATGTTTCAAGTCTGCTCTGTGTAAAAGATCGTTCAACTCTGTGAGTTGAATACACACAACACAAGGAAGTTACTGAGAATTCTTCTGTCTAGCAGAATATGAAGAAATCCCGTTTCCAACGAAGACCACAAGATGTCAGAATATCCACTTACAGAATTGACAAACAGACTGTTTCCTAACTGCTCTATGAAAAGAAAGGTTAAACTTCTGTGAGTTGAACGAACACATCACAACGCAGTTTGTGGGAATGATTCTGTCTAGTTTTGAAACGAAGATATTTCCTTTTCTGCCATTGACCTTAAAGCGCTTGAAATCTACACTTGCAAATTGCACAAATAGAGTGTTTCAAATCTGCTCTGTCTAAGGGAACGTTCAACTCTGTGAGTTGAATGCACACAACACAAGGAAGTTACTGGGAAATTCTTCTGTCTAGCCTTACATGAAAAAAAAACCGTTTCCAACGAAGGCCTCTAAGTGGTCAAATTATCCACGTGCAGACTTTACAAACAGAGTGTTTCCAAACTGCTGAATGAAAAGAAAAGTTGAACTCTGAGAGTTGAACGCACACATCGCAGAGCAGTTTCTGAGAATGATTCAGTCTAGTTTTGAAACGAAGATATTTCCTTTTCTGCCTTTGGCCTCAAAGCGCTTGAAATCTCCACTTGCAAATTCCACAAAAAGAGTGTTTCAAATCTGCTCTGTGTAAATGAAAGTTCAACTCTGTGAGTTGAACACACACAACACAAGGAAGTTACTGGGAATTCTTCTGTCTAGCAGAATATGAAGAAATCCCGTTTCCAACGAAGGCCTCAAAGAGGTCTGAATATCCACTTGCAGACTTTACAAACAGAGTGTTTCCTAACTGCTCTATGAAAAGAAAAGTTAAACTCTGTGAGTTGAACACACACATCACAAAGGAGTTTCTGAGAATCATTCTGTCTAGTGTTTATCCGAAGATATTTACTTTTCTACCATTGACCTCAAAGCGGCTGAAATCTCCACTTGCAAATTCCACAAAAAGAGTGTTTCAAGTCTGCTCTGTGTAAAGGATCATTCAACTCTGTGAGTTGAATAAACACAACACAAGGAAGTTACTGAGAATTCTTCTGTCTAGCAGAATATGAAGAAATCCCGTTTCCAACGAAGGCCACATGATGTCAGAATATCCACTTACAGACTTTACAAACAGAGTGTTTCCTAACTGCTCTATGAACAGAAAGGTTAAACTCTGTGAGTTGAACGAACACATCACAACGCAGTTTGTGGGAATGATTCTGTCTAGTTTTGAAACGAAGATATTTCCTTTTCTGCCATTGACCTTAAAGCGCTTGAAATTTCCACTTGCCAATTGCATAAAAAGAGTATTTCAAATCTGCTCTGTCTAAGGGAACGTTCAACTCTGTGAGTTGAATGTACACAACACAAGGAAGTTACTGGGAATTCTTCTGTCTAGCCTTACAGGAAAAAAACCCGTTTCCAACGAAGGCCTCTAAGTGGTCAAGTTATCCACGTGCAGACTTTACAACCAGAGTGTTTCCAAACTGCTGAATGAAAAGAAAAGTTAAACTCTGAGAGTTGAACGCACACATCGCAGAGCAGTTTCTGAGAATGATTCTGTCTAGTTTTGAAAAGAAGATATTTCCTTTTCTGCCTTTGGCCTCAAAGCGCTTGAAATCTCCACTTGCAAATTCCACAAAAAGAGTGTTTCAAATCTGCTCTGTGTAAATGAAAGTTCAACTCTGTGAGTTGAACACACACAACACAAGGAAGTTACTGGGAATTCTTCTGTCTAGCCTTATATGAAAAAAACCCGTTTCCAACGAAGGCCTCAAAGAGGTCTGAATATCCTCTTGCAGACTTTACAAACAGAGTGTTTCCTAACTGCTCTATGAAAAGAAAGGTTAAACTCTGTGAGTTGAACACACACATCACAAAGGAGTTTCTGAGAATCATTCTGTCTAGTTTTTATACGAAGATATTTCCTTTTCTACCATTGACCTCAACGTGGCTGAAATCTCCACTTGCAAATTCCACAAAAAGTGTGTTTCAAGTCCGCTCTGTGTAAAGGATCGTTCAACTCTGTGAGTTGAATACACACAACACAAGGAAGTTACTGAGAATTCTTCTGTCTAGCAGAATACGAAGAAATCCCGTTTCCAACGAAGGCCACAAGATGTCAGAATATCCACTTACAGACTTTACAAACAGAGTGTTTCCTAACTGCTCTATGAACAGAAAGGTTAAACTACTGTGAGTTGAACGAACACATCACAACGCAGTTTGTGGGAATGATTTCTGTCTAGTTTTGAAACGAAGAGATTTCCTTTTCTGCCATTGACCTTAAAGCGCTTGAAATCTCCACTTGCCAATTGCACAAAAAGAGTGTTTCAAATCTGCTCTGTCTAAGGGAACGTTCAACTCTGTGAGTTGAATGTACACAACACAAGGAAGTTATTGGGAATTCTTCTGTCTAGCCTTACATGAAAAAAACCCGTTTCCAACGAAGGCCTCTAAGTGGTCAAAATATCCACGTGCAGACTTTACAAACAGAGTGTTTCCAAACCGCTGAATAAAAAGAAAAGTTAAACTCTGAGAGTTGAACGCACACATCACGCAGCAGTTTATGAGAATGATTCTGTCTAGTTTTGAAACGAAGATATTTCCTTTTCTGCCTTTGGCCTCAAAGCGCTTGAAATCTCCACTTGCAAATTCCACAAAAAGAGTGTTTCAAATCTGCTCTGGGTAAATGAAAGTTCAACTCTGTGAGTTGAACACACACAACACAAGGGAAGTTACTGGGAATTCTTCTGTCTAGCCTTATATGAAAAAAACCCGTTTCCAACGAAGGCCTCAAAGAGGTCTGAATATCCACTTGCAGACTTTACAAACAGAGTGTTTCCTAACTGCTCTATGAAAAGAAAGGTTAAACTCTGTGAGTTGAACACACACATCACAAAGAAGTTTCTGAGAATCATTCTGTCTAGTTTCTATAGGAAGATATTTCCATTTCTACCATTGAACTCAAAGCGGCTGAAATCTCCACTTGCAAATTCCACAAAAAGAGTGTTTCAAGCCTGCTCTGTGTAAAGGATCGTTCAACTCTGTGAGTTGAATACACACAACACAAGGAAGTTACTGAGAATTCTTCTGTCTAGCAGAATATGAAGAAATCCCGTTTCCAACGAAAGCCTCAAAGATGTCTGAATATCCACTTGCAGACTTTACAAACAGAGTGTTTCCTAACTGCTCTATGAAAAGAAAGGTTTAAACTCTGTGAGTTGAACGCACACATCACAAAGGAGTTTCTGAGAATCATTCTGTCTAGTTTTTATACGAAGATATTTCCTTTTCTACCATTGACCTCAAAGCGGCTGAAATCTCCACTTGCAAATTCTACAAAAAGAGTGTTTCAAGTCTGCTCTGTGTAAAGGATCGTTCAACTCTGTGAGTTGAATACACACAACACAAGGAAGATTCTGAGAATTCTTCTGTGTAGCAGAATATGAAGAAATCCCGTTTCCAACGAAGGCCACAAGATGTCAGAATATCCACTTACAGAATTTACCAACAGAGTGTTTCCTAACTGCTCTATGAAAAGAAAGGTTAAACTCTGTGAGTTGAACGAACACATCACAACGCAGTTTGTGGGAATGATTCTGTCTAGTTTTGAAACGAAGATATTTCCTTTTCTGCCATTGACCTTAAACACTTGAAATCTACACTTGCAAATTGCACAAATAGAGTGTTTCAAATCTGCTCTGTCTAAGGGAACGTTCAACTCTGTGAGTTGAATGCACACAACACAAGGAAGTTACTGGGAATTCTTCTGTCTAGCCTTACAGGAAAAAAACCCGTTTCCAACGAAGGCCTCTAAGTGGTCAAAATATCCACGTGCAGACTTTACAAACAGAGTGTTTCCAAACTGGTGAATGAAAAGAAAAGTTAAACTCTGAGAGTTGAACGCACAGATCGCAGAGGAGTTTCTGAGAATGATTCTGTCTAGTTTTTATACGAAGATATTTCCTTTTCTGCCTTTGGCCTGAAAGCGCTTGAAATCTCCACTTGCAAATTCCACAAAAAGAGTGTTTCAAATCTGCTCTGTGTAAATCAAAGTTCAACTCTGTGAGTTGAACACACACAACACAAGGAAGTTACTGGGAATTCTTCTGTCTAGCAGAATATGAAGAAATCCCGTTTCCAACGCAGGCCTCAAAGGGGTCTGAATATCCACTTGCAGACTTTACAAACAGAGTGTTTCCTAACTGCTCTATGAAAAGAAAGGTTAAACTCTGTGAGTTGAACGCACACATCACAAAGGAGTTTCTGAGAATCGTTCTGTCTAGTTTCTATAGGAAGATAGTTCCTATTCTACCATTGACCTCAAAGCGGCTGAAATCTCCACTTGCAAATTCCACAAAAAGAGTGTTTCAAGTCTGCTCTGTGTAAAGGATCGTTCAACTCTGTGAGTTGAATACACACAACACAAGGAAGTTACTGAGAATTCTTCTGTCTAGCATAATATGAAGAAATCCCGTTTCCAACGATGGCCTCAAAGAGGTCTGAATATCCACTTGCAGACTTTACAAATAGAGTGTTTCCTAACTGCTCTATGAAAAGAAAAGTTAAACTCTGTGAGTTGAACGCACACATCACAAAGGAGTTTCTGAGAATCATTCTGTCTAGTCTTTATACGAAGATATTTACTTTTCTACCATTGACCTCAAAGCGGCTGAAATCTCCACTTGCAAATTCCACAAAAAGAGTGTTTCAAGTCTGCTCTGTGTAAAGGATCATTCACCTCTGTGAGTTGAATAAACACAACACAAGGAAGTTACTGAGAATTCTTCTGTCTAGCAGAATATGAAGAAATCCCGTTTCCAACGAAGGCCACAAGATGTCAGAATATCCACTTACAGACTTTACAAACAGAGTGTTTCCTGACTGCTCTATGAACAGAAAGGTTAAACTCTGTGAGTTGAACGAACACATCACAACGCAGTTTGTGGGAATGATTCTGTCTAGTTTTGAAACGAAGATATTTCCTTTTCTGCCATTGACCTTAAAGCGCTTGAAATCTCCACTTGCCAATTGCACAAAAAGAGTGTTTCAAATCTGCTCTGTCTAAGGGAACGTTCAACTCTGTGAGTTGAATGTACACAACACAAGGTAAGTTACTGGGAATTCTTCTGTCTAGCAGAATATGAAGAAATCCCGTTTCCAACGAAGGCATCAAAGAGGTCTGAATATCCACTTGCAGACTTTACAAACAGAGTGTTTCCTAACTGCTCTATGAAAAGAAAGGTTAAACTCTGTGAGTTGAATGCACACATCACAAAGGAGTTTCTGAGAATCATTCTGTCTAGTTTTTATACGAAGATATTTCCTTTTCTACAATTGACCTCAAAGCGGCTGAAATCTCCACTTGCAAATTCCACAAAAAGAGTGTTTCAAGTCTGCTCTGTGTAAAGGATCGTTCAACTCTGTGAGTTGAAAACACACAACACAAGGAAGTTTCTGAGAAATCTTCTTTCTAGCAGAATATGAAGAAATCCCGTTTCCAACGAAAGCCTCAAGGAGGTCTGAATATCCACTTGCAGACTTTACAAACAGAGTGTTTCCCAACTGCTCTATGAAAAGAAAGGTTAAACTCTGTGAGTTGAACGCACACATCACAACGGAGTTTCTGAGAATCATTCTGTCTATTTTCTATAGGAAGATATTTCCTATTCTACCATTGACCTCAAAGCGGATGAAATCTCCACTTGCAAATTCCACAAAAAGAGTGTTTCAAGTCTGCTCTGTGTAAAGGATCGTTCAACTCTGTGAGTTGAATACACACAACACAAGGAAGTTACTGAGAATTCTTCTGTCTAGCAGAATATGAAGAAATCCCGTTTCCAACGAAGGCCTCAAGGAGGTCTGAATATCCACTTGCAGACTTTACAAACAGAGTGTTTCCTAACTGCTCTATGAAAAGGAAGGTTAAACTCTGTGAGTTGAACGAACACATCACAACGCAGTTTGTGGGAATGATTCTGTCTAGTTTTGAAACGAAGATATTTCCTTTTCTGCCATTGACCTTAAAGCGCTTGAAATCTACACTTGCAAATTGCACAAATAGAGTGTTTCAAATCTGCTCTGTCTAAGGGAACGTTCAACTCTGTGAGATGAATGCACACAACACAAGGAAGTTACTGGGAATTCTTCTGTCTAGCCTTACAGGGAAAAAAACCCGTTTCCAACGAAGGCCTCTAAGTGGTCAAAATATCCACGTGCAGACTTTACAAACAGAGTGTTTCCACACTGCTGAATGAAAAGAAAAGTTAAACTCTGAGAGTTGAACGCACACATCGCAGAGCAGTTTCTGAGAATGATTCTGTCTAGTTTCTATAAGAAGATATTTCCTATTCTACCATTGACCTCAAAGCAGCTGAAATCTCCACTTGCAAATTCGAGAAAAAGAGTGTTTCAAGCCTGCTCTCTGTAAAGGATCCTTCAACTCTGTGAGTTGAATACACACAACACAAGGAAGTTACTGAGAATTATTCTGTCTAGCATAATATGAAGAAATCCAGTTTCCAACGAAGGCCTCAAGGAGGTCTGAATATCCACTTGCAGACTTTACAAACAGAGTGTTTCCTAACTGCTCTATGAAAAGAAAGGTTAAACTCTGTGAGTTGAACGCACACATCGCAAAGTAGTTTCTGAGAATCATTCTGTCTAGTCTTTATACGAATATATTTCCTTTTCTACCATTGAACTCAAAGCTGCTGAAATCTCCACTTGAAAATACCAAAAAAAGTGTGTTTCAAGTCTGCTCTGTGTAAAGGATCGTTCAACTCTGTGAGTTGAATACACACAACACAAGGAAGTTTCTGAGAATTCTTCTCTCTAGCAGAATATGAAGAAATCCCGTTTCCAACGAAGGCCTCAAGATGTCAGAATATCCACTTACAGACTTTACAAACAGAGTGTTTCCTAACTGCTCTATGAACAGAAAGGTTAAACTCTGTGAGTTGAACGAACACATCACAACGCAGTTTGTGGGAATGATTCTGTCTAGTTTTTATAGGAAGATATTTCCTTTTCTACCTTTGACTTCAAAGCGGCTGAAATCTCCACTTGCAAATTCCACAAAAAGAGTGTTACAAGTCTGCTCTGTGTAAAGGATCGTTCAACTGTGTGAGTTGAATACACACAACACAAGGAAGTTACTGAGAAATCTTCTGTCTAGCCTTACATGAAAAAAACCCGTTTCCAACGAAGGCCTCTAAGTGGTCAAATTATCCACGTGCAGACTTTACAAACAGAGTGTTTCCAAACTGCTGAATGAAAAGAAAAGTTAAACTCTGAGAGTTGAACGCACACATCACAGAGCAGTTTCTGAGAATGATTCGGTCTAGTTTTTATACGAAGATATTTCCTTTTCTGCCTTTGGCCTCAAAGCGCTTGAAATCTCCACTTGCAAATTCCACAAAAAGAGTGTTTCCAATCTGCTCTGTGTAAATGAAAGTTCAACTCTGTGAGTTGAACACACACAACACAAGGAAGTTACTGGGAATTCTTCTGTCTAGCCTTATATGAAAAAAACCCGTTTCCAACGAAGGCCTCAAAGAGGTCTGAATATCCACTTGCAGACTTTACAAACAGAGTGTTTCCTAACTGCTCTATGAAAAGAAAGGTTAAACTCTGTGAGTTGAACAGACACATCACAAAGGAGTTTCTGAGAATCATTCTGTCTAGTTTTTTTATGAAGATATTTCCTTTTCTACCATTGACCTCAAAGCGGCTGAAATCTCCACTTGCAAATTCCACAAAAAGAGTGTTTCTAATCTGCTCCTGTGTAAAGGATCGTTCAACTCTGTGAGTTGAAAGTACACAACACAAGGAAGCTACTGAGAATTCTTCTGTCTAGCAGAATATGAAGAAATCCCGTTTCCAACGAAGGCCACAAGATGTCAGAATATCCACTTACAGAATTTACAAACAGAGTGTTTCCTAACTGCTCTATGAAAAGAAAGGTTAAACTCTGTGAGTTGAACGTACACATCACAAAGGAGTTTCTGAGAATCATTCTGTCTAGTTTTGAAACGAAGATATTTCCTTTTCTGCCATTGACCTTAAGCGCTTGAAATCTCCACTTGCCAATTGCACAAAAAGAGTGTTTCAAATCTGCTCTGTCTAAGGGAACGTTCAACTCTGTGAGTTGAATGTACACAACACAAGGAAGTTACTGGGAATTCTTCTGTCTAGCCTTACATGAAAAAACCCGTTTCCAACGAAGGCCTCTAAGTGGTCAAGTTATCCACGTGCAGACTTTACAAACAGAGTGTTTCCAAACTGCTGAATGAAAAGAAAAGTTAAACTCTGAGAGTTGAACGCACACATCGCAGAGCAGTTTCTGAGAATGATTCTGTCTAGTTTTCAAACGAAGATATTTCCTTTTCTGCCTTTGGCCTCAAAGCGCTTGAAATCTCCACTTGCAAATTCCACAAAAAGAGTGTTTCAAATCTGCTCTGTGTAAATGAAAGTTCAACTCTGTGAGTTGAACACACACAACACAAGGAAAGTTACTGGGAATTCTTCTGTCTAGCCTTATATGAAAAAATCCCGTTTCCAACGAAGGCCTCAAAGAGGTCTGAATATCCACTTGCAGACTTTACAAACAGAGTGTTTCCTAACTGCTCTATGAAAAGAAAGGTTAAACTCTGTGAGTTGAACACACACATCACAAAGGAGTTTCTGAGAATCATTCTGTCTAGTTTTTATACGAAGATATTTCCTTTTCTACCATTGACCTCAACGCGGCTGAAATCTCCACTTGCAAATTCCACAAAAAGAGTGTTTCAAGTCCAATCTGTGTAAAGGATCGTTCAACTCTGTGAGTTGAATACACACAACACAAGGAAGTTACTGAGAATTCTTTTGTCTAGCATAATATGAAGAAATCCCGTTTCCAACAAAGGCCTCAAGGAGGTCTGAATATCCACTTGCACACATTACAAACAGAGTGTTTCCTAACTGCTCTATGAAAAGAAAGGTTAAACTCTGTGAGTTGAACGCACACATCACAAAGGAGTTTCTCAGAATCATTCTGTCTAGTTTTTATACGAAGATATTTCCTTTTCTACCATTGACCTCAACGCGGCTGAAATCTCCACTTGCAAATTCCACAAAAAGTGTGTTTCAAGTCCGCTCTGTGTAAAGGATCGTTCAACTCTGTGAGTTGAATACACACAACACAAGGAAGTTACTGAGATTTCTTCTGTCTAGCAGAATATGAAGAAATCCCGTTTCCAACGAAGGCCACAAGATGTCAGAATATCTACTTACAGACTTTACAAACAGAGTGTTTCCTAACTGCTCTATGAACAGAAAGGTTAAACTCTGTGAGTTGAACGAACACATCACAACGCAGTTTTTGGGAATGATTCTGTCTAGTTTTGAAACGAAGATAATTCCTTTTATGCCATTGACCTTAAAGCGCTTGAAATCTCCACTTGCCAATTGCACAAAAAGAGTGTTTCAAATCTGCTCTGTCTAAGGGAACGTTCAACTCTGTGAGTTGAATGTACACAACACAAGGAAGTTACTGGGAATTCTTCTGTCTAGCCTTACATGAAAAAAACCCGATTCCAACGAAGGCCTCTAAGTGGTCAAAATTTCCACGTGCAGACTTTACAAACAGAGTGTTTCCAAACCGCTGAATGAAAAGAAAAGTTAAACTCTGAGAGTTGAACGCACACATCACGCAGCAGTTTGCTGAGAATGATTCTGTCTAGTTTTTATACGAAGATATTTCCTTTTGTGCCTTTGGCCCCAAAGCGCTTGAAATCTCCACTTGCAAATTCCACAAAAACAGTGTTTCAAATCTGCTCTCTCTAAATGAAAGTTCAACTCTGTCAGTTGAATACACACAACACAAGGAAGTTACTGAGAATTCTTCTGTCTAGCATAATATGTAGAAATCCCGTTTCCAACGAAGGCCTCAAAGAGGTCTGAATATCCACATGCAGACTTTACAAACAGAGTGTTTCCTAACTGCTCTATGAGAAGAAAAGTTAAACTCTGTGAGTTGAACGCACACATCACAAAAGATTTTCTGAGAATCATTCTGTCTAGTTTTTCTACGAAGATACTTCCTTTTCTACTATTGGCCTCAAAGCGGCTGAAATCTCCAGTTGCAAATTACACAAAAAGAGTGTTTCAAGTCTGCTGTGTGTAAAGGATCGTTCAACTCTGTGAGTTGAATACACACAACACAAGGAAGTTACTGAGAATTCTTCTGTCTAGCATAATTTGAAGAAATCCCGTTTCCAACGAAGGCCTCAAAGAGGTCTGAATATCCACTTGCAGACTTTGCAAACAGAGTGTTTCCTAACTGCTCTATGAGAAGAAAAGTTAAACTCTGTGAGTTGAACGCACACATCACAAAAGATTTTCTGAGAATCATTCTGTCTAGTTTTTATAGGAAGATATTTCCTTTTCTACTTTGACTTCAAAGCGGCTGAAATCTCCACTTGCAAATTCCACAAAAAGAGTGTTACAAGTCTGCTCTCTGTAAAGGATCGTTCAACTGTGTGAGTTGAATACATACAACACAAGGAAGTTACTGAGAACTCTTCTGTCTAGCCTTACATGAAAAAAACCCGTTTCCAACGAAGGCCTCTAAGTGGTCAAATTATCCACGTGCAGACTTTACAAACAGAGTGTTTCCAAACTGCTGAATGAAAAGAAAAGTTAAACTCTGAGAGTTGAACGCACACATCACAGAGCAGTTTCTGAGAATGATTCTGTCTAGTTTTTATACGAAGATACTTCCTTTTCTGCCTTTGGCCTCACAGCGCTTGAAATCTCCACTTGCAAATTCCACAAAAAGAGTGTTTCAAATCTGCTCTGTGTAAATGAAAGTTCAACTCTGTGAGTTGAACACACACAACACAAGGAAGTTAGTGGGAATTCTTCTGTCTAGCATAGTATGAAGAAATCCCGTTTCCAACGAAGGCCTCAAAGAGGTCTGAATATCCACTTGCAGAGTTTACAAACAGAGTGTTTCCTAACTGCTCTATGAAAAGAAAGGTTAAACTCTGTGAGCTGAACGCACACATCACAAAGAAGTTTCTGAGAATCATTCTGTCTAGTCTTTATACGAAGATATTTCCTTTTCTACCATTGACCACAAAGCGGCTGAAATCTCCACTTGCAAATTCCACAAAAAGAGTGTTTCAAGTCTGCTCTGTGTAAAGGATCCTTCAACTCTGTGAGTTGAATACACACAACACAAGGAAGTTTCTGAGAATTCTTCTGTCTAGCAGAATATGAAGAAATCCCGTTTCCAACGAAGGCCTCAAGGAGGTCTGAATATCCACTTGCAGACTTTACAAACAGAGTGTTTCCTAACTGCTCTATGAACAGAAAGGTTAAACTCTGTGAGTTGAACGCACACATCACAAAGGAGTTTCTGAGAATAATTCTGTCTAGTTTCTATACGAAGATATTTCCCTTTCTACCATTGACTTCAAATCGGCTGAAATCTCCACTTGCAAATTCCACAAAAAGAGTGTTTCAAGTCTGCTCTGTGTAAAGGATCGTTCTACTCTGTGAGTTGAATACACACAACACAAGGAAAGTTTCTGAGAATTCTTCTGTCTAGCCTTATATGAAAAAAACCCGTTTCCAACGAAGGCCTCAAAGAGGTCTGAATATCCACTTGCAGACTTTACAAACAGAGTGTTTCCTAACTGCTCTATGAAAAGAAAGGTTAAACTCTGTGAGTTGAAGGCACACATCACAAAGGAGTTTCTGAGAATCATTCTGTCTAGTCTTTATAGGAAGGTATTTACTTTTCTACCATTGACCTCAAAGCGGCTGAAATCTCCACTTGCAAATTCCACAAAAAGAGTGTTTCAAGTCTGCTCTGTGTAAAGGATCATTCAACTCTGTGAGTTGAATAAACACAACACAAGGAAGTTACTGAGAATTCTTCTGTCTAGCAGAATATGAAGAAATCCCGTTTCCAACGAAGGCCTCAAAGAGGTCTGAATATCCACTTGCAGACTTTACAAACAGAGTGTTTCGTAACTGCTCTATGAAAAGAAAGGTTAAACTCTGTGAGTTGAACGCACACATCACAAAGGAGTTTCTGAGAATCGTTCTGTCTAGTTTCTATAAGAAGATATTTCCTATTCTACCATTGACCTCAAAGCGGCTGAAATCTCCACTTGCAAATTCGACAAAAAGAGTGTTTCAAGCCTGCCCTCTGTAAAGGATCCTTCAACTCTGTGAGTTGAATACACACAACACAAGGAAGTTACTGAGAATTGCTTCTGTCTAGCAGAATATGAAGAAATCCCGTTTCCAACGAAGGCCACAAGATATCAGAATATCCACTTACAGACTTTACAAACAGAGTGTTTCCTAACTGCTCTATGAACAGAAAGGTTAAACTCTGTGAGTTGAACGAACACATCACAACGCAGTTTGTGGGAATGATTTCTGTCTAGTTTTGAAAGTAAGATATTTCCTTTTCTGCCATTGACCTTAAAGCGCTTGAAATCTCCACTTGCTAATTGCACAAAAAGAGTGTTTCAAATCTGCTCTGTCTAAGGGAACGTTCAACTCTGTGAGTTGAATGTACACAACACAAGGAAGTTACTGGGAATTCTTCTGTCTAGCCTTACAGGAAAAAAACCCGTTTCCAACGAAGGCCTCTAAGTGGTCAAAATATCCACGTGCAGACTTTACAAACAGAGTGTTTCCAAACTGCTGAACGAAAAGAAAAGTTAAACTCTGAGAGTTGAACGCACACATCGCAGAGAAGTTTCTGAGAATGATTCTGTCTAGTTTTTATACGAAGATATTTCCTTTTCTGCCTTTGGCCTCAAAGCGCTTGAAATCTCCACTTGCAAATTCCACAAAAAGAGTGTTTCAAATCTGCTCTGTGTAAATGAAAGTTCAACTCTCTGAGTTGAACACACACAACACAAGGAAGTTACTGGGAATTCTTCTGTCTAGCAGAATATGAAGAAATCCCGTTTCCAACGAAAGTCTCAAAGATGTCTGAATATCCACTTGCAGACTTTACAAACAGAGTGTTTCCTAACTGCTCTATGAAAAGAAAGGTTAAACTCTGTGAGTAGAACGCACACATCACAAAGGAGTTTCTGAGAATCATTCTGTCTAGTTTTTATACGAAGATATTTCCTTTTCTACCATTGACCTCAAAGCGGCTGAAATCTCCACTTGTAAATTCCACAAAAAGAGTGTTTCAGGTCTGCTCTGTGTAAAGGATCGTTCAACTCTGTGAGTTGAATACACACAACACAAGGAAGATTCTGAGAATTCTTCTTTCTAGCAGAATATGAAGAAATCCCGTTTCCAACGAAAGCCTCAAGGATGTCTGAATATCCACTTGCAGACTTTACAAACAGAGTGTTTCCCAACTGCTCTATGAAAAGAAAGGTTAAACTCTGTGAGTTGAACACACACATCACAAAGGAGTTTCTGAGAATCATTCTGTCTAGTTTCTATAGGAAGATATTTCCTATTCTACCATTGAACTCAAAGCGGCTGAAATCTCCACTTGCAAATGCCACAAAAAGAGTGTTTCAAGTCTGCTCTGTGTAAAGGATCGTTCAACTCTGTGAGTTGAATACACACAACACAAGGAAAGTTACTGAGAATTCTTCTGTGTAGCATAATATGAAGAAATCCCCTTTCCAACGAAGGCCTCAAGGAGGTCTGAATATCCACTTGCAGACTTTACTAACAGAGTGCTTCCTAACTGCTCTATGAAAAGAAAGGTTAAACTCTGTGAGTTGAACGCACACATCACAAAGGAGTTTCTGAGAATCATTCTGTCTAGTTTTGAAACGAAGATATTTCCTTTTCTGCCATTGACCTTAAAGCGCTTGAAATCTACACTTGCAAATTGCACAAATAGAGTGTTTCAAATCTGCTCTGTCTAAGGGAACGTTCATCTGTGTGAATTGAATGCACACAACACAAGGAAGTTACTGGGAATTCTTCTGTCTAGCCTTACATGAAGAAAACCCGTTTCCAACGAAGGCCTCTAAGTGGTCAAAATATCCACGTGCAGACTTTACAAACAGAGTGTTTCCAAACTGCTGAATGAAAAGAAAAGTTAAACTCTGAGAGTTGAACGCACACATCACAGAGCAGTTTCTGAGAATGATTCTGTCTAGTTTTTATACGAAGATATTTCCTTTCTGCCTTTGGCCCCAAAGCGCTTGAAATCTCCACTTGCAAATTCCACAAAAACAGTGTTTCAAATCTGCTCTCTCTAAATGAAAGTTCAACTCTGTCAGTTGAATACACACAACAGAAGGAAGTTACTGAGAATTCTTCTGTCTAGCAGAATATGAAGAAACCCCGTTTCCAACGAAGGCCTCAAGGAGGTCTGAATATCCACTTGCAGACTATATAAACAGAGTGTTTCCTAACTGCTCTATGAAAAGAAATGTTAAACTCTGTGAGTTGAACGCAAACATCACAAAGGAGTTTCTGAGAATCATTCTGTCTAGTTTCTATAGGAAGATATTTCCTATTCTACCATTGACCTCAAAGCGGCTGAAATCTCCACTTGCAAATTCCACAAAAAGAGTGTTTCAAGTCTGCTCTGTGTAAAGGATCGTTCAACTCTGTGAGTTGAATACACACAACACAAAGAAGTTACTGAGAATTCTTCTGTCTAGCAGAATATGAAGAAATCCCGTTTCCAACGAAGGCCACAAGATGTCAGAATATCCACTTACAGACTTTACAAACAGAGTGTTTCCTCACTGCTCTATGAACAGAAAGGTTAATACTCTGTGAGTTGAACGAACACATCACAACGCAGTTTGTGGGAATGATTCTGTCTAGTTTTGAAACGAAGATATTTCCTTTTCTGCCATTGACCTTAAAGCGCTTGAAATCTACACTTGCAAATTGCACAAATAGAGTGTTTCAAATCTGCTCTGTCTAAAGGAAAGTTCAACTCTGTGAGTTGAATGCACACAACACAAGGAAGTTACTGGGAATTCTTCTGTCTAGCCTTACATGAAAAAAACCCGTTTCCAACTAAGGCCTCTAAGTGGTCAAATTATCCACGTGCAGACTTTACAAACAGAGTGTTTCCAAACTGCTGAATGAAAAGAAAAGTTAAACTCTGAGAGTTGAACGCACACTTCGCAGAGCAGTTTCTGAGAATGATTGTGTCTAGTTTTTATACGAAGATATTTCCTTTTCTGCCTTTGGCCCCAAAGCGCTTGAAATCTCCACTTGCAAATTCCACAAAAACAGTGTTTCAAATCTGCTCTCTCTAAATGATAGTTCAACTCTGTCAGTTGAATACACACAACACAAGGAAGTTACTGAGAATTCTTCTGTCTAGCCTTACATGAAAAAACCCGTTTCCAACGAAGGCCTCAAAGAGGTCAAAATATCCACTTGCAGACTTTACAAACAGAGTGTTTCCTAACTGCTCTATGAAAAGAAAGGTTAAACTCTGTGAGTTGAACACACACATCACAAAGGAGTTTCTGAGAATCATTCTGTCTAGTTTTTATACGAAGATATTTCCTTTTCTACCATTGACCTCAAAGCGGCTGAAATCTCCACTTGCAAATTCCACAAAAAGAGTGTTTCAAGTCTGCTCTGTGTAAAGGATCGTTCACCTCTGTAAGTTGAATACACACAACACAAGGAAGTTACTGAGAATTCTTCTCTCTAGCAGAATATGAAGAAATCCGGTTTCCAACGAAGGCCTCAAAGAGGTCTGTATATCCACTTGCAGACTTTACAAACAGAGTGTTTCCTAACTGCTCTATGAAAAGAAAGGTTAAACTCTGTGAGTTGAACGCACACATCACAAAGGAGTTTCTGAGAATCATTCTGTCTAGTTTCTATAGGAAGATATTTCCTATTCTACCATTGACCTCAAAGCGGCTGAAATCTCCACTTGCAAATTACACAACAAGAGTGTTTCAAGTCTGCTCTGTGTAAAGGATCGTTCAACTCTGTGAGTTGAATACACACAACACAAGGAAGTTACTGAGAATTCTTCTGTCTAGCAGAATATGAAGAAATCCCGTTCCCAACGAAGGCCACAAGGATGTCAGAATATCCACTTTCAGACTTTACAAACAGAGTGTTTCCTAACTGCTCTATGAACAGAAAGGTTAAACTCTGTGAGTTGAACGAACACATCACAACGCAGTTTGTGGGAATGATTCTGTCTAGTTTTGAAACGATGATATTTCCTTTTCTGCCATTGACCTTAAAGCGCTTGAAATCTCCATTTGCCAATTGCACAAAAAGAGTGTTTCAAATCTGCTCTGTCTAAGGGAACGTTCAACTCTGTGAGTTGAATGTACACAACACAAGGAAGTTACTGGGAATTCTTCTGTCTAGCCTTACATGAAAAAAACCCGTTTCCAACGAAGGCCTCTAAGTGGTCAAAATTTCCACGTGCAGAATTTACAAACAGAGTGTTTCCAAACCGCTGAATGAAAAGAAAAGTTAAACTCTGAGAGTTGAACGCACACATCACGCAGCAGTTTCTGAGAATGATTCTGTCTAGTTTTCATACGAAGATATTTCCTTTTCTGCCTTTGGCCTCAAAGCGCTTGAAATCTCCACTTGCAAATTCCACAAAAAGAGTGTTTCAAATCTGCTCTGTGTAAATCAAAGTTCAACTCTGTGAGTTGAACACACACAACACAAGGAAGTTACTGGGAATTCTTCTGTCTAGCCTTATATGAAAAAATCCCGTTTCCAACGAAGGTCTCAAAAAGGTCTGAATATCCACTTGCAGACTTTACAAACAGAGTGTTTCCTAACTGCTCTATGAAAAGAAAGGTTAAACTCTGTGAGTTGAACACACACATCACAAAGGAGTTTCTGAGAATCATTCTGTCTAGTTTCTATAGGAAGATATTTCCTATTCTACCATTGACATCAAAGCGGCTGAAATCTCCACTAGCAAATTCCACAAAAAGAGTGTTTCAAGACTGTTCTGTGTAAAGGATCATTCAACTCTGTGAGTTGAATACACACAACACAAGGTAAGTTACTGAGAATTCTTCTGTCTAGCAGAACATGAAGAAATCCCGCTTCCAACGAAGGCCTCAAAGAAGTCTGAATATCCACTTGCAGACTTTACAAACAGAGTGTTTCCCAAGTGCTCTATGAAAAGAAAGGTTGAACTCTATGAGTTGAAAGCACATATCACAAAGGAGTTTCTGAGAATCATTCGGTCTAGTTTCTATAGGATGATATTTCCTATTCTACCATTGACCTCAAAGCGGCTGAAATCTCCACTTGCAAATTCCACAAAAAGAGTGTTTCAAGTCTGCTCTGTGTAAAGGATCGTTCAACTCTGTGAGTAGAATACACACAACACAAGGAAGTTACTGAGAATTATTCTGTCTGGCAGAACATGAAGAAATCCCGTTTCCAACGAAGGCCTCAAAGAGGTCTGAATATCCACTTGCAGACTTTACAAACAGAGTGTTTCCTAACTACTCTATGAAAAGAAAGGTTAAACTCTGTGAGTTGAACGAACACATCACAACGCAGTTTGTGGGAATGATTCTGTCTAGTTTTTATACGAAGATATTTCCTTTTCTACCATTGACCTCAAAGCGGCTGAAATCACCACTTGCCAATTGCACAAAAAGAGTGTTTCAAATCTGCTCTGTCTAAGGGAACGTTCAACTCTGTGAGTTGAATGTACACAACACAAGGAAGTTCCTGGGAATTCTTCTGTCTAGCCTTACAAGAAAAAAACCCGTTTCCAACGAAGGCCTCTAAATGGTCAAAATATCCACGTGCAGACTTTACAAACAGAGTGTTTCCAAACTGCTGAATGAAAAGAAAAGTTAAACTCTGAGAGTTGAACGCACACATCGCAGAGCAGTTTCTGAGAATGATTATCTGTCTAGTTTTTATACGAAGATATTTCCTTTTCTGCCCTTGGCCCCAAAGCGCTTGAAATCTCCACTTGCAACTTCCACAAAAACAGTGTTTCAAATCTGCTCTCTCTAAATGAAAGTTCAACTCTGTCAGTTGAATACACACAACACAAGGAAGTTACTGAGAATTCTTCTGTCTAGCAGAATATGAAGAAATCCCGTTTCCAACGAAGGCCTCAAGGAGGTCTGAATATCTACTTGCAGACTTTACAAACAGAGTGTTTCCCAACTGCTCTATGAAAAGAAAGGTGAAACTCTGTGAGTTGAATGCACACATCACAAAGGAGTTTATGAGAATCATTCTGTCTAATTTTTATACGAAGATATTTCCTTTTCTACCATTGACCTCAACGCGGCTGAAATCTCCACTTGCAAATTCCACAAAAAGAGTGTTTCAAGTCCGCTCTGTGTAAAGGATCGTTCAACTCTGTGAGTTGAATACACACAACAGAAGGAAGTTACTGAGAATTCTTCTGTCTAGCACAGTATGAATAAATCCCGTTTCCAACGAAGGCAGCAAAGAGGTCTGAATATCCACTTGCAGAGTTTACAAACAGAGTGTTTCCTAACTGCTCTATGAAAAGAAAGGTTAAACTCTGTGAGTTGAACGCACACATCACAATGAAGTTTCTGAGAATCATTCTGTCTAGTTTTTATACGAAGATATTTCCTTTTCTACCATTGACCTCAAAGCGGCTGAAATCACCACTTGCCAATTGCACAAAAAGAGTGTTTCAAATCTGCTCTGTCTAAGGGAACGTTCAACTCTGTGAGTTGAATGTACACAACACAAGGAAGTTACTGGGAATTCTTCTGTCAAGCCTTACAGGAAAAAAACCCGTTTCCAACGAAGGCCTCTAAGTGGTCAAAATATCCACGTGCAGACTTTAGAAACAGAGTGTTTCCAAACTGCTGAATGAAAAGAAAAGTTAAACTCTGAGAGTTGAACGCACACATCGCAGAGCAGGTTCTGAGAATGATTCTGTCTAGTTTTTATACGAAGATATTTCCTTTTCTGCTTTTGGTCTCAAAGCGCTTGAAATCTCCACTTGCAAATTCCACAAAAAGAGTGTTTCCAATCTGCTCTGTGTAAATGAAAGTTCAACTCTGTGAGTTGAACACACACAACACAAGGAAGTTACTGGGAATTCTTCTGTTTGGCACAGTATGAAGAAATCCCGTTTCCAACGAAGGCCTCAGAGAGGTCTGAATATCCACTTGCAGACTTTACAAACAGAGTGTTTCCTAACTGCTCTATGAAAAGAAATGTTAAACTCTGTGAGTTGAACGCACACGTCACAATGAAGTTTCTGAGAATCATTCTGTCTAGTTTTTATACGAAGATATTTCCTTTTCTACCATTGACCTCAAAGCGGCTGAAATCTCCAATTGCAAATTCCACAAAAAGAGTGTTTCAAGTCCGCCCTGTGTAAAGGATCGTTCAACTCTGTGAGTTGAATACACACAACACAAGGAAGTTACTGAGAATTCTTCTGTCTAGCAGAATATGAAGAAATCCCGTTTCCAACGAAGGCCACAAGATGTCAGAATATCCACTTACAGAATTTACAAACAGACTGTTTCCTAACTGCTGTATGAAAAGAAAGGTTAAACTCTGTGAGATGAACGAACACATCACAACGCAGTTTTTGGGAATGATTCTCTCTAGTTTTGAAACGAAGATATTTCCTTTTCTGCCATTGACCTTAAAGCGCTTGAAATCTCCACTTGCCAATTGCACAAAAAGAGTGTTTCAAATCTGCTCTGTCTAAGGGAACGTTCAACTCTGTGAGTTGAATGTACACAAGACAAGGAAGTTACTGGGAATTCTTCTGTCTAGCCTTACAGGAAAAAAACCCGTTTCCAACGAAGGCCTCTAACTGGTCAAAATATCCACGTGCAGACTTTACAAACAGAGTGTTTCCAAACTGCTGAATGAAAAGAAAAGTTAAACTCTGAGAGTTGAACGCACACATCGCAGAGCAGTTTCTGAGAATGATTCTGTCTACTTTTTATACGAAGATATTTCGTTTTCTGCCTTTGGCCCCAAAGCGCTTGAAATCTCCACTTGCAAATTCCACAAAAACAGTGTTTCAAATCTGCTCTCTCTAACTGAAAGTTCAACTCTGTCAGTTGAATACACACAACACAAGGGAAGTTACTGAGAATTCTTCTGTCTAGCAGAATATGAAGAAATCCCGTTTCCAACGAATGCCTGAAGGAGGTTCTGAGTATCCACTTGCAGACTTTACAAACAGAGTGTTTCCTAACTGCTCTATGAACAGAAAGGTTAAACTCTGTGAGTTGAACGCACACATCACAAAGGAGTTTCTGAGAATCATTTCTGTCTAGTTTTTATACGAAGATATCTCCTTTTCTACCATTGACCTCAAAGCGGCTGAAATCTGCACTTGCAAATTCCACAAAAAGAGTGTTTCAAGTCTGCTCTGTGTAAAGGATCGTTCAACTCTGTGAGTTGAATACACACAACACAAGGAAGTTACTGAGAATCCTTCTGTCTAGCAGAATATGAAGAAATCCCGTTTCCAACGAAGGCCACAAGATGTCAGAATATCCACTTACAGAATTTACAAACAGACTGTTTCCTAACTGCTCTATGAAAAGAATGGTTAAACTCTGTGAGTTGAACGAACACATCACAACGCAGTTTGTGGGAATGATTCTGTCTAGTTTTTCTACGAAGATATTTCCTTTTCTACCATTGACCTCAAATCGGCTGAAATCACCACTTGCCAATTGCACAAAAAGAGTGTTTCAAATCTGCTCTGTCTAAGGGAACGTTCAACTCTGTGAGTTGAATGTACACAACACAAGGAAGTTACTGAGAATTCTTCTATCTAGCCTTACAGGAAAGAAACCCGTTTCCAACGAAGGCCTCTAAGTGGTCAAAATATCCACGTGCAGACTTTACAAACAGAGTGTTTCCAAACTGCTGAATGAAAAGCAAAGTTAAACTCTGAGAGTTGAACGCACACATCGCAGAGCAGTTTCTGAGAATGATTCTGTCTAGTTTTTATATGAAGATATTTCCTTTTCTACCATTGACCTCAAAGCGGCTGAAATCTCCACTTACAAATTCCACAAAAAGAGTGTCTCAAGTCTGCTGTGTGTAAAGGATCGTTCAACTCTGTGAGTTGAATACACACAACACAAGGAAGTTTCTGAGAATTCTTCTGTCTAGCATAATATGAAGAAATCCCGTTTCCAACGAAGGCCTCAAAGGGGTCTGAATATACACTTGCAGACTTTATAAACAGAGTGTTTACTAACTGCTCTATGAAAAGAAAGGTTAAACTCTGTGAGTTGAACACACACATCACAAAGGAGTTTCTGAGAATCATTCTGTCTAGTTTTTCTACGAAGATATTTCCTTTTCTACTATTGACCTGAAAGCGGCTGAAATCTCCACTTGCAAATTCCACAAAAAGAGTGTTTCAAGTCTGCTATGTGTAAAGGATCGTTCAACTCTGTGAGTTGAATACACACAACACAAGGAAGTTACTGAGAATTTTTCTGTCTAGCAGAATATGAAGAAATCCCGTTTCCAACGAAGGCCTCAAAGAGGTCTGAATATCCACTTGCAGACTTTACAAACAGAGTGTTTACTAACTGCTCTATGAAAAGAAAAGTTAAACTCTGTGAGGTGAACGCACACATCACAAAGGAGTTTCTGAGAATCGTTCTCTCTAGTTTTGAAACGAAGATATTTCCTTTTCTGCCGTTGACCTTAAAGAGCTTGAAAACTACACTTGCAAATTGCACAAATAGAGTGTTTCAAATCTGCTCTGTCTAAGGGAACGTTCAACTCTGTGAGTTGAATGCACACAACACAAGGAAGTTACTGGGAATTCTTCTGTCTAGCCTTACATGAAAAAAACCCGTTTCCAACGAAGGCCTCTAAGTGGTCAAAATTTCCACGTGCAGACTTTACAAACAGAGTGTTTCCAAACCGCTGAATGAAAAGAAAAGTTAAACTCTGAGAGTTGAACGCACACATCACGCAGCAGATTCTGAGAATGATTCTGTCTAGTTTTGAAACGAAGATATTTCCTTTTCTGCCTTTGGCCTCAAAGCGCTTGAAATCTCCACTTGCAAATTCCACAAAAAGAGTGTTTCAAATCTGCTCTGTGTAAATGAAAGTTCAACTCTGTGAGTTGAACACACACAACACAAGGATGTTACTGGGAATTCTTCTGTCTAGCAGAATATGAAGAAATCCCGTTTCCAACGAAAGCCTCAAAGATGTCTGAATATCCACTTGCAGACTTTACAAACAGAGTGTTTCCTAACTGCTCTATGAAAAGAAAGGTTAAACTCTGTGAGTTGAACGCACACAGCACAAAGGAGTTTCTGAGAATCATTCTGTCTAGTCTTTATATGAAGATAGTTTCCTTTTCTACCATTGACCTCAAAGCGGCTGAAATCTCCACTTGCAAATTCCACAAAAAGAGTGTTTCAAGTCTGCTCTGTGTAAAGGATCGTTCAACTCTGTGCGTTGAATACACACAACACAAGGAAGTTACTGAGAATTCTTCTGTGTAGCAGAATATGAAGAAATCCCGTTTCCAACGAAGGCCACAAGATGTCAGAATATCCACTTACAGACTTTACAAACAGAGTGTTTCCTAACTGCTCTATGAACAGAAAGGTTAAACTCTGTGAGTTGAACGAACACATCACAACGCAGTTTGTGGGAATGATTCTGTCTAGTTTTTATACGAAGATATTTCCTTTTCTACCATTGACCTCAAAGCGGCTGAAATCACCACTTGCCAATTGCACAAAAAGAGTGTTTCAAATCTGCTCTATCTAAGGGAACGTTCAACTCTGTGAGTTGAATGTACACAAAACAAGGAAGTTACTGGGAATTCTTCTGTCTAGCCGTACATGAAAAAAACCCGTTTCCAACGAAGGCCTCTAAGTGGTCAAAATATCCACGTGCAGACTTTACAAACAGAGTGTTTCCAAACCGCTGAATGAAAAGAAAAGTTAAACTCTGAGAGTTGAACGCACACATCACGCAGCAGTTTCTGAGAATGATTCTGTCTAGTTTTTATACGAAGATATTTCCTTTTCTACCATTGACCTCAACGCGGCTGAAATCTCCACTTGCAAATTTCACAAAAAGAGTGTTTCAAGTCCGCTCTGTGTAAAGGATCGTTCAACTCTGTGAGTTGAATACACACAACACAAGGGAAGTTACTGAGAATTCTTCTGTCTAGCACAGTATGAAGAAATCCCGTTTCCAACGAAGGCCTCAAAGAGGTCTGAATATCCACTTGCAGAGTTTACAAACCGAGTGTTTCCTAACTGCTCTATGAAAAGAAAGGTTAAACTCTATGAGTTGAACGCACACATCACAAAGAAGTTTCTGAGAATCATTCTGTCTAGTTTTTATACGAAGATATTTCCTTTTCTACCATTGACCTCAAAGCGGCTGAAATCTCCACTTGCAAATTCCACAAAAAGAGTGTTTCAAGTCTACTCTGTGTAAAGGATCGTTCAACTCTGTGAGTTGAATACACACAACACAAGGAAGTTACTGAGAATTCTTCTGTCTAGCAGAATATGAAGAAATCCCGTTTCCAACGAAGGCCACAAGATGTCAGAATATCCACTTACAGAATTGACAAACAGACTGTTTCCTAACTGCTCTATGAAAAGAAAGGTGAAACTCTGTGAGTTGAACACACACATCACAACGCAGTTTGTGGGAATGATTCTGTCTAGTTTTGAAACGAAGATATTTCCTTTTCTGCCGTTGACCTTAAAGCGCTTGAAATCTACACTTGCAAATTGCACAAATAGAGTGTTTCAAATCTGCTCTGTCTTAGGGAACGTTCAACTCTGTGAGTTGAATGCACACAACACAAGGAAGTTACTGGGAATTCTTCTGTCTAGCCTTACATGAAAAAAACCCGTTTCCAACGAAGGCCTCTAAGTGGTCAAAATTTCCACGTGCAGACTTTACAAACAGAGTGTTTCCAAACCGCTGAATGAAAAGAAAAGTTAAACTCTCAGAATTGAACGCACACATCACGCAGCAGTTTCTGAGAATGATTCTGTCTAGTTTTTATACGAAGATATTTCCTTTTCTGCCCTTGGCCCCAAAGCGCTTGAAATCTCCAATTGCAAATTCCACAAAAACAGTGTTTCAAATCTGCTCTCTCTAAATGAAAGTTCAACTCTGTCAGTTGAATACACACAACACAAGGAAGTTACTGAGAATTCTTCTGTCTAGCAGAATATGAAGAAATCCCGTTTCCAACGAAGGCCTCAAAGAGGTCTGAATATCCACTTGCAGACTTTACAAACAGAGTGTTTCCTAACTGCTCTATGAACAGAATGGTTGAACTCTGTGAGTTGAACGCATACATCACAAAGCAGTTTCTGAGAATCATTCTGTCTAGTTTCTATAGGAAGATATTTCCTATTCTACCATTGACCTCAAAGCGGCTGAAATCTCCACTTGCAAATTCCACAAAAAGAGTGTTTCAAGTCTGCTCTGTGTAAAGGATCGTTCAACTCTGTGAGTTGAATACACACAACACAACGAAGTTACTGAGAATTCTTCTGTCTAGCAGAATATGAAGAAATCCCGTTTCCAACGAAGGCCACAAGATGTCAGAATATCCACTTACAGAATTTACAAACAGACTGTTTCCTAACTGCTCTATGAAAAGAAAGGTTAAACTCTGTGAGTTGAACGAACACATCACAACGCAGTTTGTGGGAATGATTATCTGTCTAGTTTTGAAACGAAGATATTTCCTTTTCTGCCATTGACCTTAAAGCGCTTGAAATCTACACTTGCAAATTGCACAAATAGAGTGTTTCAAATCTGCTCTGTCTAAGGGAACGTTCAACTCTGTGAGTTAAATGCACACAACACAAGGAAGTTACTGGGAATTCTTCCGTCTAGCCTTACATGAAAAAAACCCGTTTCCAACGAAGGCCTCTAAGTGGTCAAAAATATCCACGTGCAGACTTTACAAACAGAGTGTTTCCAAACCGCTGAATGAAAAGAAAAGTTAAACTCTGAGAGTTGAAGGCACACATCACGCAGCAGTTTATGAGAATGATTCTGTCTAGTTTTTATACGAAGATATTTCCTTTTCTGCCTTTGGCCTCAAAGCGCTTGAAATCTCCACTTGCAAATTCCACAAAAAGAGTGTTTAAAGTCTGCTCTGTGTAAATGAAAGTTCAACTCTGTGAGTTGAACACACACAACACAAGGAAGTTACTGAGAATTCTTCTGTCTAGCATAATATGAAGAAATCCCGTTTCCACCGAAGGCCTCAAAGAGGTCTGAATATCCACTTGCAGACTTTACAAACAGAGTGTTTCCTAACTGCTCTATGAGAAGAAAAGTTAAACTCTGTGAGTTGAACGCACACATCACAAAAGATTTTCTGAGAATCATTCTGTCTAGTTTTTCTACGAAGATATTTCCTTTTCTACTATTGACCTCAAAGCGGCTGAAATCTCCACTTGCAAATTCCACAAAAAGAGTGTTTCAAGACTGCTCTGTGTAAAGGATCGTTCAAATCTGTGAGTTGAATACACACAACACAAGGAAGTTACTGAGAATTCTTCTGTCTAGCAGAATATGAAGAAATCCCGTTTCCAACGAAGGCCACAAGATGTCAGAATATCCACTTACAGACTTTACAAACAGAGTGTTTCCTAACTGCTTTATGAACAGAAAGGTTAAACTCTGTGAGTTGAACGAACACATCACAACGCAGTTTGTGGGAATGATTCTCTCTAGTTTTGAAACGAAGATATTTCCTTTTCTGCCATTGACCTTAAAGCGCTTGAAATCTCCACTTGCCAATTGCACAAAAAGAGTGTTTCAAATCTGCTCTGTCTAAGGGAACGTTCAACTCTGTGAGTTGAATGTACACAACACAAGGAAGTTACTGGGAATTCTTCTGTCTAGCCTTACATGAAAAAATCCCGTTTCCAACGAAGGCCTCTAAGTGGTCAAAATATCCACGTGCAGACATTACAAACAGAGTGTTTCCAAACCGCTGAATGAAAAGAAAAGTTAAACTCTGTGAGTTGAACGCACACATCACGCAGCAGTTTCTGAGAATGATTCTGTCTAGTTTCTATACGAAGATATTTCCTTTTCTGCCTTTGGCCTCACAGCGCTTGAAATCTCCACTTGCAAATTCCACAAAAAGAGTGTTTCAAATCTGCTCTGTGTAAATGAAAGTTCAACTCTGTGAGTTGAACACACACAACACAAGGAAGTTACTGGGAATTCTTCTGTCTAGCAGAATATGAAGAAATCCCGTTTCCAACGAAGCCCTCAAGGAGGTCTGAATATCCACTTGCAGACTTTACAAACAGAGTGTTTCCTAACTGCTCTATGAAAAGAAAGGTGAAACTCTGTGAGTTGAACGCACACATCACAAAGGAGTTTCTGAGAATCATTCTGTCTAGTTTTTATACGAAGATATTTCCTTTTCTACCATTGACCTCAAAGCGGCTGAAATCTCCACTTGCAAATTCCACAAAAAGATTTTTTCAAGTCTGCTCTGTGTAAAGGATCGTTGAACTCTGTGAGTTGAATACACACAACACAAGGAAGTTACTGAGAATTCTTCTGTCTAGCAGAATATGAAGAAATCCCGTTTCCAACGAAGGCCTCAAAGAGGTCTGAATATCCACTTGCACACTTTACAAACAGAGTGTTTCCTAACTGCTCTATGAAAAGAAAGGTTAAACTCTGCGACTTGAACGCACACATCACAAAGGAGTTTCTGAGAATCATTCTGTCTAGTATTGAAACGAAGATATTTCCTTTTCTGCCATTGACCTTAAAGCGCTTGAAATCTACACTTGCAAATTGCACAAATAGAGTGTTTCAAATCTGCTCTGTCTAAGGGAACGTTCAACTCTGTGAGTTGAATGCACACAACACAAGGAAGTTACTGGGAATTCTTCTGTCTAGCCTTACATTAAAAAAAACCGTTTCCAACGAAGGCCTCTAAGTGGTCAAATTATCCACGTGCAGACTTTACAAACAGAGTGTTTCCAAACTGCTGAATGAAAAGAAAAGTTTAACTCTGAGAGTTGAACGCACACATCGCAGAGCAGTTTCTGAGAATGATTCTGTCTAGTTTTTATACGAAGATATTTCCTTTTCTGCCTTTGGCCCCAAAGCGCTTGAAATTTCCACTTACAAATTCCACAAAAACAGTGTTTCAAATCTGCTCTCTCTAAATGAAAGTTCAACTCTGTCAGTTGAATACACACAACACAAGGAAGTTACTGAGAATTCTTCTGTCTAGCATAATATGAAGAAATCCCGTTTCCAACGAAGGCCTCAAGGAGGTCTGAATATCCACTTGCAGACTTTACAAACAGAGTGTTTCCTAAGTGCTCTATGAAAAGAAAGGTTAAACTCTGTGAGTTGAACGCACACATCACAAAGGAGTTTCTGAGAATGATTCTGTCTAGTTTCTATAGGAAGATATTTCCTATTCTACCATTGACCTCAAAGCGGCTGAAATCTCCACTTGCAAATTCCACAAAAAGAGTGTTTCAAGTCTGGTCTGTGTAAAAGATCGTTCAACTCTGTGAGTTGAATACACACAACACAAGGAAGTTACTGAGAATTCTTCTGTCTAGCCTTATATGAAAAAAACCCGTTTCCAACGAAGGCCTCAAAGAGGTCTGAATATCCACTTGCAGACTTTACAAACGGAGTGTTTCCTAACTGCTCTATGAAAAGAAAGGTTAAACTCTGTGAGTTGAACGCACACATCACAAAGGAGTTTCTGAGAATCATTCTGTCTAGTTTCTATAAGAAGATATTTCCTATTCTACCATTGACCTCAAAGCGGCTGAAATCTCCACTTGCAAATTCCACAAAAAGAGTGTTTCAAGTCTGCTCTGTGTAAAGGATCGTTCAACTCTGTGAGTTGAATACACACAACACAAGGAAGTTACTGAGAATTCTTCTGTCTAGCAGAATATGAAGAAATCCCGTTTCCAACGAAGGCCTCTAGGAGGTCTGAATATCCACTTGCAGACTTTACAAACAGAGTGTTTCCTAACTGCTCTATGAACAGAAAGGTAAAACTCTGTGAGTTGAACGAACACATCACAACGCAGTTTGTGGGAATGATTCTGTCTAGTTTTGAAACGAAGATATTTCCTTTTCTGCCGTTGACCTTAAAGCGCTTGAAATCTACACTTTCAAATTGCACAAATAGAGTGTTTCAAATCTGCTCTGTCTAAGGGAACGTTCAACTCTGTGAGTTGAATGCACACAACACAAGGAAGTTACTGGGAATTCTTCTGTCTAGCCTTACATGAAAAAAAACCCGTTTCCAACGAAGGCCTCTAAGTGGTCAAAATATCCACGTGCAGACTTTACAAACAGAGTGTTTCCAAACCGCTGAATGAAAAGAAAAGTTAAACTCTGAGAGTTGAACGCACACATCACGCAGCAGTTTCTGAGAATGATTCTGTCTAGTTTTTATACGAAGATATTTCCTTTTCTACCATTGACCTCAAAGCGGCTGAAATCTCTACTTGCAAATTACACAAAAAGAGTGTTTCAAGTCTACTCTGTGTAAAGCATCGTTCAACTCTGTGAGTTGAAAACACACAACACAAGGAAGTTTCTGAGAATTCTTCTGTATAGCAGAATATGAAGAAATCACGTTTCCAACGAAGGCCTCAAAGATGTCTGAATATCCACTTGCAGACTATAAAAACAGAGTGTTTCCTAACTGCTCTATGAAAAGAAAGGTTAAACTCTGTGAGTTGAACGCACACATCACAAAGGAGTTTCTGAGAATCATTCTGTCTAGTTTCTATAGGAAGATATTTCCTATTCTACCATTGACCTCAAAGCGGCTGAAATCTCCACTTGCAAATTCCACAAAAAGAGTGTTTCAAGTCTGCTCTGTGTAAAGGATCGTTCAACTCTGTGAGTTGAAAACACACAACACAAGGAAGTTACTGAGAATTATTCTGTCTAGCAGAATATGAAGAAATCCCGTTTCCAACGAAGGCCTCAAGGAGGTCTGAATATCCACTTGCAGACTTTACAAACAGAGTGTTTCCTAACTGCTCTATGAACAGAAAGGTTAAACTCTGTGAGTTGAACGAACACATCACAAGGCAGTTTGTGGGAAAGATTCTGTCTAGTTTTTATACGAAGATATTTCCTTTTCTACCATTGACCTCAAAGCGGATGAAATCACCACTTGCCAATTGCACAAACAGAGTGTTTCAAATCTGCTCTGTCTAAGGGAACGTTCAATTCTGTGAGTTGAATGTACACAACACAAGAAAGTTACTGGGAATTCTTCTCTCTAGCCTTACAGGAAAAAAACCCGTTTCCAACGAAGGCCTCTAAGTAGTCAAATTATCCACGTGCAGACTTTACAAACAGAGTGTTTCCAAACTGCTGAATGGAAAGAAAAGTTAAACTCTGAGAGTTGAACGCACACATCGCAGAGCAGTTTCTGAGAATGATTCTGTCTAGTTTTTATACGAAGATATTTCCTTTTCTGCCTTTGGCCCCAAAGCGCTTGACATCTCCACTTGCAAATTCCACAAAAACAGTGTTTCAAATCTGCTCTGTCTAAATGAAATTTCAACCCTGTCAGTTGAATGCACGCAACACAAGGAGGTTACTGAGAATTCTTCTGTCTAGCAGAATATGAAGAAATCCCGCTTCCAACGAAGGCCTCAAAGAAGTCTGAATATCCACTTGCAGACTTTACAAACAGAGTTTTTCCCAACTGCTCTATGAAAAGAAAGTTTGAACTCTGTGTGTTGAACGCACACATCACAAAGGAGTTTCTGAGAATCATTCTGTCTAGTTTCTATAAGAAGATATTTCCTATTCTACCATTGACCTCAAAGCGGCTGAATTCTCCACTTGCAAATTCGACAAAAAGAGTGTTTCAAGCCTGCTCTCTGTAAAGGATCCTTCAACTCTGTGAGTTGAATACACACAACACAAGGAAGTTACTGAGAATTATTCTGTCTAGCATAATATGAAGAAATCCCGTTTCCAACGAAGGCCTCAAAGAGGTCTGAATATCCACTTGCAGACTTTACAAACAGAGTGTTTCCTAACTGCTCTATGAGAAGAAAAGTTAAACTCTGTGAGTTGAACGCACGCATCACAAAAGATTTTCTGAGAATCATTCTGTCTAGTTTTGAAACGAAGATATTTCCTTTTCTGCCATTGACCTTAAAGCGCTTGAAATCTACACTTGCAAATTGCACAAATAGAGTGTTTCAAATCTGCTCTGTCTACGGAACGTTCAACTCTGTGAGTTGAATGCACACAACACAAGGAAGTTACTGGGAATTCTTCTGTCTAGCCTTACATGAAAAAAACCCGTTTCCAACGAAGGCGTCTAAGTGGTCAAAATAACCACGTGCAGACTTTACAAACAGAGTGTTTCCAAACCGCTGAATGAAAAGAAAAGTTAAACTCTGAGAGTTGAACGCACACATCACGCAGCAGTTTCTGAGAATGATTCTGTCTAATTTTGAAACGAAGATATTTCCTTTTCTGCCTTTGGCCTCAAAGCGCTTGAAATCTCCACTTGCAAATTCCACTAAAAGAGTGTTTCAAATCTGCTCTGGGTAAATGAAAGTTCAACTCTGTGAGTTGAACACACACAACACAAGGAAGTTACTGGGAATTCTTCTGTGTAGCAGAATATGAAGAAATCCCGTTTCCAACGAAGGCCTCTAGGAGGTCTGAATATCCACTTGCAGACTTTACAAACAGAGTGTTTCCTAACTGCCCTATGAAAAGAAAGGTTAAACTCTGTGAGTTGAACACACACATCACAAAGGAGTTTCTGAGAATCATTCTGTCTAGTTTTTCTACGAAGATATTTCCTTTTCTACCATTGACCTCAAAGCGGCTGAAATCTCCACTTGCAAATTCCACAAAAAGAGTGTTTCAAGTCTGCTCTGTGTAAAGGATCGTTCAACTCTGTGAGTTGAATACACACAACACAAGGAAGTTACTGGGAATTCTTCTGTCTAGCAGAATATGAAGAAATCCCGTTTCCAACGAAGGGCCACAAGATGTCAGAATATCCACTTACAGACTTTACAAACAGAGTGTTTCCTAACTGCTCTATGAACAGAAAGGTTAAACTCTGTGAGTTGAACGAATACATCACAACGCAGTTTGTGGGAATGATTCTGTCTAGTTTTGAAACGAAGATATTTCCTTTTCTGCCATTGACCTTAAAGCGCTTGAAATCTACACTTGCAAATTGCACAAATAGAGTGTTTCAAATCTGCTCTGTCTAAGCGAACGTTCATCTCTGTGAGTTGAATGCACACAACACAAGGAAGTTACTGGGAATTCTTCTGTCTAGCCTTATATGAAAAAAACCCGTTTCCAACGAAGGCCTCAAAGAGGTCTGAATATCCACTTGCAGACTTTACAAACAGAGTGTTTCCTAACTGCTCTATAAAAAGAAAGGTTAAACTCTGTGAGTTGAGCGCACACATCTCAAAGGAGTTTCTGAGAATCATTCTGTCTAGTTTTTATACGAAGAGATCTCCTTTTCTACCATTGACCTCAACGCGGCTGAAATCTCCACTTGCAAATTACACAAAAAGAGTGTTTCAAGTCCGCTCTGTGTAAAGGATCGTTCAACTCTGTGAGTTGAATACACACAACACAAGGAAGTTAATGAGAATTCTTCTGTCTAGCAGAATATGATGAAATCCCGTTTCCAACGAAGGCCTCAAAGAGGTCTGAATATCCACTTGCAGACTTTACAAACAGAGTGTTTCCTAACTGCTCTATGAAAAGAAAGGTTAAACTCTGTGAGTTGAACGCACACATCACAAAGGAGTTTCTCAGAATCATTCTGTCTAGTTTTTATACAAAGATATTTCCTTTTCTACCATGGACCTCAAAGCGGGTGAAATCTCCACTTGCAAATTCCACAAAAAGAGTGTTTCAAGTCTGCTCTGTGTAAAGGATCGTTCAACTCTTTGAGTTGAATACACACAACACAAGGAAGATTCTGAGAATTCTTCTGTCTAGCAGAATATGAAGAAATCCCGTTTCCAACGAAGGCCACAAGATGTCAGAATATCCACTT
This sequence comes from Homo sapiens, assembly GCF_000001405.40. NCBI lineage: Eukaryota > Metazoa > Chordata > Mammalia > Primates > Hominidae > Homo > Homo sapiens. The sequence goes on along the minus strand of NC_000019.10, from coordinate 25,314,743 downwards.
ACAGACTTTCCAAACAGAGTGTTTCCTAACTGCTCTATGAACAGAAAGGTTAAACTCTGTGAGTTTAACGAACACATCACATCGCAGTTTGTGGGAATGATTCTGTCTAGTTTTGAAACGAAGATATTTCCTTTTCTGCCGTTGACCTTAAAGAGCTTGAAAACTACACTTGCAAATTGCACAAATAGAGTGTTTCAAATCTGCTCTGTCTAAGGGAACGTTCAACTCTGTGAGTTGAATGCACACAACACAAGGAAGTTACTGGGAATTCTTCTGTCTAGCCTTACATGAAAAAAACCCGTTTCCAACGAAGGCCTCTAAGTGGTCAAAATTTCCACGTGCAGACTTTACAAACAGAGTGTTTCCAAACCGCTGAATGAAAAGAAAAGTTAAACTCTGAGGAGTTGAACGCACACATCACGCAGCAGTTTCTGAGAATGATTCTGTCTAGTTTTTATACGAAGATATTTCCTTTTCTGCCTTTGGCCCCAAAGCGCTTGAAATCTCCATTGGAAATTCGACAAAAACAGTGTTTCAAATCTGCTCTCTCTAAATGAAAGTTCAACTCTGTCAGTTGAATACACACAACGCAAGGAAGTTACTGAGAATTCTTCTGTCTAGCATAATATGAAGAAATCCCGTTTCCAACGAAGGCCTGAAAGAGGTCTCAATATCCACTTGCAGACTTTAAAAACAGAGTGTTTCCTAACTGCTCTATGAAAAGAAAGGTTAAACTCTGTGAGTTGAACACACACATCACAAAGGTTTTTCTGAGAATCATTCTGTCTAGTTTCTATAGGAAGATATTTCCTATTCTACCATTGACCTCAAAGCGGCTGAAATCTCCACTTGCAAATTCCACAAAAAGAGTGTTTCAAGTCTGCTCTGTGTAAAGGATCGTTCAACTCTGTGAGCTGAATACACACAACACAAGGAAGTTACTGAGAATTCTTCTTTCTAGCAGAATATGAAGAAATCCCGTTTCCAACGAAAGCCTCAAGGATGTCTGAATATCCACTTGCAGACTTTACAAACAGAGTGTTTCCTAACTGCTCTATGAAAAGAAAGGTTAAACTCTGTGAGTTGAACGAACACATCACAAAGGAGTTTCTGAGAATCATTCTGTCTAGTTTTGAAACGAAGATATTTCCTTTTCTGCCATTGATCTTAAAGCGCTTGAAATCTCCACTTGCCAATTGCGCAAAAAGAGTGTTTCAAATCTGCTCTGTCTAAGGGAACGTTCAACTCTGTGAGTTGAATGTACACAACACAAGGAAGTTACTGGGAATTCTTCTGTCTAGCCTTACTTGAAAAAAACCCGTTTCCAACGAAGGCCTCTAAGTGGTCAAAATATCCACTGTGCAGACTTTACAAACAGAGTGTTTCCAAACCGCTGAATGAAAAGAAAAGTTAAACTCTGAGAGTTGAACGCACACATCACGCAGCAGTTTCTGAGAATGATTCTGTCTAGTTTCTATAGGAAGATATTTCCTATTCTACCATTGACCTCAACGCGGCTGAAATCTCCACTTGCAAATTCCACAAAAAGAGTGTTTCAAGTCTGCTCTGTGTAAAGGATCGTTCAACTCTGTGAGTTGAATACACACAACACAAGGAAGTTACTGAGAATTATTCTGTCTAGCAGAATATGAAGAAATCCCGTTTCCAACGAAAGCCTCAAAGATGTCTGAATATCCACTTGCAGACTTTACAAACAGAGTGTTTACTATCTGTTCTATGAAAAGAAAGGTTAAACTCTGTGAGTTGAACGCACACAGCACAAAGGAGTTTCTGAGAATCATTCTGTCTAGTCTTTATACGAAGATATTTCCTTTTCTACCATTGACCTCAAAGCGGCTGAAATCTCCACTTGCAAATTCCACAAAAAGAGTGTTTCAAGTCTGCTCTGTGTAAAGAATCGTTCAACTCTGTAAGTTGAATACACACAACACAAGGAAGTTACTGAGAATTCTTCTATCTAGCAGAATATGAAGAAATCCCGTTTCCAACGAAGGCCTCAAGGAGGTCTGAATATCCACTTGCAGACTTTACAAACAGAGTGTTTCCTAACTGCTCTATGAAAAGAAAGGTTAAACTCTGTGAGTTGAACGCACACATCACAAAGGAGTTTCTGAGAATCATTCTGTCTAGTTTTTCTACGAAGATATTTCCTTTTCTACCATTGACCTCAAAGCGGCTGAAATCACCACTTGCCAATTGCACAAAAAGAGTGTTTCAAATCTGCTCTGTCTAAGGGAACGTTCAACTCTGTGAGTTGAATGTACACAACACAAGGAAGTTCCTGGGAATTCTTCTGTCTACCCTTACATGAAAAAACCCGTTTCCAACGAAGGCCTGTAAGTGGTCAAAATATCCACGTGCAGACTTTACAAACAGAGTGTTTCCAAACTGCTGAATGAAAAGAAAAGTTAAACTCTGAGAGTTGAACGCACACATCACAGAGGATTTTCTGAGAATGATTCTGTCTAGTTTTGAAACGAAGATATTTCCTTTTCTGCCTTTGGCCTCAAAGCGCTTGAAATCTCCACTTGCAAATTCCACAAAAAGAGTGTTTCAAATCTGCTCTGTGTAAATGAAAGTTCAACTCTGTGAGTTGAACACACACAGCACAAGGAAGTTACTGGGAATTCTTCTGTCTAGCCTTATATGAAAAAAACCCGTTTCCAACGAAGGCCTCAAGGAGGTCTGAATATCCACTTGCAGACTTTACAAACAGAGTGTTTCCTAACTGCTCTAAGAAAAGAAAGGTTAAACTCTTGTGAGTTGAACGCACACATCACAAAGGAGTTTCTGAGAATCATTCGGTCTAGTTTCTATAGGAAGATATTTCCTATTCTACCATTGACCTCAAAGCGGCTGAAATATCCACTTGCAAATTCCACAAAAAGAGTGTTTCAAGTCTGCTCTGTGTAAAGGATCGTTCAACTCTGTGAGTAGAATACACACAACACAAGGAAGTTACTGAGAATTATTCTGTCTACCCTTACATGAAAAAAACCCGTTTCCAACGAAGGCCTCTAAGTGGTCAAAATATCCACGTGCAGACTTTACAAACAGAGTGTTTCCAAACCGCTGAATGAAAAGAAAAGTTAAACTCTGAGAGTTGAAAGCACACATCACGCAGCAGTTTCTGAGAATGATTCTGTCTAGTTTTGAAACGAAGATATTTCCTTTTCTGCCTTTGGCCTCAAAGCGCTTGAAATCTCCACTTACAAATTCCACAAAAAGAGTGTTTCAAATCTGCTCTGTGTAAATGAAAGTTCAACTCTGTGAGTTGAACACACACAACACAAGGAAGTTACTGGGAATTCTTCTGTCTAGCAGAATGTGAAGAAATCCCGTTTCCAACGATTTCCTCAAAGAGGTCTGAATATCCACTTGCAGACTTTACAAACAGAGTGTTTCCTAACTGCTCTATGAAAAGAAAGGTTAAACTCTGTGAGTTGAACGCACACATCACAAAGGAGTTTCTGAGAATCATTCTGTCTAGTCTTTATACGAAGATATTTCCTTTTCTACCAGTGACATCAAAGCGGCTGAAATCTCCACTTGCAAATTCCACAAAAAGAGTGTTTCAAGTCTGCTCTGTGTAAAGGATCTTTCAACTCTGTGAGTTGAATACACACAACACAAGGAAGTTACTGAGAATTCTTCTGTCTAGGAGAATATGAAGAAATCCCGTTTCCAACGAAGGCCACAAGATGTCAGAATATCCACTTACAGAATTGACAAACAGACTGTTTCCTAACTGCTCTATGAAAAGAAAGGTTAAACTACTGTGAGTTGAACGAACACATCACAACGCAGTTTGTGGGAATGATTCTGTCTAGTTTTGAAACGAAGGATATTTCCTTTTCTGCCGTTGACCTTAAAGCGCTTGAAATCTACACTTGGAAATTGCACAAATAGAGTGTTTCAAATCTGCTCTGTCTAAGGGAACGTTCAACTCTGTGAGTTGAATGCGCACAACACAAGGAAGTTACTGGGAATTCTTCTGTCTAGCCTTACATGAAAAAAACCCGTTTCCAACGAAGGCCTCTAAGTGGTCAAATTATCCACGTGCAGACTTTACAAACAGAGTGTTTCCAAACTGCTGAATGAAAAGAAAAGTTAAACTCTGAGAGTTGAATGCACACATCTCAGAGCAGTTTCTGAGAATGATTCTGTCTACTTTTTATACGAAGATATTTCCTTTTCTGCCTTTGGCCTCAAATCGCTTGAAATCTCCACTTGCAAATTCCACAAAAAGAGTGTTTCAAATCTGCTCTGTGTAAATGAAAGTTCAACTCTGTGAGTTGAACACACACAACACAAGGAAGTTACTGGGAATTCTTCTGTCTAGCAGAATATGAAGAAATCCCGTTTCCAACGAAGGCCTCAAAGAGGTCTGAATATCCACTTGCAGACTTTACAAACAGAGTGTTTCCTAACTGCTCTCTGAAAAGAAAGGTTAAACTCTGTGAGTTGAACGCACACATCACGAAGGAGTTTCTGAGAATCTTTCTGTCTAGTTTCTATAGGAAGATATTTCCTATTCTACCATTGAACTCAAAGCGGCTGAAATCTCCACTTGCAAATTCCACAAAAAGAGTGTTTCAAGTCGGCTCTGTGTAAAGGATCGTTCAACTCTGTGAGTTGAATACACACAACACAAGGAAGTTACTGAGAATTCTTCTGTCTAGCAGAATATGAAGAAATCCCGTTGCCAACGAAGGCCTCAAGGAGGTCTGAATATCCACTTGCAGACTTTACAAACAGAGTGTTTCCCAACTGCTCTATGAAAAGAAAGGTTGAACTCTGTGAGTTGAACGCACACATCACAAAGGAGTTTCTGAGAATCATTCTGTCTAGTTTCTATAGGAAGATATTTCCTTTTCTACCATTGACCTCAAATCGGCTGAAATCTCCACTTGTAAATTCCACAAAAAGAGTGTTTCAAGTCTGCTCTGTGTAAAGGATCGTTCAACTCTGTGAGTTGAATACACACAACACAAGGAAGTTACTGAGAATTCTTCTTTCTAGCAGAATATGAAGAAATCCCGTTTCCAACGAAAGCCTCAAGGATGTCTGAATATCCACTTGCAGACTTTACAAACAGAGTGTTTCCCAACTGCGCTATGAAAAGAAAGGTTAAACTCTGTGAGTTGAACGCACACATCACAAAGGAGTTTCTGAGAATCATTCTGTCTAGTTTCTATAAGAAGCTATTTCCTATTCAACCATTGACCTCAAAGCGGCTGAAATCTCCACTTGCAAATTCGACAAAAAGAGTGTTTCAAGCCTGCTCTCTGTAAAGGATCCTTCAACTCTGTGAGTTGAATACACACAACACAAAGAAGTTACTGAGAATTATTCTGTCTAGCAGAATATGAAGAAATCCCGTTTCCAAAGAAGGCCACAAGATGTCAGAATATCCACTTACAGACTTTACAAACAGAGTGTTTCCTAACTGCTCTATGAACAGAAAGGTTAAACTCTGTGAGTTGAACGAACACATCACAACGCAGTTTGTGGGAATGATTCTGTCTAGTTTTTATAGGAAGTTATTTCCTTTTCTACCTTTGACTTCAAAGTGGCTGAAATCTCCACTTGCAAATTCCACAAAATGAGTGTTACAAGTCTGCTCTGTGTAAAGGATCGTTCAACTCTGTGAGTTGAATACACACAACACAAGGAAGTTACTGAGAATTCTTCTGTCTAGCCTTACAGGAAAAAAACCCGTTTCCAACGAAGGCCTCTAAGTGGTCAAAATATCCACGTGCAGACTTTACAAACAGAGTGATTCCAAACTGCTGAATGAAAAGAAAAGTTAAACTCTGAGAGTTGAACGCACACATCGCAGAGCAGTTTCTGAGAATGATTCTGTCTAGTTTTTATACGAAGATATTTCGTTTTCTGCCTTTGGCCCCAAAGCGCTTGAAATCTCCACTTGCAAATGCCACAAAAACAGTGTTTCAAATCTGCTCTCTCTAAATGAAAGTTCAACTCTGTCAGTTGAATACACACAACACAAGGAAGTTACTGAGAATTCTTCTGTCTAGCATAATATGAAGAAATCCCGTTTCCAACGAAGGCCTCAAAGAGGTCTGAATATCCACTTGCAGACTTTACAAACAGAGTGTTTCCTAACTGCTCTATGAAAAGAAAGGTTAAACTCTGTGAGTTGAACGCACGCATCACAAAGGAGTTTCTGAGAATCATTCTGTCTAGTTTCTATAGGAAGATATTTCCTATTCTACCATTGACCTCAAAGCGGCTGAAATCTCCACTTGCAAATTCCACAAAAAGAGTGTTTCAAGTCTGCTCTCTGTAAAGGATCGTTCCACTCTGTGAGTTGAATACACACAACACAAAGATGTTACTGAGAATTCTTCTGTCTACCAGAACATGAAGAAATCCCGCTTCCAACGAAGGCCTCAAGGAGGTCTGAATATCCACTTGCAGACTTTACAAACAGAGTGTTTCCTAACTGCTCTATGAAAAGAAAGGTTAAACTCTGTGAGTTGAACGCAAACATCACAAAGAAGTTTCTGAGAATCATTCTGTCTAGTCTTTATAGGAAGATATTTACTTTTCTACCATTGACCTCAAAGCGGCTGAAATCTCCACTTGCAAATTCCACAAAAAGAATGTTTCAAGTCTGCTCTGTGTAAAGGATCGTTCAACTCTGTGAGTTGAATACACACAACACAAGGAAGTTACTGAGAATTCTTCTGTCTAGCCTTATATGAAAAAAACCCGTTTCCAACGAAGGTCTCAAAGAGGTCTGAATATCCACTTGCAGACTTTACAAACAGAGTGTTTCCTAACTACTCTATGAAAAGAAAGGTTAAACTCTGTGAGTTGAACGCACACATCACAAAGGAGTTTCTGAGAATCATTCTGTCTAGTTTCTATTGGAAGATATTTCCTATTCAACCATTGACCTCAAAGCGGCTGAAATCTCCACTTGCAAATTCCACAAAAAGAGTGTTTCAAGTCTGCTCTGTGTAAAGGATCGTTCAACTCTGTGAGTTGAATACACACAACACAAGGGAAGTTACTGAGAATTCTTCTGTGAAGCAGAATATGAAGAAATCCCGTTTCCAACGAAGGCCTCAGAGAGGTCTGAATATCCCCTTGCAGACTTTACAAACAGAGTGTTTCCTAACTGCTCTATGAAAAGAAACGTTAAACTCTGTGAGTTGAACGCACACATCACAAAGGAGTTTCTGAGAATCATTCTGTCTAGTTTTAAAACGAAGAAATTTCCTTTTCTGCCATTGACCTTAAAGCGCTTGAAATCTACACTTGCAAATTGCACAAATAGAGTGTTTCAAATCTGCTCTGTCTAAGGGAACGTTCAACTCTGTGAGTTGAATGCACACAACACAAGGAAGTTACTGGGAATTCTTCTGTCTAGCCTTACATGAAAAAACCCGTTTCCAACAAAGACCTCTAAGTGGTCAAATTATCCACATGCAGACTTTACAAACCAGAGTGTTTCCTAACTGCTCTATGAAAAGAAAAGTTAAACTCTGAGAGTTGAACGCACACATCGCAGAGCAGTTTCTGAGAATGATTCTGTCTAGTTTTTATACGAAGATATTTCCTTTTCTACCTTTGGCCACAAAGCGCTTGAAATCTCCACTTGCAAATTCCACAAAAACAGTGTTTCAAATCTGCTCTCTCTAAATGAAAGTTTAACTCTGTCAGTTGAAAACACACAACACAAGGAAGTTACTGAGAATTCTTCTGTCTAGCATAATATGAAGAAATCCCGTTTCGAAAGAAGGCCTCAAAGGGGTCTGAATAGCCACTTGCAGACTTTACAAACAGAGTGTTTCCTAACTGCTCTATGAAAAGAAAGCTTAAACTCTGTGAGTTGAACGCACACATCACAAAGGAGTTTCTGAGAATCATTCTGTCTAGTTTCTATAGGAAGATATTTCCTATTCTACCATTGACCTCAAAGCGCCTGAAATCTCCACTTGCAAATTCCACAAAAAGAGTGTTTCAAGTCTGCTCTCTGTAAAGGATCGTTCAACTCTGTGAGTTGAATACACACAAAAGAAGGAAGTTACTGAGAATTATTCTGTCTAGCATAATATGAAGAAATCCCGTTTCCAACGAAGGCCTCAAAGGGTTCTGAATATCCACTTGCAGACATTACAAACAGAGTGTTTCCTAACTGCTCTGTGAAAAGAAACGTTAAACTCTGTGAGTTGAACGCACACATCACAAAGGAGTTTCTGAGAATCATTCTGTCTAGTTTCTATAGGAAGATATTTCCTATTCTACCATTGACCTCAAAGCGGCTGAAATCTCCACTTGCAAATTCCAGAAAAAGAGTGTTTCAAGTCTGCTCTGTGTAAAGGATCGTTGAAATCTGTGAGTTGAATACACACAACACAAGGAAGTTACTGAGAATTCTTCTGTCTAGCCTTATATGAAAAAAACCCGTTTCCAACGAAGGCCTCAAAGAGGTCTGAATATCCACTTGCAGACTTTACAAACAGAGTGTTTCCTAACTGCTCTAAGAAAAGAAAGGTTAAACTCCTGTGAGTTGAACGTACACATCACAAAGAAGTTTCTGAGAATCATTCTGTCTATTTTCTATAGGAAGATATTTCCTATTCTACCATTGACCTCAAAGCGGCAGAAATCTCCACTTGCAAATTCCACAAAAAGAGTGTTTCATGTCTGCTCTGTGTAAAGGATCGTTCAACTCTGTGAGTTGAATACACACAACACAAAGAAGTTACTGAGAATTCTTCTGTCTAGCAGAATATGAAGAAATCCCATTTCCAACGAAGGAATCAAGGAGGTCTGAATATCCACTGGCAGACTTTACAAACAGAGTGTTTCCTAACTGCTCTATGAACAGAAAGGTTAAACTCTGTGATTTGAACGCACACATCACAAAGGAGTTTCTGAGAATCATTCTGTCTAGTTTCTATAGGAAGATATTTCCTATTCTACCATTGACCTCAAAGCAGCTGAAATCTCCACTTGCAAATTCCACAAAAAGAGTGTTTCAACTCTGCTCTGTGTAAAGGATTGTTCAACTCTGTGAGTTGAATACACACAACACAAGGAAGTTACTGAGAATTCTTCTGTCTAGCAGAATATGAAGAAATCCCGTTTCCAACGAAGGCCTCAAAGAGGTCTGAATATCCACTTGCAGACTTTACAAACAGAGTGTTTCCTAACTGCTCTATGAACAGAAAGGTTAAACTCTGTGAGTTGAACGAACACATCACAACGCAGTTTGTGGGAATGATTCTGTCTTGTTTTGAAACGAAGATATTTCCTTTTCTGCCATTGACCGTAAAGCGCTTGAAATCTCCACTTGCCAATTGCACAAAAAGAGTGTTTCAAATCTGCTCTGTCTAAGGGAACGTTCAACTCTGTGAGTTGAATGTACACAACACAAGGAAGTTACTGGGAATTCTTCTGTCTAGCCTTACAGGAAAAAAACCCGTTTCCAACGAAGGCCTCAAAGAGGTCTGAATATCCACTTGCAGTCTTTACAAACAGAGTGTTTCCTAACTGCTCTATGAAAAGAAAGGTTAAACTCTGTGAGTTGAACGCACACATCACAAAGGAGTTTCTGAGAATAATTCTGTCTAGTTTTGAAACGAAGATATTTCCTTTTCTGCCTTTGGCCTCAAAGTGCTTGAAATCTCCACTTGCAAATTCCACAAAAAGAGTGTTTCAAATCTGCTCTGTGTAAATGAAAGTTCAACTCTGTGAGTCGAACACACACAACACAAGGAAGTTACTGGGAATTCTTCTGTCTAGCATAATATGTAGAAATCCCGTTTCCAACGAATGCCTCAAAGAGGTCTGAATATCCACTTGCAGACTTTACAAACAGAGTGTTTCCTAACTGCTCTATGAAAAGAAAGGTTAAACTGTGTGAGTTGAACGCACACATCACAAAGGAGTTTCTGAGAATCATTCTGTCTAGTTTCTATAGGAAGATATTTCCTATTCTACCATTGACCTCAAAGCGGCTGAAATATCCACTTGCAAATTCCACAAAAAGAGTGTTTCAAGTCTGCTCTGTGTAAAGGATCGTTCAACTCTGTGAGTTGAATACACACAACACAAGGAAGTTACTGAGAATTCTTCTGTCTAGCAGAATATGAAGAAATCCCGTTTCCAACGAAGGCCTCAAGGAGGTCTGAATATCCACTTCCAGACTTTACAAACAGAGTGTTTCCTAACTGCTCTATGAACAGAAAGGTTAAACTCTGTGAGTTGAACGAACACATCACAACGCAGTTTGTGGGAATGATTCTGTCTAGTTATTATACGAAGATATTTCCTTTTCTACCATTGACCTCAAAGCGGCTGAAATCACCACTTGCCAATTGCACAAAAAGAGTGTTTCAAATCTGCTCTGTCTAAGGGAACGTTCAACTCTGTGAGTTGAATGTACACAACACAAGGAAGTTACTGGGAATTCTTCTGTCTAGCCTTACATGAAAAAAAACCGTTTCCAACGAAGGCCTCTAAGTGGTCAAAATATCCACGTGCAGACTTTACAAACAGAGTGTTTCCAAACCGCTGAATGAAAAGAAAAGTTAAACTCTGAGAGTTGAACGCACACATCACACAGCAGTTTCTGAGAATGATTCTGTCTAGTTTTTATACGAAGATATTTCCTTTTCTGCCTTTGGCCTCAAAGCGCTTGAAATCTCCACTTGCAAATTCCACAAAAAGAGTGTTTCAAATCTGCTCTTTGTATATGAAAGTTCAACTCTGTGAGTTGAACACACACAACACAAGGGAAGTTACTGGGAATCCTTCTGTCTAGCCTTATATGAAAAAAACCCGTTTCCAACGAAGGCCTCAAAGAGATCGGAATATCCACTTGCAGACTTTACAAACAGAGTGTTTCCTAACTGCTCTATGAAAAGAAAGGTTAAACTCTGTGGGTTGAACACACACATCACAAAGGAGTTTCTGAGAATCATTCTGTCTACTTTTTATACGAAGAGATTTCCTTTTCTACCATTGACCTCAACGCGGCTGAAATCTCCACTTGCAAATTCCACAAAAAGAGTGTTTCAAGTCCGCTCTGTGTAAAGGATCCTTCAACTCTGTGAGTTGAATACACACAACACAAGGAAGTTAATGAGAATTCTTCTTTCTAGCAGAATATGAAGAAATCCCGTTTCCAACGAAAGCCTCAAGGATGTCTGAATATCCACTTGCAGACTTTACAAACAGAGTGTTTCCTAACTTCTCTATGAAAAGAAAGGTTAAACTCTGTGAGTTGCACGCACACATCACAAAGGAGTTTCTGAGAATCATTCTGTCTAGTTTCTATAGGAAGATATTTCCTATTCTACCATTGACCTCAAAGCGGCTGAAATCTCCACTTGCAAATTACACAAAAAGAGTGTTTCAAGTCTGCTCTCTGTAAAGGATCGTTCAACTCTGTGAGTTGAATACACACAACACAAGGAAGTTACTGAGAATTATTCTGTCTAGCAGAATATGAAGAAATCCCGCTTCCAACGAAGGCCTCAAAGAAGTCTGAATATCCACTTGCAGACTTTACAAACAGAGTGTTTCCCAACTGCTCTATGAAAAGAAAGGTTGAACTCTGTGAGTTGAACGCACACATCACAAAGCAGTTTCTGAGAATCATTCTGTGTACTTTCTATAGGAAGATATTTCCTATTCTACCTTTGAACTCAAAGCGGCTGAAATCTCCACTTGCAAATTCCACAAAAAGTGTGTTTCAAGTCTGCTCTGTGTAAAGGATCGTTCAACTCTGTGAGTTGAATACACACAACACAAGGAAGTTCCTGAGAATTCCTCTGTCCAGCAGAATATGAAGAAATCCCGTTTCCAACGAAGGCCACAAGATGTCAGAATATCCACTTACAGACTTTACAAACAGAGTGTTTCCTAACTGCTCTATGAACAGAAAGGTTAAACTCTGTGAGTTGAACGAACACATCACAACGCAGTTTGTGGGAATGATTCTGTCTAGTTTTGAAACGAAGATATTTCCTTTTCTGCCATTGACCTTAAAGCGCTTGAAATCTACACTTGCAAATTGCACAAATAGAGTGTTTCAAATCGGCTCTGTCTAAGGGAACGTTCAACTCTGTGAGTTGAATGCACACAACACAAGGAAGTTACTGGGAATTCTTCTGTCTAGCCTTATATGAAAAAAACCCGTTTCCAACGAAGGCCTCTAAGTGGTCAAAATATCCACGTGCAGACTTTACAAACAGAGTGTTTCCAAACTGCTGAATGAAAAGAAAAGTTAAACTCTGAGAGTTGAACGCACACATCACAGAGGATTTTCTGAGAATGATTCTGTCTAGTTTTTATACGAAGATATTTCCTTTTCTTCCTTTGGCCCCAAAGCGCTTGAAATCTCCACTTGCAAATTCCACAAAAACAGTGTTTCAAATCTGCTCTCTCTAAATGAAAGTTCAACTCTGTCAGTTGAATACACACAACACAAGGAAGTTACTGAGAATTCTTCTGTCTAGCACAGTATGAAGAAATCCCGTTTCCAACGAAGGCCTCAAGGAGGTCTGAATATCCACTTGCAGAGTTTACAAACAGAGTGTTTCCTAACTGCTCTATGAAAAGAAAGGTTAAACTCTGTGAGTTGAACGCACACATCACAAAGAAGTTTCTGAGAATCATTCTGTCTAGTTTTTATAGGAAGATATTTCCTTTTCTACCTTTGACTTCAAAGCGGCTGAAATCTCCACTTGCAAATTCCACAAAAAGAGTCTTACAAGTCTGCTCTGTGTAAAGGATCGTTCAACTCTGTGAGTTGAATACACACAACACAAGGAAGTTACTGAGAATTCTTCTGTCTAGCCTTACAGGAAAAAAACCCGTTTCCAACGAAGGCCTCTAAGAGGTCAAATTATCCACGTGCAGACTTTACAAACAGAGTGTTTCCAAACTGCTGAATGAAAAGAAAAGTTAAACTCTGAGAGTTGAACGCACACATCGCAGAGCAGTTTCTGAGAATGATTCTGTCTAGGTTTTATACGAAGATATTTCCTTTTCTGCCTTTGGCCTCAAAGCGCTTGAAATCTCCATTTGCAAATTCCACAAAAAGAGTGTTTCAAATCTGCTCTGTGTAAATGAAAGTTCAACTCTGTGAGTTGAACACACACAACACAAGGAAGTTACTGGGAATTCTTCTGTCTAGCCTTATATGAAAAAAACCCGTTTCCAACGAAGGCCTCAAGAGGTCTGAATATCCACTTGCAGACTTTACAAACAGAGTGTTTCCTAACTGCTCTATGAAAAGAAAGGTTAAACTCTGTGAGTTGAACACACACATCACAAAGGAGTTTCTGAGAATCATTCTGTCTACTTTTTATACGAAGATATTTCCTATTCTACCATTGACCTCAAAGCGGCTGAAATCTCCACTTGCAAATTCAACAAAAAGTGTGTTTCAAGTCTACTCTGTGTAAAGCATCGTTGAACTCTGTGAGTTGAATACACACAACACAAGGAAGTTACTGAGAATTCTTCTGTCTAGCAGAATATGAAGAAATCCCATTTCCAACGAAGGACACAAAATGTCAGAATATCCACTTACAGACTTTACAAACAGAGTGTTTCCTAACTGCTCTATGAACAGAAAGGTTAAACTCTGTGAGTTGAACGAACACATCACAACGCAGTTTGTGGGAATGATTCTGTCTAGTTTTGAAACGAAGATATTTTCTTTTCTGCCATTGACCTTAAAGCGCTTGAAATCTCCATTTGCCAATTGCACAAAAAGAGTGTTTCAAATCTGCTCTGTCTAAGGGAACGTTCAACTCTGTGAGTTGAATGTACACAACACAAGGAAGTTACTGGGAAATCTTCTGTCTAGCATAATATGAAGAAATCCCGCTTCCAACGAAGGCCTCAAAGAAGTCTGAATATCCACTTGCAGACTTTACAAACAGAGTGTTTCCCAACTGCTCTATGAAAAGAAAGGTTGAACTCTGTGAGTTGTACGCACACATCACAAAGGAGTTTCTGAGAATCATTCTGTCTAGTTTCTATAGGAAGATATTTCCTATTCTACCATTGAACTCAAATCGGCTGAAATCTCCACTTGCAAATTCCACAACAAGAGTGTTTCAAGTATGCTCTGTGTAAAGGATCGTTCAACTCTGTGAGTTGAATACACACAACACAAGGAAGTTACTGAGAATTCTTCTGTCTAGCATAATATGAAGAAATCCCGTTTCCAATGAAGGCCTCAAGGAGGTCTGAATATCCACTTGCAGACTTTACAAACAGAGTGTTTCCTAACTGCTCTATGAAAAGAAAGGTTAAACTCTGTGAGTTGAACGCACACATCACAAAGGAGTTTCTGAGAATCATTCTGTCTAGTCTTTATACGAAGATATTTACTTTTCTACCGTTGACCTCAAAGCGGCTGAAATCTCCACTTGCAAATTCCACAAAAAGAGTGTTTCAAGTCTGCTCTGTGTAAAGGATCATTCAACTCTGTGAGTTGAATAAACACAACACAAGGAAGTTACTGAGAATTCTTCTGTCTAGCAAAGTATGGAGAAATCCCGTTTCCAACGAAGGCCTCAAAGAGGTCTGAATATCCACTTGCAGAGTTTACAAACAGAGTGTTTCCTAACTGCTCTATGAAAAGAAAGGTTAAACTCTGTGAGTTGAACGCACACATCACAATGAAGTTTCTGAGAATCATTCTGTCTAGTTTCTATTAGAAGATATTTCCTATTCTACCATTGACCTCAAAGCGGCTGAAATCTCCACTTGCAAATTCGACAAAAAGAGTGTTTCAAGCCTGCTCTCTGTAAAGGATCCTTCAACTCTGTGAGTTGAATACACACAACACAAGGAAGTTACTGAGAATTCTTCTGTCTAGCATAATATGAAGAAATCCCGTTTCCAACGAAGGCCTCAAGGAGGTCTGTATATCCACTTGCAGACTTTACAAACAGAGTGTTTCCTAACTGCTCTATGAAAAGAAAGGTTAAACTGTGTGAGTTGAACGCACACATCACAAAGGAGTTTCTGAGAATCATTCTGTCTAGTTTTTATACGAAGATATTTCCTTTTCTACCATTGACCTCAACGCGGCAGAAACCTCCACTTGCAAATTCCACAAAACGAGTGTTTCAAGTCCGCTCTGTGTAAAGGATCGTTCAACTCTGTGAGTTGAATACACACAACACAAGGAAGTTACTTGAGAATTCTTCTGTCTAGCAGAATATGAAGAAATCCCGTTTCCAACGAAGGCCACAAGATGTCAGAATATCCACTTACAGAATTTACAAACAGACTGTTTCCCAACTGCTCTATGAAAAGAAAGGTTAAACTCTGTGAGTTGAACACACACATCAGAATGAAGTTTCTGAGAATCATTCTGTCTAGTTTTTATACGAAGATATTTCCTTTTCTACCATTGACCTCAAAGAGGCTGAAATCGCCACTTGCCAATTGCACAAAAAGAGTGTTTCAAATCTGCTCTGTCTAAGGGAACGTTCAACTCTGTGAGTTGAATGTACACAACACAAGGAAGTTACTGGGAATTCTTCTCTCTAGCCTTACATGAAAAAAACCCGTTTCCAACGAAGGCCTCTAAGTGGTCAAGTTATCCACGTGCAGACTTTACAAACAGAGTGTTTCCAAACTTCTGAATGAAAAGAAAAGTTAAACTCTGAGAGTTGAACGCACACATCGCAGAGCAGTTTCTGAGAATGATTCTGTCTAGTTTTTATACGAAGATATTTCCTTTTCTGCCTTTGGCCCCAAAGCGCTTGAAATCTCCACGTGCAAATTCCACAAAAACAGTGTTTCAAATCTGCTCTCTCTAAATGAAAGTTCAACTCTGTCAGTTGAATACACACAACACAAGGAAGTTACTGAGAATTCTTCTGTCTAGCAGAATATGAAGAAATCCCGTTTCCAACGAAAGCCTCAAAGAGGTCTGAATATCCACTTGCAGACTTTACAAACAGAGTGTTTCCTAACTGCTCTATGAAAAGAAAGGTTAAACTCTGTGAGTTGAACGCACACATCACAAAGGAGTTTCTGAGAATCATTCCGTCTAGTTTTTATACGAAGATATTTCCTTTTCTACCGTGGACCTCAAAGCGGCTGAAATCTCCACTTGCAAATTCCACAAAAAGAGTGTTTCAAGTCTGCTCTGTGTAAAGGATCGTTCAACTCTGTGAGTTGAATACACACAACACAAGGAAGATTCTGAGAATTCTTCTGTCTAGCAGAATATGAAGAAATCCCGTTTCCAACGAAGGCCAGAAGATGTCAGAATATCCACTTACAGACTTTACAAACAGAGTGTTTCCTAACTGCTCTATGAACAGAAAGGTTAAACTCTGTGAGTTGAACGAACACATCACAACGCAGTTTGTGGGAATGATTCTGTCTAGTTTTGAAACGGAGATATATCCTTTTCTGCCATTGACCTTAAAGCGCTTGAAATCTACACTTGCAAATTACACAAATAGAGTGTTTCAAATCTGCTCTGTCTAAGGGAACGTTCATCTCTGTGAGTTGAATGCACACAACACAAGGAAGTTACTGGGAATTCCTCTGTCTAGCCTTACAGGAAAAAAACCCGTTTACAACGAAGGCCTCTAAGTGGTCAAATTATCCACGTGCAGACTTTACAAACAGAGTGTTTCCAAACTGCTGAATGAAAACAAAAGTTAAACTCTGAGAGTTGAACGCACACATCGCAGAGCAGTTTCTGAGAATGATTCTGTCTAGTTTTTATACGAAGATATTTCCTTTTCTGCCTTTGGCCTCAAAGCGCTTGAAATCTCCACCTGCAAATTCCACAAAAAGAGTGTTTCAAATCTGCTCTGTGTAAATGAAAGTTCAACTCTGTGAGTTGAACACACACAACCCAAGGAAGTTACTGGGAATTCTTCTGTCTAGCAGAATATGAAGAAATCCCGTTTCCAACGAAGGCCTCAAAGAGGTCTGAATATCCACTTGCAGACTTTACAAACAGAGTGTTTCCTAACTGCTCTATGAAAAGAAAGTTTAAACTCTGTCAGTTGAACGCAAACATCACAAAGGAGTTTCTGAGAATCATTCTGTCTAGTATTTATACGAAGATATTTCCTTTTCTACCGTTGACCTCAACGCGGCTGAAATCTCCACTTGCAAATTCCACAAAAAGAGTGTTTCAAGTCTGCTCTGTGTAAAGGATCGTTCAACTCTGTGAGTTGAATACACACAACACAAGGAAGTTACTGAGAATTCTTCTGTCTAGCAGAATATGAAGAAATCCCGTTTCCAACGAAGGCCACAAGATGTCAGAATATCCACTTACGGACTTTACAAACAGAGTGTTTCCTAACTGCTCTATGAACAGAAAGGTTAAACTCTGTGAGTTGAACGAACACATCACAACGCAGTTTTTGGGAATGATTCTGTCTAGTTTTGAAACGAAGACATTTCCTTTTCTGCCATTCACCTTAAAGCGCTTGAATTCTACACTTGCAAATTGCACAAATAGAGTGTTTCAAATCTGCTCTGTCTAAGGGAACGTTCAACTCTGTGAGTTGAATGCACACAACACAAGGAAGTTACTGGGAATTCTTCTGTCTAGCCTTAC
This sequence comes from Homo sapiens, assembly GCF_000001405.40. Taxonomy (NCBI): domain Eukaryota; kingdom Metazoa; phylum Chordata; class Mammalia; order Primates; family Hominidae; genus Homo; species Homo sapiens. The sequence continues at coordinate 25,297,117 of NC_000019.10, read as the reverse complement.
ATGAAAAAAACCCGTTTCCAACGAAGGCCTCTAAGTGGTCAAATTATGTACGTGCAGACTTTACAAACAGAGTGTTTCCAAACTGCTGAAGGAAAAGAAAAGTTAAACTCTGAGAGTTGAACACACACATCGCAGAGCAGTTTCTTAGAATGATTCTGTCTAGTTTTTATACGAAGATATTTCCTTTTCTGCCTTTGGCCTCAAAGCGCTTGAAATCTCCACTTGCAAATTCCACAAAAAGAGTGTTTCAAATCTGCTCTGTGTAAATGAAAGTTCAACTCTGTGAGTTGAACACACACAACACAAGGAAGTTACTGGGAATTGTTCTGTCTAGCACAGTATGAAGAAATCCCGTTTCCAACGAAGGCCTCAAAGAGGTCTGAATATCCACTTGCAGAGTTTACAAACAGAGTGTTTCCTAACTGCTCCATGAAAAGAAATGTTAAACTCTGTGAGTTGAACGCACACATCACAAAGAAGTTTCTGAGAATCATTCTGTCTAGTTTCTATAGGAAGATATTTCCTATTCTACCATTGACCTCAAAGCGGCTGAAATCTCCACTTGCAAATTCCACAAAAAGAGTGTTTCAAGTCTGCTCTGTGTAAAGGATCGTTCAACTCTGTGAGTTGAATACACACAACACAAGGAATTTACTGAGAATTCTTCTGTCTAGCCTTACAGGAAAAAAACCCGTTTCCAACGAAGGCCTCTAAGTGGTCAAGTTATCCACGTGCAGACTTTACAAACAGAGTGTTTCCAAACTTCTGAATGAAAAGAAAAGTTAAACTCTGAGAGTTGAACGCACACATCGCAGAGCAGTTTCTGAGAATGATTCTGTCTAGTTTTTATACGAAGATATTTCCTTTTCTGCCTTTGGCCTCAAAGCGCTTGAAATCTCCACTTGCAAATTCCACAAAAAGAGTGTTTCAAATCTGCTCTGTGTAAATGAAAGTTCAACTCTGTGAGTTGAACACACACAACACGAGGAAGTTACTGGGAATTCTTCTGTATAGCAGAATATGAAGAAATCCCGTTTCCAACGAAAGCCTCAAAGATGTCTGAATATCCACTTGCAGACTTTACAAACAGAGTGTTTCCTAACTGCTCTATGAAAAGAAAGGTTAAACTCTGTTAGTTGAACGCACACATCACAAAGGATTTTCTGAGAATCATTCTGTCTAGTCTTTATACGAAGATAATTCCTTTTCTACCATTGACCACAAAGCGGCTGAAATCTCCACTTGCAAATTCCACAAAAAGAGTGTTTCAAGTCTGCTCTGTGTAAAGGATCGTTCAACTCTGTGAGTTGAATACACACAACACAAGGAAGTTACTGAGAATTCTTCTGTCTAGCAGAATATGAAGAAATCCCGTTTCCAACGAAGGCCTCAAGGAGGTCTGAATATCCACTTGCAGACTTTACAAACAGAGTGTTTCCCAACTGCTCTATGAAAAGAAAGGTTAAACTGTGTGAGTTGAACGCACACATCACAAAGGAGTTTCTGAGAATCATTCTGTCTAGTCTTTATACGAAGATATTTCCTTTTCTACCATTGACCTCAAAGCGGCTGAAATCTCCACTTGCAAATTCCACAAAAAGAGTGTTTCAAGTCTGCTCTGTGTAAAGGATCGTTCAACTCTGTGAGTTGAATACACACAACACAAGGAAGTTACTGAGAATTGCTTTCTGTCTAGCATAATATGAAGAAATCCCGTTTCCAACGAAGGCCTCAAGGAGGTCTGAATATCCACTTGCAGACTTTACAACCAGAGTGTTTCCTAACTGCTCTATGAAAAGAAAGGTTAAACTCTGCGAGTTGAACGCACACATCACAAAGGAGTTTCTGAGAATCATTCTGTCTAGTTTCTATAGGAAGTTATTTCCTATTCTACCATTGACCTCAAAGCGGCTGAAATCTCCACTTGCAAATTCCACAAAAAGAGTGTTTCAAGTCTGCTCTGTGTAAAGGATCATTCAACTCTGTGAGTTGAATACACACAACACAAGGAAGTTACTGAGAATTCTTCTGTCTAGCAGAATATGAAGAAATCCCGTTTCCAAAGAAGGCCTCAAAGAGGTCTGAATATCCCCTTGCAGACTTTACCAACAGAGTGTTTCCTAACTGCTCTATGAAAAGAAAGGTTAAACTCTGTGAGTTGAACGCACACATCACAAAGGAGTTTCTGAGAATCATTCTGTCTAGTTTTTATACGAAGATATTTCCTTTTCTACCATTGACCTCAAAGCGGCTGAAATCTCCACTTGCAAATTCCACAAAAAGAGTGTTTCAAGTCTGCTCTGTGTAAAGGATCGTTCAACTCTGTGAGTTGAATACACAAAACACAAGGAAGTTTCTGAGAATTCTTCTGTATAGCAGAATATGAAGAAATCCCGTTTCCAACGAAGGCCTCAAGGAGGTCTGAATATGCACTTGCAGACTTTACAACCAGAGTGTTTCCTAACTGCTCTATGAAAAGAAAGGTTAAACTCTGTGAGTTGAACGCAGACATCACAAAGGAGTTTCTGAGAATCACTCTGTCTAGTTTTTATACGAAGATATTTCCTTTTCTACCATTGACCTCAAAGCGGCTGAAATCTCCACTTGCCAATTCCACAAAAAGAGTGTTTCAAGTCTACTCTGTGTAATGGATCGTTGAACTCTGTGAGTTGAAAACACACAACACAAGGAAGTTTCTGAGAATTCTTCTGTCTAGCAGAATATGAAGAAATCCCGTTTCCAACGAAAGCCTCAAAGATGTCTGAATATCCACTTGCAGACTTTACAAACAGAGTGTTTCCTAACTGCTCTATGAAAAGAAAGTTTAAACTCTGTGAGCTGAACGCACACAGCACAAAGGAGTTTCTGAGAATCATTCTGTCTAGTTTCCATAGGAAGATATTTCCTATTCTACCATTGACCTCAAAGCGGCTGAAATCTCCACTTGCAAATTCCACAAATGGAGTGTTTCAAGTCTGCTCTGAGTAAAGGATCGTTCGACTCTGTGAGTTGAATAAACACAACACAAGGAAGTTTCTGAGAATTCTTCTGTCTAGCAGAATATGAAGAAATCCCGTTTCCTACGAAAACCTCAAAGATGTCTGAATATCCACTTGCAGACTTTACAAACAGAATGTTTCCTAACTGCTCTATGAAAAGAAAGGTTAAACTCTGTGAGTTGAACGCACACATCACAAAGGAGTTTCTGAGAATCATCTGTCTAGTTTTGAAACGAAGATATTTCCTTTTCTGCCGTTGACCTTAAAGCGCTTGAAATCTACACTTTCAAATTGCACAAATAGAGTGTTTCAAATCTGCTCTGTCTAAGGGAACGTTCAACTCTGTGAGTTGAATGCACACAACACAAGGAAGTTACTGGGAATTCTTTCTGTCTAGCCTTACAGGAAAAAAACCCGTTTCCAACGAAGGCCTCTGAGTGGTCAAAATATCCACGTGCAGACTTTACAAACAGAGTGTTTCCAAACTGCTGAATGAAAACAAAAGTTAAACTCTGAGAGTTGAACGCACACATCGCAGAGCAGTTTCTGAGAGTGATTCTGTCAAGTTTTTATACGAAGATATTTCTTTTTCTGCCTTTGGCCCCAAAGCACTTGAAATTTCCACTTGCAAATTCCACAAAAACAGTGTTTCAAATCTGCTCTCTCTAAATGAAAGTTCAACTCTGTCAGTTGAATACACACAACACAAGGAAGTTACTGAGAATTCTTCTGTCTAGCCTTATATGAAAAAAACCCGTTTCCAACGAAGGCCTCAAAGAGGTCTGAATATCCACTTGCAGACTTTACAAACAGAGTGTTTCCTAACTGCTCTATGAAAAGAAATGTTAAACTCTGTGAGTTGAACACACACATCACAAAGCAGTTTCTGAGAATCATTCTGTCTAGTGTCTATAGGAAGATATTTCCTATTCTACCATTGACCTCAAAGCGGCTGAAATCTCCACTTGCAAATTCCACAAAAAGAGTGTTTCAAGTCTGCTCTGTGTAAAGGATCGTGCAACTCTGTGAGTTGAATACACACAACACAAGGAAGTTACTGAGAATTCTTCTGTCTAGCCTTACATGAAAAAAACCCGTTTCCAACGAAGGCCTCTAAGTGGTCAAATTATCCACGTGCAGACTTTACAAACAGAGTGTTTCCAAACTGCTGTATGAAAAGCAAAGTTAAACTCTGAGAGTTGAACGCACACATCGCAGAGCAGTTTCTGAGAATGATTCTGTCTAGTTTTTATACGAAGATATTTCCTTTTCTGCCTTTGGCCTCACAGCGCTTGAAATTTCCACTTGCAAATTCCACAAAAAGAGTGTTTCAAATCTGCTCTGTGTAAATGAAAGTTCAACTCTGTGAGTTGAACACACACAACACAAGGAAGTTACTGGGAATTCTTCTCTCTAGCCTTATATGAAAAAAACCCGTTTCCAACGAAGGCCTCAAAGAGGTCTGAATATCCACTTGCAGACTTTAGAAACAGAGTGTTTCCTAACTGCTCTATGAAAAGAAAGGTTAAACTCTGTGAGTTGAACGCACACATCACAAAGGAGTTTCTGAGAATCATTCTGTCTAGTTTTTATACGAAGATATTTCCTTTTCTACCATGGACCTCAAAGCGGCTGAAATCTCCACTTGCAAATTCCACAAAAAGAGTGTTTCAAGTCTGCTCTGTGTAAAGGATCGTTCAATTCTGTGAGTTGAATACACACAACACAAGGAAGATTCTGAGAACTCTTCGGTCTAGCAGAATATGAAGAAATCCCGTTTCCAACGAAGGCCTCAAGGAGGTCTGAATATCCACTTGCAGACTTTACAAACAGAGTGTTTCCTAACTGTTCTATGAACAGAAAGGTTAAACTCTGTGAGTTGAACGAACACATCACAACGCAGTTTGTGGGAATGATTCTGTCTAGTTTTTATACCGAAGATATTCCCTTTTCTACCATAGACCTCAAAGCAGCTGAAATCACCACTTGCCAATTGCACAAAAAGAGTGTTTCAAATCTGCTCTGTCTAAGGGAACGTTCAACTCTGTGAGTTGAATGTACACAACACAAGTAAGTTACTGGGAATTCTTCTGTCTAGCCTTACAGGAAAGAAACCCGTTTCCAACGAAGGCCTCTAAGTGGTCAAAATATCCACGTGCAGATTTTACAAACAGAGTGTTTCCAAACTGCTGAATGAAAAGAAAAGTTAAACTCTGAGAGTTGAACGCACACATCGCAGAGCAGTTTCTTGAGAATGAGTCTGTCTAGTTTTGAAACGAAGATATTTCCTTTTCTGCCTTTGGCCTCAAAGCGCTTGAAATCTCCACTTGCAAATTCCACAAAAAGAGTGTTTCAAATCTGCTCTGTGTAAATGGAAGTTCAACTCACAGAGTTGAACACACACAACACAAGGAAGTTACTGGGAATTCTTCTGTCTAGCCTTATATGAAAAAAACCCGTTTCCAACGAAGGCCTCAAAGAGGTCTGAATATCCACTTGCAGACTTTACAAACAGAGTGTTTCCTAACTGCTCTATGAAAAGAAAGGTTAAACTCTGTGAGTTGAACGCACACATCACAAAGGAGTTTCTGAGAATCATTATCTGTCTAGTTTCTATAGGAAGATATTTCCTATTCTACCATTGACCTCAAAGCGGCTGAAATCTCCACTTGCAAATTCGACAAAAAGAATGTTTCAAGTCTGCTCTGTGTAAAGGATCGTTCAACTCTGTGAGTTGAATACACACAACACAAGGAAGTTACTGAGAATTCTTCTGTCTAGCAGAATATGAAGAAACCCCGTTTCCAACGAAGGCCTCAAGGAGGTCTGAATATCCACTTGCAGACTTTACAAACAGAGTGTTTCCTAACTGCTCTATGAACAGAAAGGTTAAACTCTGTGAGTTGAACGAACACATCACAACGCAGTTTGTGGGAATGATTCTGTCTAGTTTTTATACGAAGATATTTCCTTTTCTACCATTGACCTCAAAGCGGCTGAAATCACCACTTGCCAATTTCACAAAAAGAGTGTTTCAAATCTGCTCTGTCTAAGGGAACGTTCAACTCTGTGAGTTGAATGTACACAACACAAGGAAGTTACTGGGAATTCTTCTGTCTAGCCTTACAGGAAAAAAACGCGTTTCCAACGAAGGCCTCTAAGTGGTCAAAATATCCACGTGCAGACTTTTCAAACAGAGTGTTTCCAAACTGCTGAATGAAAAGAAAAGTTAAACTCTGAGAGTTGAACGCACACATCGCAGAGCAGTTTCTGAGAATGATTCTGTCTAGTTTTTATACGAAGATATTTCCTTTTCTGCCTTTGGCCCCAAAGCGCTTGAAATCTCCACTTGCAAATTCCACAAAAACAGTGTTTCAAAACTGCTCTCTCTAAATGAAAGTTCAACTCTGTCAGTTGAATACACACAACACAAGGAAGTTACTGAGAATTCTTCTGTCTAGCAAAATATGAAGAAATCCCGTTTCCAACGAAGGCCTCAAGGAGGTCTGAATACCCACTTGCAGACTTTACAAACAGAGTGTTTCCTAACAGCTCTATGAACAGAAAGGTTAAACTCTGTGAGTTGAACGCACACATCACAAAGGAGTTTCTGAGAATCATTCTGTCTAGTTTTTATACGAAGATATTTCCTTTTCTACCATGGACCTCAAAGCGGCTGAAATCTCCACTTGCAAATTCCACAAAAAGAGTGTTTCAAGTCTGCTCTGTGTGAAGGATCGTTCAACTCTGTGAGTTGAATACACACAACACAAGGAAGATTCTGAGAATTCTTCTGTCTAGCAGAATATGAAGAAATCCCGTTTCCAACGAAGGCCACAAGATGTCAGAATATCCACTTACAGAATTGACAAACAGACTGTTTCCTAACTGCTCTATGAAAAGAATGGTTAAACTCTGTGAGTTGAACGAACACATCACAACGCAGTTTGTGGGAATGATTCTGTCTAGTTTTGAAACGAAGATATTTTCTTTTCTGCCATTGACCTTAAAGCGCTTGAAATCTACACTTGCAAATTGCACAAATAGAGTGTTTCAAATCTGCTCTGTCTAAGGGAACGTTCAACTCTGTGAGTTGAATGCACACAACACAAGGAAGTTACTGGGAATTCTTCTGTCTAGCCTTACATGAAAAAAACCCGTTTCCAACGAAGGCCTCTAAGTGGTCAAAATATCCACGTGCAGACTTTACAAACAGAGTGTTTCCAAACCGCTGAATGAAAAGAAAAGTTAAACTCTGAGAGTTGAACGCACACGTCACGCAGCAGTTTCTGAGAATGATTCTGTCTAGTTTTTATACGAAGATATTTCCTTTTCTGCCTTTGGCCTCAAAGCGCTTGAAATCTCCACTTGCAAATTCCACAAAAAGAGTGTTTCAAATCTGCTCTTTGTAAATGAAAGTTCAACTCTGTGAGTTGAACACACACAACACAAGGAAGTTACTGGGAATCCTCTGTCTAGCAGAATACGAAGAAATCCCGTTTCCAACGAAGGCCTCAAAGAGGTCTGAATATCCACTTGCAGACTTTACAAACAGAGTGTTTCCTAACTGCTCCATGAAAAGAAAAGTTAAACTCTGTGAGATGAACGCACACATCACAAAGGAGTTTCTGAGAATCATTCTGTCTAGTTTCTATAGGAAGATATTTCCTATTCTACCATTGACCTCAAAGCGGCTGAAATCTCCACTTGCAAATTCCACAAAAAGAGTGTTTCAAGTCTGCTCTCTGTAAAGGATCGTTCAACTCTGTGAGTTGAATACACACAACACAAGGAAGTTTCTGAGAATTCTTCTGTCTAGCAGAATATGAAGAAATCCCGTTTCCAACGAAGGCCACAAGATGTCAGAATATCCACTTACAGAATTCACAAACAGACTGTTTCCTAACTGCTCTATGAAAAGAAAGGTTAAACTCTGTGAGTTGAACGAACACATCACAACGCAGTTTGTGGGAATGATTCTGTCTAGTTTTGAAACGAAGATATTTCCTTTTCTGCCATTGACCTCAAAGCGCTTGAAATCTCCACTTGCCAATTGCACAAAAAGAGTGTTTCAAATCTGCTCTGTCTAAGGGAACGTTCAACTCTGTGAGTTGAATGTACACAACACAAGGAAGTTACTGGGAATTCTTCTGTCTAGTAGAATATGAAGAAATCCCGTTTCCAACGAAGGCCACAAGATGTCAGAATATCCACTTACAGAATTTACAAACAGAGTGTTTCCTAACTGCTCTATGAAAAGAAAGCTTAAACTCTGTGAGATGAACGAACACATCACAACGCAGTTTGTGGGAATGATTTCCGTCTATTTTTTCTACGAAGATATTTCCTTTTCTGCCGTTGGCCTCAAAGCGCTTGAAATCTACACTTGCAAATTGCACAAATAGAGTGTTTCAAATCTGCTCTGTCTAAGGGAACGTTCAACTCTGTGAGTTGAATGCACACAACACAAGGAAGTTACTGAGAATTCTTCTCTCAGGCATAATATGAAGAAATCCCGTTTCCAACGAAGGCCTCAAAGAGGTCTGAATATCCACTTGCAGAGTTTACAAACAGAGTGTTTCCTAACTGCTCTATGAAAAGAAAAGTTAAACTCTGTGAGTTGAGCGCACACATCACAAAGAAGTTTCTGAGAATCATTCTGTCTAGTTTTTATACGAAGATATTTCCTTTTCTACCATTGACCTCAACGCGGCTGAAATCTCCACTTGCAAATTCCACAAAAAGAGCGTTTCAAGTCTGCTCTGTGTAAAGGATCATTCAACTCTGTGAGTTGAATACACACAACACAAGGAAGTTACTGAGAATTCTTCTGTCTAGCAGAATATGAAGAAATCCCGTTTCCAACGAAGGCCACAAGATGTCAGAATATCCACTTACAGACTTTACAAACAGTGTGTTTCCTAACTGCTCTATGAACGGAAACGTTAAACTCTGTGAGTTGAAGGAACACATCACAACGCAGTTTGTGGGAATGATTCTGTCTAGTTTTTATAGGAAGATATTTCCTTTTCTACCTTTGACCTGAAAGTGGTTGAAATCACCACTTGCCAATTGCACAAAAAGAGTGTTTCAAATCTGCTCTGTCTAAGGAAACGTTCAACTCTGTGGGTTGAATGTACAAAACACAAGGAAGTTACTGGGAATTCTTCTGTCTAGCAGAATATGAAGAAATCCCGTTTCCAACGAAGGCCGCAAGATGTCAGAATATCCACTTACAGAATTTACAAACAGACTGTTTCCTAACTGCTCTATGAAAAGAAAGGTTAAACTCTGTGAGTTGAACGAACACATCACAACGCAGTTTGTGGGAATGATTCTGTCTAGTTTTTATACGAAGATATTTCCTTTTCTGCCTTTGGCCTCAAAGCGCTTGAAATCTCCACTTGCAAATTACACAAAAAGAGTGTTTCAAATCTGCTCTATCTGAAGGAAGGTTCAACTCTGTCAGTTGAATACACACAACACAAGGAAGTTATTGAGAATTCTTCTTTCTAGCAGAACATGAAGAAATCCCGTTTCCAACGAAAGCCTCAAGGATGTCTGAATATCCACTTGCAGACTTTACAAACAGAGTGTTTCCTAACTGCTCTATGAAAAGAAAGGTTAAACTCTGTGAGTTGAACGCACACATCACAAAGGAGTTTCTGAGAATCATTCTGTCTAGTTTTTATAGGAAGATATTTCCTTTTGTACCTTCGACTTCAAAGCGGCTGAAATCTCCACTTGCAAATTCCACAAAAAGAGTGTTACAAGTCTGCTCTGTGTAAAGGATCGTTCAACTCTGTGAGTTGAATACACACAACACAAGGAAGTTACTGAGAATTCTTCTGTCTAGCCTTACATGAAAAAAACCCGTTTCCAACGAAGAACTCTAAGTGGTCAAATTATCCACGTGCAGACTTTACAAACAGAGTGTTTCCAAACTGCTGAATGAAAACAAAAGTTAAACTCTGAGAGTTGAACGCACACATCGCAGAGCAGTTTCTGAGAATGATTCTGTCTAGTTTTTATACGAAGATATTTCCTTTTCTGCCTTTGGCCTCAAAGCGCTTGAAATCTCCAATTGCAAATTCCACAAAAAGAGTGTTTCAAATCTGCTCTTTGTAAATGAAAGTTCAACTCTGTGAGTTGAACACACACAACACAAGGAAGTTACTGGGAATCCTTCTGTCTAGCAGAATATGAAGAAATCCCGTTTCCAACGAAGGCCTCAAAGAGGTCTGAATATCCACTTGCAGACTTTACAAACAGAGTGTTTCCTAACTGCTCTATGAAAAGAAAGGTTAAACTCTGTGAGTTGAACGCACACATCACAAAAGTGTTTCTGAGAATCATTCTGTCTAGTTTCTATAGGAAGATATTTCCTATTCTACAATTGACCTCAAAGCGGCTGAAATCTCCACTTGCAAATTCCAGAAAAAGAGTGTTTCAAGTCTGCTCTGTGTAAAGGATCGTTCAACTCTGTGAGTTGAATACACACAACACAAGGAAGTTACTGAGAATTCTTCTGTCTAGCAGAATATGAAGAAATCCCGTTTCCAACGAAGGCCTCAAGGAGGTCTGAATATCCACTTGAAGACTTTACAAACAGAGTGTTTCCTAACTGCTCTATGAAAAGAAAGGTTAAACTCTTTGAGTTGAACGCACACATCACAACGCAGTTTGTGGGAATGATTCTGTCTAGCTTTGAAACGAAGATATTTCCTTTTCTGCCATTGACCTTAAAGCGCTTGAAATCTACACTTGCAAATTGCACAAATAGAGTGTTTCAAATCTGCTCTGTCTAAGGGAACTTTCAACTCTGTGAGTTGAATGCACACAACACAAGGAAGTTACTGGGAATTCTTCTGTCAAGCCTTACAGGAAAAAAACCCGTTTCCAACGAAGACCTCTAAGTGGTCAAAATATCCACGTGCAGACTTTACAAACAGAGTGTTTCCAAACTGCTGAATGAAAAGAAAAGTTAAACTCTGAGAGTTGAACGCACACATCGCAGAGCAGTTTCTGAGAATGATTCTGTCTAGTTTTTATACGAAGATATTTCCTTTTTTGCCTTTGGCCCCAAAGCGCTTGAAATCTCCACTTGCAAATTCCACAAAAACAGTGTTTCAAATCTGCTCTCTCTAAATGAAAGTTCAACTCTGTCAGTTGAATACACACAACACAAGGAAGTTACTGAGAATTCTTCTGTCTAGCAGAATATGAAGAAATCCCGTTTCCAAAGAAGGCCTCAAAGAGGTCTGAATATCCACTTGCAGACTTTACAAACAGAGTGTTTCCTAACTGCTCTATGAAAAGAAAGGTTAAACTCTGTGAGTTGAACGCTCACATCACAAAGGAGTTTCTGAGAATCGTTCTGTCTAGTTTCTATAGGAAGATATTTCCTATTCTACCATTGACCTCAAAGCGGCAGAAATCCCCCCTTGCAAATTCCACAAAAAGAGTGTTTCAAGTCTGCTCTGTGTAAAGGATCGTTCAACTCTGTGAGTTGAATACACACAACACAAGGAAGTTACTGAGAATTCTTCTGTCTAGCATAGTATGAAGAAATCCCGTTTCCAACGAAGGCCTCAAAGAGGTCTGAATATCCACTTGCAGACTTTACAAACAGAGTGTTTCCTAACTGCTCTATGAAAAGAAAGGTTAAACTCTGTGAGTTGAAGGCACACATCACAAAGGAGTTTCTGAGAATCATTCTGTCTAGTTTCTATAGGAAGATATTTCCTATTCTACCATTGAACTCAAAGCGGCTGAAATCTCCCCTTGCAAATTCCACAAAAAGAGTGTTTCAAGTCTGCTCTGTGTAAAGGATCGTTCAACTCTGTGAGTTGAATACACACAACACAAGGAAGTTACTGAGAATTCTTCTGTCTAGCAGAATATGAAGAAATCCCGTTTCCAACGAAGGCCTCAAGGAGTTCTGAATATCCACTTGCAGACTTTACAAACAGAGTGTTTCCTAACTGCTCTATGAACAGAAAGGTTAAACTCTGTGAGTTGAACGCACACATCACAAAGGAGTTTATGAGAATCATTCTGTCTAGTTTCTATAGGAAGATATTTCCTATTCTACCATTGACCTCAAAGCGGCTGAAATCTCCACTTGCAAGTTCCACAAAAAGAGTGTTTCAAGTCTGCTCTGTGTTAAGGATCGTTCAACTCTGTGAGTTGAATACACACAACACAAGGCAGTTACTGAGAATTCTTCTGTCTAGCAGAATATGAAGAAATCCCGTTTCCAACGAAGGCCACAAAATGTCAGAATATCCAGTTACAGACTTTACAAACAGAGTGTTTCCTAACTGCTCTATGAACAGAAAGGTTAAACTCTGTGAGTTGAACGAACACATCACAACGCAGTTTGTGGGAATGATTCTGTCTATTTTTGAAACGAAGATATTTCCTTTTCTGCCATTGACCTTAAAGCGCTTGAAATCTCCATTTGCCAATTGCACAAAAAGAGTGTTTCAAATCTGCTCTGTCTAAGGGAACGTTCAACTCTGTGAGTTGAATGTACACAACACAAGGAAGTTACTGGGAATTCTTCTGTCTAGCCTTACAGGAAGAAAACCCGTTTCCAACGAAGGCCTCTAAGTGGTCAAAATATCCACGTGCAGACTTTACAAACAGAGTGTTTCCTAACTGCTCTATGAAAAGAAAGGTTAAACTCTGTGAGTTGAACGCACACATCACAAAGGAGTTTCTGAGAATCATTCTGTCTAGTTTTTATACGAAGATATTTCCTTTTCTGCCTTTGGCCCCAAAGCGCTTGAAATCTCCACTTGCAAATTCCACAAAAACAGTGTTTCAAATCTGCTGTCTCTAAATGATAGTTCAACTCTCTCAGTTGAATACACACAACACAAGGAAGTTACTGAGAATTCTTCTGTCTAGCAGAATATGAAGAAATCCCGTTTCCAACGAAGGCCTCAAGGAGGTCTGAATATCCACTTGCAGACTTTACAAACAGAGTGTTTCCTAACTGCTCTATGAACAGAAAGGTTAAACTCTGTGAGTTGAACGCACACTTCACAAAGGAGTTTCTGAGAATCATTCTGTCTAGTTTCTATAGGAAGATATTTCCTATTCTACCATTGACCTCAAAGCGGCTGAAATCTCCACTTGCAAATTCCACAAAAAGAGTGTTTCAAGTATGTTCTGTGTAAAGGATCGTTCAACTCTGTGAGTTGAATACACACAACACAAGGAAGTTACTGAGAATTCTTCTGTGTAGCATAATATGAAGAAGTCCCGTTTCCAACGAAGGCCTCAAGGAGGTCTGAATATCCACTTGCAGTCTTTACAAACAGAGTGTTTCCTAACTGCTCTATGAAAAGAATGGTTAAACTCTGTGAGTTGAATGCACACATCACAAAGGAGTTTCTGAGAATCATTCTGTCTAGTTTATATACGAAGATATTTCCTTTTCTGCCTTTGGCCCCAAAGCGCTTGAAATCTCCACTTGCAAATTCCACAAAAACAGTGTTTCAAATCTGCTCTCTCTAAATGAAAGTTCAACTCTGTCACTTGAATACACACAACACAAGGAAGTTACTGAGAATTCTTCTGTCTAGCATAATATGAAGAAATCCCGTTTCCAACGAAGGCCTCAAAGGGGTCGGAATATCCACTTGCAGACTTTATAAACAGAGTGTTTACTAACTGCTCTATGAAAAGAAAGGTTAAACTCTGTGAGTTGAACACACACATCACAAAGTAGTTTCTGAGAATCATTCTGTCTAGTTTCTATAAGAAGATATTTCCTATTCTACCATTGACCTCAAAGCGGCTGAAATCTCCACTTGCAAATTCCACAAAAAGAGTGTTTCAAGACTGTTCTTTGTAAAGGATCATTCAACTCTGTGAGTTGAATACACACAACACAAGGAAGTTACTGAGAATTCTTCTTTCTAGCAGAATATGAAGAAATCCCGTTTCCAAGGAAAGCCTCAAGGATGTCTGAATATCCACTTGCAGACTTTACAAAAAGAGTGTTTCCCAACTGCTCTATGAAAAGAAAGGTTAAACTCTGTGAGTTGAACGCACACATCACAAAGGAGTTTCTGAGAATCATTCTGTCTAGTTTTTATACGAAGATATTTCCTTTTCTACCATTGACCTCATAGCGGCTGAAATCTCCACTTGCCAATTCCACAAAAACAGTGTTTCAAGTCTACTCTGTGTAAAGGATCGTTGAACTCTGTGAGTTGAAAACACACAACACAAGGAAGTTTCTGAGAATTCTTCTGTATAGCAGAATATGAAGAAATCCCGTTTCCAAAGAAAGCCTCAAAGATGTCTGAATATCCACTTGCAGACTTTACAAACAGAGTGTTTCCTAACTGCTCTATGAAAAGAAAGGTTAAACTCTGTGAGTTGAACGTACACATCACAAAGGAGTTTCTGAGAATCATTCTGTCTAGTTTCTATAGGAAGATATTTCCTATTCTACCATTGACCTCAAAGCGGCTGAAATCTCCACTTGCAAATTCCACAAAAAGAGTATTTCAAGTCTGCTCTGTGTAAAGGATCGTTCAACTCTGTGAGTTGAATACACACAACACAAGGCAGTTACTGAGAATTCTTCTTTCTAGCAGAATATGAAGAAATCCCGTTTCCAACGAAAGCCTCAAGGAGGTCTGAATATCCACTTGCAGACTTTACAAACAGAGTGTTTCCTAACTGCTCTATGAAAAGAAAGGTTAAACTGTGTGAGTTGAACGCACACATCACAAAGGAGTTTCTCAGAATCATTCTGTCTAGTCTTTATACGAAGATATTTCCTTTTCTACCATTGACCACAAAGCGGCTGAAATCTCCACTTGCAAATTCCACAAAAAGAGTGTTTCAAGTCTGCTCTGTGTAAAGGATCATTCAACTCTGTGAGTTGAATACACACAACACAAGGAAGTTTCTGAGAATTCTTCTGTCTAGCAGAATATGAAGAAATCCCGTTTCCAACGAAGGCCACAAGATGTCAGAATATCCACTTACAAACTTTACAAACAGAGTGTTTCCGAACTGCTCTATGAACAGAAAGGTTAAACTCTGTGTGTTGAACGCACACATCAAAAAGGAGTTTATGAGAATCATTCTGTCTAGTTTTGAAACGAAGATATTTCCTTTTCTGCCATTGACCTCAAAGCGCTTGAAATCTCCACTTGCCAATTGCACAAAAAGAGTGTTTCAAATCTGCTCTGTCTAAGGGAACGTTCAACTCTGTGAGTTGAATGTACACAACACAAGGAAGTTACTGGGAATTCTTCTGTCTAGCCTTACATGAAAAAAACCCGTTTCCAACGAAGGCCACTAAGTGGTCAAAATATCCACGTGCAGACTTTACAAACAGAGTGTTTCCAAACCGCTGAATGAAAAGCAAAGTTAAACTCTGAGAGTTGAACGCACACATCACGCAGCAGTTTCTGAGAATGATTCTGTCTAGTTTTTATACGAAGATATTTCCTTTTCTGCCTTTGGCCTCAAAGCGCTTGAAATCTCCACTTGCAAATTCCACAAAAAGAGTGTTTCAAATCTGCGCTGTGTAAATGAAAGTTCAACTCTGTGAGTTGAACACACACAACACAAGGAAGTTACTGGGAATTCTTCTGTCTAGCAGAATATGAAGAAATCCCGTTTCCAACGAAGGCCTCAAGGAGGTCTGAATATCCACTTGCAGACTTTACAAACAGAGTGTTTCCTAACTGCTCTATGAACAGAAAGGTTAAAGTCTGTGAGTTGAACGAACACATCACAACGCAGTTTGTGGGAATGATTCTGTCTAGTTTTTATATGAAGATATTTCCATTTCTACCATTGACCTCAAAGCGGCTGAAATCTCCACTTACAAATTCCACAAAAAGAGTGTCTCAAGTCTGCTCTGTGTAAACGATCGTTCAACTCTGTGAGTTGAATACACACAACACAAGGAAGTTTCTGAGAATTCTTCTGTCTAGCCTTAGAGGAAAAAAACCCGATTCCAACGAAGGCCTCTAAGTGGTCAAAATATCCACGTGCAGACTTTACAAACAGAGTGTTTCCAAACTGCTGAATGAAAAGAAAAGTTAAACTCTGAGAGTTGAAGGCACACATCGCAGAGCAGTTTCTGAGAATGATTCTGTCTAGTTTTGAAACGAAGATATTTCCTTTTCTGCCTTTGGCCTCAAAGCGCTTGAAATCTCCATTTGCAAATTCCACAAAAAGAGTGTTTCAAATCTGCTCTGTGTAAATGAAAGTTCAACTCTGTGAGTTGAACACACACAGCACAAGGAAGTTACTGGGAATTCCTCTGTCTAGCAGAACATGAAGAAATCCCGCTTCCAACGAAGGCCTCAAAGAAGTCTGAATATCCACTTGCAGACTTAAAAACAGAGTGTTTCCCAACTGCTCTATGAAAAGAAAGGTTGAACTCTGTGAGTTGAACGCACACATCACAAAGCAGTTTCTGAGAATCATTCTGTCTAGTTTTTATACGAAGATATTTCCTTTTCTACCGTTGACCTCAACGCGGCTGAAATCTCCACTTGCAAATTACACAAAAAGAGTGTTTCAAGTCCGCTCTGTGTAAAGGATCGTTCAATTTTGTGAGTTAAATACACACAACACAAGGAAGTTACTGAGAATTCTTCTGTCTAGCACAGTATGAAGAAATCCCGTTTCCAACGAAGGCAGCAAAGAGGTCTGAATATCCACTTGCAGAGTTTACAAACAGAGTGTTTCCTAACTGCTCTATGAAAAGAAAGGTTAAACTCTGTGAGTTGAACGCACACATCACAATGAAGTTTCTGAGAATCATTCTGTCTAGTTTTGAAACGAAGACATTTCCTTTTCTGCCATTGACCTTAAAGCGCTTGAAATCTACACTTGCAAATTGCACAAATAGAGTGTTTCAAATCTGCTCTGTCTAAGGGAACGTTCAACTCTGTGAGTTGAATGCACACAACACAAGGAAGTTACTGGGAATTCTTCTGTCTAGCCTTACATGAAAAAAACCCGTTTCCAACGAAGGCCTCTAAGTGGTCAAAATATCCACTTGCAGACTTTACAAACAGAGTGTTTCCAAACCGCTGAATGAAAAGAAAAGTTAAACTCTGAGAGTTGAACGCACACATCACGCAGCAGTTTCTGAGAATGATTTCTGTCTAGTTTTTCTACGAAGATATTTCCTTTTCTACTATTGACCTCAAAGCGGCTGAAATCTCCACTTGCAAATTCCACAAAAAGAGTGTTTCAAGAATGCTCTGTGTAAAGGATCGTTCAACTCTGTGAGTTGAATACACACAACACAAGGAAGTTACTGAGAATTCTTCTGTCTAGCAGAATATGAAGAAATCCCGTTTCCAACGAAGGCCTCAAAGAGGTCTGAATATCCACTTGCAGACTTTACAAACAGAGTGTTTCCTAACTGCTCTATGAAAAGAAAGGTTAAACTCTGTGAGTTGAACGCACACATCACAAAGTAGTTTATGAGAATCATTCTGTCTAGTTTCTATAGGAAGATATTTCCTATTCTACCATTGACCTCAAAGCGGCTGAAATCTCCACTTGCAAATTCCAGAAAAAGAGTGTTTCAAGTCTGCTCTGTGTAAAGGATCGTTCAACTCTGTGGGTTGAATACACACAACACAAGGAAGTTACTGAGAATTCTTCTGTCTAGCAGAATATGAAGAAATCCCGTTTCCAACGAAGGCCACAAGATGTCAGAATATCCACTTACAGAATTTACAAACAGACTGTTTCCCAACTGCTCTATGAAAAGAAAGGTTAAACTCTGTGAGTTGAACACACACATCACAATGAAGTTTCTGAGAATCATTCTGTCTACTTTTGAAACGAAGATATTTCCTTTTCTGCCAACGACCTTAAAGCGCTTGAAATCTACACTTGCAAATTGCACAAATAGAGTGTTTCAAATCTGCTCTGTCTAACGGAACGTTCAATTCTGTGAGTTGAAGCACACAACACAAGGAAATTACTGGGAAATCTTCTGTCTAGCCTTACAGGAAAAAAACCCGTTTCCAACGAAGGCCTCTAAGTGGTCAAAATATCCACGTGCAGACTTTACAACCAGAGTGTTTCCAAACTGCTGAATGAAAAGAAAAGTTAAACTCTGACAGTTGAACGCACACATCGCAGAGCAGTTTCTGAGAATGATTCTGTCTAGTTTTTATACGAAGATATTTCCTTTTCTGCCTTTGGCCTCAAAGCGCTTGAAATCTCCATTTGCAAATTCCACAAAAAGAGTCTTTCAAATCTGATCTGTGTAAATGAAAGTTCAACTCTGTGAGTTGAACACACACAACACAAGGATGTTACTGGGAATTCTTCTGTCTAGCATAATATGAAGAAATCCCGTTTCCTACGAAGGCCTCAAAGAGGTCTGAATATCCACTTGCAGACTTTACAAACAGAGTGTTTCCTAAATGCTCTATGAAAAGAAAGGTTAAACTCTGTGAGTTGAGCGCACACATCACAAAGAAGTTTCTGAGAATCATTCTGTCTAGTTTCTATAGGAAGATATTTCCTATTCTACCATTGACCTCAAAGCGGCTGAAATCTCCACTTGCAAATTCAAAAAAAAGTGTGTTTCAATCTACTCTGTGTAAAGCATCGTTGAACTCTGTGAGTTGAATACACACAACACAAGGAAGTTACTGAGAATTCTTCTGTCTAGCAGAATATGAAGAAAACCCGTTTCCAACGAAGGCCACAAGATGTCAGAATATCCACTTACAGAATTGACAAACAGACTGTTTCCTAACTGCTCTATGAAAAGAAAGGTTAAACTCTGTGAGTTGAACGAACACATCACAACGCAGTTTGTGGGAATGATTCTGTCTAGTTTTGAAACGAAGATATTTCCTTTTCTGCCATTGACCTGAAAGCGCTTGAAATCTACACTTGCAAATTGCACAAATAGAGTGTTTCAAATCTGCTCTGTCTAAGGGAACGTTCAACTCTGTGAGTTGAATGCACACAACACAAGGAAGTTACTGGGAATTCTTCTGTCTAGCCTTATATGAAAAAAACCCGTTTCCAACGAAGGCCTCTAAGTGGTCAAATTATCAACGAGCAGACTTTACAAACAGAGTGTTTCCAAACTGCTGAATGAAAAGAAAAGTTAAACTCTGAGAGTTGAACGCACACATCGCAGAGCAGTTTCTGAGAATGATTCTGTCCAGTTTTTATACGAAGATATATCCTTTTCTGCCTTTGGCCCCAAAGCGCTTGAAATCTCCACTTGCAAATTCCACAAAAACAGTGTTTCAAATCTGCTCTCTCTAAATGAAAGTTCAACTCTGTCAGTTGAATACACACAACACAAGGAAGTGACTGAGAATTCTTCTGTCTAGCATAATATGAAGAAATCCCGTTTCCAACGAAGGCCTCAAAGAGGTCTGAATATCCACTTGCAGACTTTACAAACAGAGTGTGTCCTAACTGCTCTATGAAAAGAAAGGTTAAACTCTGTGAGTTGAACGCACACATCACAAAGGAGTTTCTGAGAATCATTCTGTCTAGTTTCTATAGGAAGATATTTCCTATTCTACCATTGACCTCAAAGCGGCTGAAATCTCCACTTGCAAATTCCACAAAAAGAGTGTTTCAAGTCTGCTCTCTGTAAAGGATCGTTCAACTCTGTGAGTTGAATACACACAACACAGGGAAGTTACTGAGAATTCTTCTGTCTAGCATAATATGAAGAAATCCCGTTTCCAACGAAGGCCTCAAAGGGGTCTGAATATCCACTTGCAGACTTTATAAACAGAGTGTTTACTAACTGCTCTATGAAAAGAAAGGTTAAATTCTGTGAGTTGAACACACACATCACAAAGGAGTTTCTGAGAATCATTCTGTCTAGTTTTTATACGAAGATATTTCCTTTTCTACCATTGACCTCAAAGCGGCTGAAATCTCCACTTGCAAATTCCACAAAAAGAGTGTTTCAAGTCTGCTCTGTGTAAGGGATCGTTCAACTCTGTGAGTTGAATACACACAACACAAGGAAGTTACTGAGAATTCTTCTGTCTAGCAGAATATGAAGAAATCCCGTTTCCAACGAAGGCCACAAGATGTCAGAATATCCACTTACAGAATTTACAAACAGACTGTTTCCTAACTGCTCTATGAAAAGAAAGGTTAAAGTCTGTGAGTTGAACGAACACATCACAACGCAGTTTGTGGGAATGATTCTGTCTAGTTTTGAAACGAAGATATTTCCTTTTCTGCCATTGACCTCAAAGCGCTTGAAATCTCCACTTGCCAGTTGCACAAAAAGAGTGTTTCAAATCTGCTCTGTCTAAGGGAACGTTCAACTCTGTGAGTTGAATGTACACAACACAAGGAAGTTACTGGGAATTCTTCTGTCTATCCTTACATGAAAAAAACCCGTTTCCAACGAAGGCCTCTAAGTGGTCAAATTATCCACGTGCAGACTTTACAAACAGAGTGTTTCGAAACTGCTGAATGAAAAGAAAAGTTAAACTCTGAGAGTTGAACGCACACATCGCAGAGCAGTTTCTGAGAATGATTCTGTCTAGTTTTTATACGAAGATATATCCTTTTCTGCCTTTGGCCTCAAAGCGCTTGAAATCTCCATTTGCAAATTCCACAAAAAGAGTGTTTCAAATCTGCTCTGTGGAAATGAAAGTTCAACTCTGTGAGTTGAACACACACAACACAAGGAAGTTACTGGGAATTCTTCTGTCTAACATAATATGAAGAAATCCCGTTTCCAACGAAGGCCTCAAAGGGGTCTGAATATCCAATTGCAGACTTTATAAATAGAGTGTTTACTAACTGCTCTATGAAAAGAAAGGTTAAACTCTGTGAGTTGAACACACACATCACAAAGGAGTTTCTGAGAATCATTCTGTCTAGTTTCTATAGGAAGATATTTCCTATTCTACCATTGACCTCAAAGCGGCTGAAATCTCCACTTGCAAATTCCACAAAAAGAGTGTTTCAAGTCTGCTCTGTGTAAAGGATCGTTGAACTCTGTGAGTTGAATACACACATCACAAGGAAGTTACTGAGAATTCTTCTCTCTAGCAGAATATGAAGAAATCCCGTTTCCAACGAAGGCCTCAAAGAGGTCTGAATATCCACTTGCACACTTTACAAACAGAGTGTTTCCTAACTGCTCTATGAAAAGAAAGGTTAAACTCTGTGAGTTGAACGCACACATCACAAAGGAGTTTCTGAGAATCATTCTGTCTAGTTTTTATACAAAGATATTTCCTTTTCTACCATTGACCTCAAAGCGGCTGAAATCTCCACTTGCAAATTCCACAAAAAGAGTGTTTCAAGTCTACTCTGTGTAAAGCATCGTTCAACTCTGTGAGTTGAAAACACACAACACAAGGAAGTTTCTGAGAATTCTTCTGTCTAGTCTTACATGAAAAAAAACCCGTTTCCAACGAAGGCCTCTAAGTGGTCAAAATATCCACTTGCAGACTTTACAACCAGAGTGTTTCCTAACTGCTCTATGAAAAGAAAGGTTAAACTCTGTGAGTTGAACGCACACATCACAAAGGAGTTTCTGAGAATCATTCTGTCTAGTTTTGAAACGAAGATATTTCCTTTTCTGCCTTTGGCCTCAAAGTGCTTGAAATCTCCACTTGCAAATTCCACAAAAAGAGTGTTTCAAATCTGCTCTGTGTAAATGGAAGTTCAACTCTGTGAGTTGAACACACACAACACAAGGAAGTTACTGGGAATTCTTCTGTCTAGCACAGTATGAAGAAATCCGGTTTCCAACGAAGGCCTCAAAGAGGTCTGAATATCCACTTGCAGACTTTACAAACAGAGTGTTTCCTAACTGCTCTATGAAAAGAAGGGTTAAACTCTGTGAGTTGAACACACACATCTCAAAGGAGTTTCTGAGAATCATTCTGTCTAGTTTTTATACGAAGATATTTCCTTTTCTACCATTGACCTCAAAGCGGCTGAAATCTCCACTTGCAAATTCCACAAAAAGAGTGTTTCAAGTCTGCTCTGTGTAAAGGATCGTTCAACTCTGTGAGTTGAATACACACAACACAAGGAAGTTTCTGAGAATTCTTCTTTCTAGCAGAATATGAAGAAATCCCGTTTCCAACGAAAGCCTCAAGGATGTCTGAATATCCACTTGCAGACTTTACAAACAGAGTGTTTCCTAACTGCTCTATGAATAGAAAGGTTAAACTCTGTGAGTTGAACGCACACATCACAAAGGAGTTTCTGAGAATCATTCTGTCTAGTTTTGAAACGAAGATATTTCCTTTTCTGCCATTGACCTCAAAGCGCTTGAAATCTCCACTTGCCAATTGCACAAAAAGAGTGTTTCAAATCTGCTCTGTCTAAGGGAACGTTCAACTCTGTGAGTTGAATGTATACAACACAAGGAAGTTACTGGGAATTCTTCTGTCTAACCTTACATGACAAAAACCCGCTTGCAACGAAGGCCTCTAAGTGGTCAAAATATCCACGTGCAGACTTTACAAACAGAGTGTTTCCAAACTGCTGAATGAAAAGAAAAGTTAAACTCTGAGCGCTGAAGGCACACATCGCAGAGCAGTTTCTGAGAATGATTCTGTCTAGTTTTTATACGAAGATATTTCCTTTTCTGCCTTTGGCCTCAAAGCGCTTGAAATCTCCACTTGCAAATTCCACAAAAAGAGTGTTTCCAATCTGCTCTGTGTAAATGAAAGTTCAACTCTGTGAGTTGAATACACACAACACAAGGAAGTTACTGGGAATTCTTCTGTTTAGCATAATATGAAGAAATCCCGTTTCCAACGAAGGCCTCAAGGAGGTCTGAATATCCACTTGCAGACTTTACAAACAGAGTGTTTCCTAACTGCTCTATGAGAAGAAAAGTTAAACTCTGTGAGTTGAACGCACACATCACAAAAGATTTTCTGAGAATCATTCTGTCTAGTTTTTATACGAAGGATATTTCATTTTCTACCATTGACCTCAAAGCGGCTGAAATCTCCACTTGCAAATTCCACAAAAAGAGTGTTTCAAATCTGCTCTGTGTAAACCATCGTTCAACTCTGTGAGTTGAATACACACAACACAAGGAAGATTCTGAGAATTCTTCTGTCTAGCATAATATGAAGAAATCCCGTTTCCAACGAAGGCCTCAAGGAGGTCTGAATATCCACTTACAGACTTAACAAACAGAGTGTTTCCTAACTGCTCTATGAAAAGAAAGGTTAAACTCTGTGAGTTGAACGCACACTTCACAAAGGAGTTTATGAGAATCATTCTGTCTAGTTTTTATACGAAGATATTTCCTTTTCTATCATTGACCTCAAAGCGGCTGAAATCTCCACTTGCAAATTCCACAAATAGAGTGTTTCAAGTCTGCTCTGTGTAAAGGATCGTTCAACTCTGTGAGTTGAATACACACAACACAAGGAAGTTACTGAGAATTCTTTCTGTCTAGCAGAATATGAAGAAATCCCGTTTCCAACGAAGGCCACAAGATGTCAGAATATCTACTTACAGACTTTACAAACAGAGTGTTTCCTAACTGCTCTATGAACAGAAAGGTTAAACTCTGTGAGTTGAACGAACACATCACAACGCAGTTTTTGGGAATGATTCTGTCTAGTTTTGAAACGAAGATATTTCCTTTTCTGCCATTGACCTTAAAGCGCTTGAAATCTACACTTGCAAATTGCACAAATAGAGTGTTTCAAATCTGCTCTGTCTAAGGAAACGTTCAACTCTGTGAGTTGAATGCACACAACACAAGGAAGTTACTGGGAATTCTTCTGTCTAGCCTTACATGAAAAAAACCCGTTTCCAACGAAGGCCTCTAAGTGGTCAAAATATCCACGTGCAGACTTTACAAACAGAGTGTTTCCAAACCGCTGAATGAAAAGAAAAGTTAAACTCTGAGAGTTGAACGCAAACATCACGCAGCAGTTTTTGAGAATGATTCTGTCTAGTTTCTATAGGAAGATATTTCCTATTCTACCATTGATCTCAAAGCGGCTGAAATCTCCACTTGCAAATTCCACAAAAAGAGTGTTTCAAGTCTGCTCTCTGTAAAGGATCGTTCAACTCTGTGAGTTGAATACACACAACACAAGGAAGTTACTGAGAATTCTTCTGTCTAGCAGGATATGAAGAAATCCCGTTTCCAACAAAGGCCTCAAGGAGGTCTGAATATCCACTTGCAGACTTTACAAACAGAGTGTTTCCTAACTCCTCTATGAAAAGAAAGGTTAAACTCTGTGAGTTGAACGCACACATCACAAAGGAGTTTCTGAGAATCATTCTGTCTAGTTTTTATAGGAAGATATTTCCTTTTCTACCTTTGACTTCAAAGCGGCTGAAATCTCCACTTGCAAATTCCACAAAAAGTGTGTTACAAGTCTGCTCTGTCTAAGGGAACGTTCAACTCTGTGAGTTGAATGTACACAACACAAGGAAGTTACTGGGAATTCTTCTGTCTAGCATAATATGAAGAAATCCCGTTTCCAACGAAGGCCTCAAGGAGGTCTGAATATCAACTTGCAGACTCTACAAACAGAGTGTTTCCTAACTGCTCTATGAAAAGAAAGGTTAAACTCTGTGAGTTGAACGCACACATCACAAAGGAGTTTCTGAGAATCATTCTGTCTAGTTTCTATAGGAAGATATTTCCTATTCTACCATTGACCTCAAAGCGGCTGAAATCTCCACTTGCAAATTCCAGAAAAAGAGTGTTTCAAGTCTGCTCTGTGTAAAGGATCGTTGAAATCTGTGAGTTGAATACACACAATACAATGAAGTTACTGAGAATTCTTCTGTCTAGCATTATATGAAGAAATCCTGTTTCCAACGAAGGCCTCTAAGAGGTCTGAATATCCACCTGAAGACTTTACAAACAGAGTGTTTCCTAACTGTTCTATGAAAAGAAAGGTTAAACTCTGTGAGTTGAATGCACACATCACAAAGGAGTTTCTGAGAATCATTCTGTCTAGTTTTTATAGGAAGATATTTCCTTTTCTACCTTTGACTTCAAAGCGGCTGAAATCTCCACTTGCAAATTCCACAAAAAGAATGTTACAAGTCCGCTCTGTGTAAAGGATCGTTCAACTCTGTGAGTTGAATACACACAACACAAGGAAGTTACTGAGAATTCTTCTGTCTAGCACAATACGAAGAAATCCCGTTTCCAACGAAGGCCACAAGATGTCAGAATATCCACTTACAGACTTTACAAACAGAGTGTTTCCTAACTGCTCTATGAACAGAAAGGTTAAACTCTGTGAGTTGAACGAACACATCACAACGCAGTTTGTGGGAATGATTCTGTCTAGTTTTGAAACGAAGATATTTCCTTTTCTACCATTGACCTTTAAGCGCTTGAAATCTACACTTGCAAATTGCACAAATAGAGTGTTTCAAATCTGCTCTGTCTAAGGGAACGTTCATCTCTGTGAGTTGAATGCACACAACACAAGGAAGTTACTGGTAATTCTTCTGTCTAGCCTTACATGACAAAAACCCGTTTCCAACGAAGACCTCTAAGTGGTCAAAATATCCACGTGCAGGCTTTACAAACAGAGTGTTTCCAAACTGCTGAATGAAAAGAAAAGTTAAACTCTGAGAGCTGAAGGCACACATCGCAGAGCAGTTTCTGAGCATGATTCTGTCTAGTTTTTATACGAAGATATTTCGTTGTCTGCCTTTGACCCCAAAGCGCTTGAAATCTCCACTTGCAAATTCCACAAAAACAGTGTTTCAAATCTGCTCTCTCTAAATGAAAGTTCAACTCTGTCAGTTGAATACACACAACACAAGGAAGTTACTGAGAATTCTTCTGTCTAGCATAATATGAAGAAATCCCGTTTCCAACGAAGGCCTCAAAGGGGTCTGAATATCCACTTGCAGACTTTATAAACAGAGTGTTTACTAACTGCTCTATGAAAAGAAAGGTTAAACTCTGTGAGTTGAACACACACATCACAAAGGATTTTGTGGGAATCATTCTGTCTAGTTTCTATAGGAAGATATTCCCTATTCTACCATTGACCTCAAAGCGGCTGAAATCTCCACTTCCAAATTCCACAAAAAGAATGTTTCAAGTCTGCTCTGTGTAAAGGATCGTTCAACTCTGTGAGTTGAATACACACAACACAAGGAAGTTACTGAGAATTCTTCTGTCTAGCAGAATATGAAGAAATCCCGTTTCCATCGAAGGCCACAAGATGTCAGAATATCCACTTACAGAATTTACAAACAGACTGTTTCCTAACTGCTCTATGAAAAGAAAGGTTAAACTCTGTGAGATGAACGAACACATCACAACGCAGTTTTTGGGAATGATTCTGTCTAGTTTTGAAACGAAGATATTTCCTTTTCTGCCGTTGACCTGAAAGCGCTTGAAATCTATACTTGCAAATTGCACAAATAGAGTGTTTCAAATCTGCTCTGTCTAAGGGAACGTTCAACTCTGTGAGTTGAATGCACACAACACAAGGAAGTTACTGGGAATTCTTCTGTCTAGCCTTACATGAAAAAAACCCGTTTCCAACGAAGGCCTCAAAGAGGTCTGAGTATCCACTTGCAGACTTTACAAACAGAGTGTTTCCTAATGGCTCTATGAAAAGAAAAGTTAAACTCTGTGAGTTGAACGCACACATCACAAAGGAGTTTCTGAGAATCGTTCTGTCTAGTTTTTATACGAAGATATTACCTTTTCTGCCTTTGGCCTCAAAGCGCTTGAAATCTCCACTTGCAAATTCCACAAAAAGAGTGTTTCAAATCTGCTCTGGGTAAATGAAAGTTCAACTCTGTGAGTTGAACACACACAACACAAGGAAGTTACTGGGAATTCTTCTGTCTAGCATAATATGAAGAAATCCCGTTTCCAACGAAGGCCTCAAAGGGGTCTGAATATCCACTTGCAGACTTTATAAACAGAGTGTTTACTAACTGCTCTATGAAAAGAAAGGTTAAACTGTGTGAGTTGAACACACACATCACAAAGGAGTTTCTGAGAATCATTCTGTCTAGTTTTTATATGAAGATATTTCCTTTTCTACCATTGACCTCAACGCGGCTGAAATCTCCACTTGCAAATTCCACAAAAAGAGTGTTTCAAGTCTGCTCTGTGTAAAGGATCGTTCAACTCTGTGAGTTGAATACACACAACACAAGGAAGTTACTGAGAATTCTTCTGTCTAGCAGAATATGAAGAAATCCCGTTTCCAACGAAGGCCACAAGATGTCAGAATATCCACTTACAGACTTTACAAACAGAGTGTTTCCTAACTGCTCTATGAACAGGAAGGTTAAACTCTGTGAGTTGAACGAACACATCACAACGAAGTTTGTGGGAATGATTCTGTCTAGTTTTGAAACGAAGATATTTCCTTTTCTGCCGTTGACCTTAAAGCGCTTGAAATCTACACTTGCAAATTGCACAAAGAGAGTGTTTCAAATCTGCTCTGTCTAAGGGAACGTTCAACTCTGTGAGTTGAATGCACACAACACAAGGAAGTTACTGGGAATTCTTCTGTCTAGCCTTACAGGAAAAAAACCCGTTTCCAACGAAGGCCTCTAAGTGGTGAAAATATCCACGTGCAGACTTTACAAACAGAGTGTTTCCAAACTGCTGAATGAAAAGAAAAGTTAAACTCTGAGAGTTCAACGCACACATCGCAGAGCAGTTTCTGAGAATGATTCTGTCTAGTTTTTATACGAAGATATTTCCTTTTCTGCCTTTGGCCTCACAGCGCTTGAAATCTCCACTTGCAAATTCCACAAAAAGAGTGTTTCAAATCTGCTCTGTGTAAATCAAAGTTCAACTCTGTGAGTTGAACACACACAACACAAGGAAGTTACTGGGAATTCTTCTGTCTAGCAGAATATGAAGAAATCCCGTTTCCAATGAAGGCCTCAAAGAGGTCTGAATATCCACTTGCAGACTTTACAAACAGAGTGTTTCCTAACTGCTCTATGAAAAGAAAGGTTAAACTCTGTGAGTTGAACGCACACATCACAAAGGAGTTTCTGAGAATCGTTCTGTCTAGTTTTTCTACGAAGATATTTCCTTTTCGACTATTGACCTCAAAGCGGCTGAAATCTCCACTTGCAAATTCCACAAAAAGAGTGTTTCAAGTCTGCTCTGTGTAAAGGGATCGTTCAACTCTGTGAGTTGAATACACACAACACAAGGAAGTTACTGAGAATTCTTCTATCTAGCAGAATATGAAGAAATCCCGTTTCCAACGAAGGCCACAAGATGTCAGAATATGCACTTTCAGACTTTACAAACAGAGTGTTTCCTAACTGCTCTATGAACAGAAAGGTTAAACTCTGTGAGTTGAACGAACACATCACAACGCAGTTTGTGGGAATGATTCTGTCTAGTTTTGAAACGAAGATATTTCCTTTTCTGCCATTGACCTTAAAGCGCTTGAAATCTACACTTGCAAATTGCACAAATAGAGTGTTTCAAATCTGCTCTGTCTAAGGGAACGTTCAACTCTGTGAGTTGAATGCACACAACACAAGGAAGTTACTTGGAATTCTTCTGTCTAGCCTTACATGAAAAAAACCCGTTTCCAACGAAGGCCTCTGAGTGGTCAAAATTTCCACGTGCAGACTTTACAAACAGAGTGTTTCCAAACCGCTGAATGAAAAGAAAAGTTAAACTCTGAGAGTTGAACGCACACATCACGCAGCAGTTTCTGAGAATGATTCTGTCTAGTTTTGAAACGAAGATATTTCCTTTTCTGCCTTTGGCCCCAAAGCGCTTGAAATCTCCACTTGCAAATTCCACAAAAAGAGTGTTTCAAATCTGCTCTGTGTAAATGAAAGTTCAACTCTGTGATTTGAACACACACAACACAAGGAAGTTACTGGGAATTCTTCTGTCTAGACTTATATGAAAAAAACCCGTTTCCAACGAAGGCCTCAAAGAGGTCTGAATATCCACTTGCAGACTTTACAAACAGAGTGTTTCCTAACTGCTCTATGAAAAGAAAGGTTAAACTCTGTGAGTTGAACGCACACATCACAAAGGAGTTTCTGAGAATCATTCTGTCTAGTTTTTATACGAAGATATTTCCTTTTCTACCATTGACCTCAAAGCGGCTGAAATCTCCAATTGCTAATTCCACAAAAAGAGTGTTTCAAATCTGCTCTGTGTAAACCATCGTTCAACTCTGTGAGTTGAATACACACAACACAAGGAAGTTACTGAGTATTCTTCTGTCTAGCACAGTATGAAGAAATACCGTTTCCAACGAAGGCCTCAAAGAGGTCTGAATATCCACTTGCAGAGTTTACAAACAGAGTGTTTCCTAACTGCTCTATGAAAAGAACGGTTAAACTCTGTGAGTTGAACGCACACATCACAATGAAGTTTCTGAGAATCATTCTGTCTAGTCTTTATACGAAGATATTTCCTTTTCTGCCTTTGGCCCCAAAGCGCTTGAAATCTCCACTTGCAAATTCCACAAAAACAGTGTTTCAAATCTGCTCTCTCTAAATGAAAGTTCAACTCTGTCAGTTGAATACACACAACACAAGGAAGTTACTGAGAATTCTTCTTTCTAGCAGAATATGAAGAAATCCCGTTTCCAACGAAAGCCTCAAGGATGTCTGAATATCCACTTGCAGACTGTACAAACAGAGTGTTTCCTAACTGCTCTATGAAAAGAAAGGTTAAACTCTGTGAGTTGAACGCACACATCACAAAGGAGTTTCTGAGAATCATTCTGTCTAGTTTTTATACGAAGATAATTCCTTTTCTACCATTGACCTCAAAGCGGCTGAAATCTCCACTTACAAATTCCGCAAAAAGAGTGTTTCAAGTCTGCTCTGTGTAAAGGATCGTTCAACTCTGTGAGTTGAATACACACAACACAAGGGAAGTTACTGAGAATTCTTCTCTCTAGCAGAATATGAAGAAATCCCGTTTCGAACGAAGGCCTCAAAGAGGTCTAAATATCCACTTGCAGACTTTACAAACAGAGTGTTTCCTAACTGCTCTATGAAAAGAAAGGTTAAACTCTGTGAGCTGAACGAACACATCACATAGGAGTTTCTGAGAATCATTCTGTCTAGTTTTTATAGGAAGATATTTCCTTTTCTACCATTGACCTCAAAGCGGCTGAAATCTCCACTTGCAAATTCCACAAAAAGAGTGTTTCAAGTCTGCTCTGTGTAAAGGATCGTTGAACTCTGTGAGTTGAATACACACAACACAATGAAGTTACTGAGAATTCTTCTTTCTAGCAGAATATGAAGAAATCCCGTTTCCAACGAAAGCCTCAAGGATGTCTGAATATCCACCTGCAGACTTTACAAACAGAGTGTTTCCTAACTGCTCTATGAAAAGAAAGGTTAAACTCTGTGAGTTGAACGCACACATCACAAAGGAGTTTCTGAGAATCATCTGTCTAGTTTCTATAGGAAGATATTTCCTATTCTACCATTGACCTCAAAGCGGCTGAAATCTCCACTTGCAAATTCCACAAAAAGAGTGTTTCAAGTCTGCTCTGTGTAAAGGATCGTTCAACTCTGTGAGTTGAATACACACAACACAAGGAAGTTACTGAGAATTCTTTCTGTCTAGCAGAATATGAAGAAATCCCGTTTCCAACGAAGGCCACAAGATGTCAGAATATCCACTTACAGACTTTACAAACAGTGTGTTTCCTAACTGCTCTATGAACAGAAAGGTTAAACTCTGTGAGTTGAACGAACACATCACAACGCAGTTTGTGGGAATGATTCTGTCTAGTTTTGAAACGAAGAATATTTCCTTTTCTGCCATTGACCTTAAAGCGCTTGAAATCTCCATTTGCCAATTGCACAAAAAGAGTGTTTCAAATCTGCTCTGTCTAAGGGAACGTTCAACTCTGTGAGTTGAATGTACACAACACAAGGAAGTTACTGGGAATTCTTCTGTCTAGCCTTACAGGAAAAAAACCCGTTTCCAACGAAGTCCTCTAAGTGGTCAAGTTATCCACGTGCAGACTTTACAAACAGATTGTTTCCAAACTGCTGAATGAAAAGAAAAGTTAAACTCTGAGAGTTGAACGCACACATCGCAGAGCAGTTTCTGAGAATGATTCTGTCTAGTTTTTATATGAAGATATTTCCTTTTCTGCCTTTGGCCTCAAAGCGCTTGAAATCTCCACCTGCAAATTCCACAAAAAGAGTGTTTCAAATCTGCTCTGTGTAAATGAAAGTTCAACTCTGTGAGTTGAACACACACAACACAAGGAAGTTACTGGGAATTCTTCTGTCTAGCCTTATATGAAAAAACCCGTTTCCAACGAAGGCCTCAAAGAGGTCTGAATATCCACTTGCAGACTTTACAAACAGAGTGTTTCCTAACTGCTCTATGAAAAGAAAGGTTAAACTCTGTGAGTTGAACACACACATCACAAAGGAGTTTCTGAGAATCATTCTGTCTAGTTTCTATAGGAAGATGTTTCCTATTCTACCATTGACCTCAAAGCGGCTGAAATCTCCAGTTGCAAATTCCACAAAAAGAATGTTTCAAGTCTGCTCTGTGTAAAGCATCGTTCAACTCTGTGAGTTGAATACACACAACACAAGGAAGTTACTGAGAATTATTCTGTCTAGCAGAATATGAAGAAATCCCGTTTCCAACGAAGGCCACAAGATGTCAGAATATCCACTTACAGAATTTACAAACAGACTGTTTCCTAACTGCTCTATGAAAAGAAAGGTTAAACTCTGTGAGTTGAACGAACACATAACAACGCAGTTTGTGGGAATGATTCTGTCTAGTTTTTATACGAAGATATTTCCTTTTCTACCATTGACCTCAAAGAGGCTGAAATCACCACTTGCCAATTGCACAAAAAGAGTGTTTCAAATCTGCTCTGTCTAAGGGAACGTTCAACTCTGTGAGTTGAATGTACACAACACAAGGAAGTTACTGGGAATTCTTCTGTCTAGCCTTACATGAAAAAAACCCGTTTCCAACGAAGGCCTCTAAGTGGTCAAAATATCCACGTGCAGACTTTACAAACAGAGTGTTTCCAAACCGCTGAATGAAAAGAAAAGTTAAACTTTGAGAGTTGAACGCACGCATCACGCAGCAGTTTCTGAGAATGATTCTGTCTAGTTTTTATACGAAGATATTTCCTTTTCTGCCTTTGGCCTCAATGCGCTTGAAATCTCCATTTGCAAATTCCACAAAAAGAGTGTTTCAAATCTGCTCTGTGTAAATGAAAGTTCAACTCTGTGAGTTGAACACACACAACACAAGGAAGTTACTGGGAATTCTTCTGTCTAGCCTTATATGAAAAAATCCCGTTTCCAACGAAGGTCTCAAAGAGGTCTGAATATCCACTTGCAGACTTTACAAACAGAGTGTTTCCTAACTGCTCTATGAAAAGAAAGGTTAAACTCTGTGAGTTGAACACACACATCACAAAGGAGTTTCTGAGAATCATTCTGTCTAGTTTTTATAGGAAGATATTTCCTTTTCTACCTTTGACTTCAAAGCGGCTGAAATCTCCACTTGCAAATTCCAGAAAAAGAGTGTTACAAGTCTGCTCTGTGTAAAGGATCGTTCAACTCTGTGAGTTGAATACACACAACACAAGGAAGTTACTGGGAATTCTTCTGTCTAGCAGAATATGAAGAAATCCCGTTTCCAACGAAGGCCACAAGATGTCAGAATATCCACTTACAGACTTTACAGAGTGTTTCCTAACTGCTCTATGAAGAGAAAGGTTAAACTCTGTGAGTTGAACGAACACATCACAACGCAGTTTGTGGGAATGATTCTGTCTAGTTTTGAAACGACGATATTCCCTTTTCTGCCATTGACCTTAAAGCGCTTGAAATCTCCACTTGCCAATTGCACAAAAAGAGTGTTTCAAATCTGCTGTGTCTAAGGGAACCTTCAAATCTGTGAATTGAATGTACACAACACAAGGAAGTTACTGGGAATTCTTCTGTCTAGCCTTATATGAAAAAAACCCGTTTCCAACGAAGGCCTCTAAGTGGTCAAAATATCCACGTGCAGACGTTACAAACAGAGTGTTTCCAAACTGCTGAATGAAAAGAAAAGTTAAACTCTGAGAGTTGAACGCACACATCGCAGAGCAGTTTCTGAGAATGATTCTGTCTAGTTTTTATACGAAGATATTTCCTTTTCTGCATTTGGCCTCAAAGCGCTTGAAATCTCCACTTGCAAATTCCACAAAAAGAGTGTTTCCAATCTGCTCTGTGTAAATGAAAGTTCAACTCTGTGAGTTGAATACACACAACACAAGGAAAGTTACTGGGAATTCTTCTGTCTAACATAGTATGAAGAAATCCCGTTTCCAACGAAGGCCTCAAAGAGGTCTGAATATCCAATTGCAGAGTTTACAAACAGAGTGTTTCCTAACTGCTCTATGTAAAGAAAGGTTAAACTCTGTGAGTTGAACGCACACATCACAAAGAAGTTTCTGAGAATCATTCTGTCTAGTTTCTATAGGAAGATATTTCCTATTCTACCATTGACCTCAAAGCGGCTGAAATCTCCACTTGCAAATTCCAAAAAAAGAGTGTTTCAAGTCTGCTCTGTGTAAAGGATCGTTCAACTCTGTGAGTTTAATACACACAACACAAGGAAGTTACTGAGAATTCTTCTGTCTAGCATAGTATGAAGAAATCCTGTTTCCAACGAAGGCCTCAAAGAGGTCTGAATATCCACTTGCAGAGTTTACAAACAGAGTGTTTCCTAACTGCTCTATGAAAAGAAAGGTTAAACTCTGTGAGTTGAACGCACACATCACAAAGAAGTTTCTGAGAATCATTCTGTCTAGTTTTTCTACGAAGATATTTCCTTTTCTACTATTGACCTCAAAGCGGCTGAAATCTCCACTTGCAAATTCCACAAAAACAGTGTTTCAAATCTGCTCTCTCTAAATGAAAGTTCAACTCTGTCAGTTGAATACACACAACACAAGGAAAGTTACTGAGAATTCTTCTGTCTAGCCTTATATGAAAAAAACCCGTTTCCAACGAAGGCCTCAAAGAGGTCTGAATATCCACTTGCAGACTTTACCAACAGAGTGTTTCCTAACTGCTCTATGAAAAGAAAGGTTAAACTCTGTGAGTTGAACACACACATCACAAAGGCGTTTCTGAGAATCATTGTGTCTAGTTTTTATACGAAGATATTTCCTTTTCTACCATTGACCTCAACGCGGCTGAAATCTCCACTTGCAAATTCCACAAAAAGAGTGTTTCAAGTCCTCTCTGTGTAAAGGATCGTTCAACTCTGTGAGTTGAGTACACACAACACAAGGAAGTTACTGAGAATTCTTCTGTCTAGCCTTACATGAAAAAACCCCGTTTCCAACGAAGGCCTCTAAGTGGTCAAATTATCCACGTGCAGACTTTACAAACAGAGTGTTTCCAAACTGCTGAATGAAAAGAAAAGTTAAACTCTGAGAGTTGAACGCACACATCGCAGAGCAGTTTCTGAGAATGATTCTGTCTAGTTTTGAAACGAAGATATTTCCTTTTCTGCCTTTGGCCTCAAAGCGCTTGAAATCTCCATTTGCAAATTCCACAAAAAGAGTGTTTCAAATCTGCTCTGTGTAAATGAAAGTTCAACTCTGTGAGTTGAACACACACAACAGAAGGAAGTTACTGGGAATTCTTCTGTCTAGCACAGTATGGAGAAATCCCGTTTCCAACGAAGGCCTCAAAGGAGGTCTGAATATCCACTTGCAGAGTTTACAAACAGAGTGTTTCCTAACTGCTCTATGAACAGAAAGGTTAAACTCTGTGAGTTGAACGCACACATCACAAAGAAGTTTCTGAGAATCATTCTGTCTAGTTTTTATACGAAGATATTTCCTTTTCTAACATTGACCTCAAAGCGGCTGAAATCTCCACTTGCAAATTCCACAAAAAGAGTGTTTCAAGTCTGCTCTGTGTAAACTATCGTTCAACTCTGTGAGTTGAATACACACAACACAAGGAAGTTTCTGAGAATTCTTCTGTCTAGCAGAATATGAAGAAATCCCGTTTCCAACGAAGGCCACAAGATGTCAGGATATCCACTTACAGAATTTACAAACAGACTGTTTCCTAACTGCTCTATGAAAAGAAAGGTTAAACTCTGTGAGATGAACGAACACATCACAACGCAGTTTGTGGGAATGATTCTGTGTAGTTTTGAAACGAAGATATTTCCTTTTCTGCCATTGACCTTAAAGCGCTTGAAATCTCCACTTCCCAATTGCACAAAAAGAGTGTTTCAAATCTGCTCTGTCTAAGGGAACGTTCAACTCTGTGAGTTGAATGTACACAACACAAGGAATTTACTGGGAAATCTTCTGTCTAGCCTTACGTGAATAAAACCCGTTTCCAACGAAGGCCTCTAAGTGGTCAAGTTATCCACGTGCAGACTTTACAAACAGAGTGTTTCCAAACTGCTGAATGAAAAGAAAAGTTAAACTCTGAGAGTTGAACGCACACATCGCAGAGCAGTTTCTGAGAATGATTCTGTCTAGTTTTGAAACGAAGATATTTCCTTTTCTGTCTTTGGCCTCAAAGCGCTTGAAATCTCCATTTGCAAATTCCACAAAAAGAGTCTTTCAAATCTGCTCTGTGTAAATGAAAGTTCAACTCTGTGAGTTGAACACACACAACACAAGGATGTTAGTGGTAATTCTTTTGTCTACCCTTATATGAAAAAAACCCGTTTCCAACGAAGGCCTCAAAGAGGTCTGAATATCCACTTGCAGACTTTACAAACAGAGTGTTTCCTAACTGCTCTATGAAAAGAAAGGTTAAACTCTGTGAGTTGAACGCACACATCACAAAGGAGTTTCTGAGAATCATTCTGTCTAATTTTTATACGAAGATATTTCCTTTTCTACCATTGACCTCAAAGCGGCTGAAATCTCCACTTGCAAATTCCACAAAAAGAGTGTTTCAAGTCTGCTCTGTGTAAAGGATCGTTCAACTCTGTGAGTTGAATACACACAATAAAAGGAAGTTACTGAGAATTCTTCTGTCTAGCAGAACATGAAGAAATCCCGTTTCCAACGAAGGCCACAAGATGTCAGAATATCCACTTACAGAATTTACAAACAGAGTGTTTCCTAACTGCTCTATGAAAAGAACGGTTAAACTCTGTGAGTTGAACGAACACATCACAACGCAGTTTGTGGGAATGATTCTGTCTAGTTTTGAAACGAAGATATTTCCTTTTCTGCCATTGACCTTAAAGCGCTTGAAATCTCCACTTGCCAATTTCTCAAAAAGAGTGTTTCAAATCTGCTCTGTCTAAGGGAACGTTCAACTCTGTGAGTTGAATGTACACAACACAAGGAAGTTACTGGGAATTCTTCTGTCTAGCCTTACATGAAAAAAAACCCGTTTCCAACGAAGGCCACTAAGTGGTCAAAATATCCACGTGCAGACTTTACAAACAGAGTGTTTCCAAACCGCTGAATGAAAAGAAAAGTTAAACTCTGAGAGTTGAACGCACACATCACGCAGCAGTTTCTGAGAATGATTCTGTCTAGTTTTTATACGAAGATATTTCCTTTTCTGTCCTTGGCCCCAAAGCGCTTGAAATCTCCACTTGCAAATTCCACAAAAACAGTGTTTCAAATCTGCTCTCTCTAAATGAAAGTTCAACTCTGTCAGTTGAATACACACAACACAAGGAAGTTACTGAGAATTCTTCTGTCTAGCAGAATATGAAGAAATCCTGTTTCCAACGAAGGCCTCAAGGAGGTCTGAATATCCACTTGCAGACTTTACAAACAGAGTGTTTCCTAACTGCTCTATGAAAAGAAAAGTTAAACTCTGTGAGTTGAACGCACACATCACAAAGGAGTTTCTGAGAATCATTCTGTCTAGTTTTTATACGAAGTTATTTCCTTTTCTACCATTGACCTCAACGCGGCTGAAATCTCCACTTGCAAATTCCACAAAAAGAGTGTTTCAAGTCTGCTCTGTGTAAAGGATCGTTCAACTCTGTGAGTTGAATACACACAACACAAGGAAGTTACTGAGAATTCTTCTGTCTAGCAGAATATGAAGAAATCCCGTTTCCAACGAAGGCCACAAGATGTCAGAATATCCACTTACAGACTTTACAAACAGAGTGTTTCCTAACTGCTCTATGAACAGAAAGGTTAAACTCTGTGAGTTGAACGAACACATCCCAACGCAGTTTGTGGGAATGATTCTGTCTAGTTTTTATACGAAGATATTTCCTTTTATACCATTGACCACAAAGCGGCTGAAATCACCACTTGCCAATTGCACAAAAAGACTGTTTCAAATCTGCTCTGTCTAAGGGAACGTTCAACTCTGTGAGTTGAATGTACACAACACAAGGAAGTTACTGGGAATTCTTCTGTCTAGCCTTACATGAAAAAAACCCGTTTCCAACGAAGGCCTCTAAGTGGTCAAAATATCCACGTGCAGACTTTACAAACAGAGTGTTTCCAAACCGCTGAATGAAAAGAAAAGTTAAACTCTGAGAGTTGAACGCACACATCACTCAGCAGTTTCTGAGAATGATTCTGTCTAGTTTTTATACGATGATATTTCCTTTTCTGCCTTTGGCCCCAAAGCGCTTGAAATCTCCACTTGCAAATTCCACAAAAACAGTGTTTCAAATCTGCTCTCTCTAAATGAAAGTTCAACTCTGTCAGTTGAATACACACAACACAAGGAAGTTACTGAGAATTCTTCTGTCTAGCATAATATGAAGAAATCCCGTTTCCAACGAATGCCTCAAGGAGGTCTGTATATCCACTTGCAGACTTTACAAACAGAGTGTTTCCTAACTGCTCTATGAAAAGAAAGGTTAAACTGTGTGAGTTGAACGCACACATCACAAAGGAGTTTCTGAGAATCATTCTGTCTAGTTTCTATAGGAAGATATGTCCTATTCTACCATTGACCTCACAGCGGCTGAAATCTCCACTTGCAAATTCCACAAAAAGAGTGTTTCAAGTCTGCTCTGTGTAAAGGATCGTTCAACTCTGTGAGTTGAATACACACAACACAAGGAAGTTACTTATAATTCTTCTGTATAGCCTTACATGAAAAAAACCCGTTTCCAACGAAGGCCTCTAAGTGGTCAAATTATCCACGTGCAGACTTTACAAACAGAGTGTTTCCAAACTGCTGAATGAAAAGAAAAGTTAAACTCTGAGAGTTGAACGCACACATCGCAGAGCAGTTTCTGAGAATGATTCTGTCTAGTTTTTATACGAAGATATTTCCTTTTCTGCCTTTGGCCCCAAAGCGCTTGAAATCTCCACTTGCAAATTCCACAAAAACAGAGTTTCAAATCTGCTCTCTCTAAATGAAAGTTCAACTCTGTCAGTTGAATACACACAACACAAGGGAAGTTACTGAGAATTCTTCTGTCTAGCCTTATATGAAAAAAACCCGTTTCCAACGAAGGCCTCAAAGAGGTCTGAATATCCACTTGCAGACTTTACAAACAGAGTGTTTCCTAACTCCTCTATGAAAAGAAAGGTTAAACTCTGTGAGTTGAACGAACACATCACAAAGGAGTTTCTGAGAATCATTCTGTCTAGTCTTTATAGGAAGATATTTCCTTTTCTACCATTGACCACAAAGCGGCTGAAATCTCCACTTGCAAATTCCACAAAAAGAGTGTTTCAAGTCTGCTCTGTGTAAAGGATCATTCAACTCTGTGAGTTGAATAAACACAACACAAGGAAGTTACTGAGAATTCTTCTGTCTAGCAGAATATGAAGAAATCCCGTTTCCAAAGAAGGCCAAAAGATGTCGGAATATCCACTTACAGACTTTACAAACAGAGTGTTTCCTAACTGCTCTATGAACAGAAAGTTTAAACTCTGTGAGTTGAACGAACACATCACAACGCAGTTTGTGGGAATGATTCTGTCTAGTTTTGAAACGAAGATATTTCCTTTTCTGCCATTGACCTTAAAGCGCTTGAAATCTACACTTGCAAATTGCACAAATAGAGTGTTTCAAATCTGCTCTGTCTAAGGGAACGTTCATCTCTGTGAGTTGAATGCACACAACACAAGGGAAGTTACTGGGAATTCTTCTGTCTAGCCTTACATGAAAAAAACCCGTTTCCAACGAAGACCTCTAAGTGGTCAAAATATCCACGTGCAGACTTTACAAACAGAGTGTTTCCAAACTGCTGAATGGAAAGAAAAGTTAAACTCTGAGAGTTGAACGCACACATCACAGAGCGGTTTCTGAGAATGATTCTGTCTAGTTTTTATACGAAGATATTTCCTTTTCTGCCTTTGGCCCCAAAGCGCTTGAAATCTCCACTTGCAAATTCCACAAAAACAGTGTTTCAAATCTACTCTCTCTAAATGAAAGTTCAACTCTGTCAGTTGAATACACACAACACAAGGAAGTTACTGAGAATTCTTCCGTCTAGCCTTACATGAAAAAATCCCGTTTCCAACGAAGGCCTCAAAGAAATCCAAATATCCACGTGTAGACATTACAAACAGAGTGTTTCCTAACTGCTCTATGAAAAGGAAGGTTAAACTCTGTGAGTTGAACGCCCACATCACAAAGGAGTTTCTGAGAATCATTCTGTCTAGTCTTTATACGAAGATAGTTTCCTTTTCTCCCGTTGACCTCAAAGCGGGTGAAATCTCCACTTGCAAATTCCACAAAAAGAGTGTTTCAAGTCTGCTCTGTGTAAAGGATCATTCAACTCTGTGAGTTGAATACACACAACACAAGGAAGTTACTGAGAATTCTTCTGTCTAGCAGAATATGAAGAAATCCCGTTTCCAACGAAGGCCTCAAGGAAGTCTGAATATCCACTTGCAGACATTACAAACAGAGTGTTTCCCAACTGCTCTATGGAAAGAAAGGTTAAACTCTGTGAGTTGAACGCACACATCACAAAGGAGTTTATGAGAATCATTCTGTCTAGTTTTGAAACGAAGATATTTCCTTTTCTGCCATTGACCTTAAAGCCCTTGAAATCTCCACTTGCTAATTTCACAAAAAGAGAGTTTCAAATCTGCTCTCTCTAAGGGAACGTTCAACTCTGTGAGTTGAATGTACACAACACAAGGAAGTTACTGGGAATTATTCTGTCTAGCCTTACATGAAAAAAACCCGTTTCCAACGAAGGCCTCTAAGTGGTCAAATTATCCACGTGCAGACTTTACAAACAGAGTGTTTCCAAACTGCTGAATGAAAAGAAAAGTTAAACTCTGAGAGTTGAACGCACACATCGCAGAGCAGTTTCTGAGAACGATTCTGTCTAGTTTTTATACGAAGATATTTCCTTTTCTGCCTTTGGCCCCAAAGCGCTTGAAATCTCCAGTTGCAAATTCCACAAAAACAGTGTTTCAAATCTGCTCTCTCTAAAAGAAAGTTCAACTCTGTCAGTTGAATACACACAACACAAGGAAGTTACTGAGAATTCTTCTGTCTAGCATAATATGAAGAAATTCCGTTTCCAACGAAGGCCTCAAAGAGGTCTGAATATCCACTTGCAGACTTTACAAACAGAGTATTTCCTAACTGCTCTATGAAAAGAAAAGTTAAACTCTGTGTGTTGAACGCACACATCACAAAGGAGTTTCTGAGAATCATTCTGTCTAGTCTTTATACGAAGATATTTCCTTTTCTACCGTTGACCTCAAAGCGGCTGAAATCTCCACTTGCAAATTCCACAAAAAGAGTGTTTCAAGTCTGCTCTCTGTAAAGGATCGTTCAACTCTGTGAGTTGAATACACACAACACAAGGAAGTTACTGAGAATTCTTCTTTCTAGCAGAATATGAAGAAATCCCGTTTCCAACGAAAGCCTCAAGGATGTCTGAATATCCACTTGCAGACTTTACAAACAGTGTTTCCCAACTGCTCTATGAAAAGAAAGGTTAAACTCTGTGAGTTGAACGCACACATCACAAAGGAGTTTCTGAGAATCATTCTGTCTAGTTTTTATACGAAGATATTTCCTTTTCTACCATTGACCTCAACGCGGCTGAAATCTCCACTTGCAAATTCCACAAAAAGAGTGTTTCAAGTCTGCTCTGTGTAAAGGATCGTTCAACTCTGTGAGTTGAATACACACAAAACAAGGAAGTTACTGAGAATTCTTCTGTCAAGCAGAATATGAAGAAATCCCGTTTCCAACCAAGGCCTCAAGGAGGTCTGAATATCCACTTGCAGACTTTACAAACAGAGTGTTTCCTAACTGCTCTATGAAAAGAAAGGTTAAACTCTGTGAGTTGAACGCACACATCACAAAGGAGTTTATGAGAATCATTCTGTCTAGTCTTTATACGAAGATATTTCCTTTTCTACCATTGACCTCAAAGCGGCTGAAATCTCCACTTGCAAATTCCACAAAAAGAGTGTTTAAAGTCTGCTCTCTGTAAAGGATCGTTCAACTCTGTGAGTTGAATACACACAACACAAGGAAGTTACTGAGAATTCTTCTGTCTAGCAGAATATGAAGAAATCCCGTTTCCAACGAAGGCCTCAAAGAGGTCTGAATATCCACTTGCAGACTTTACAAACAGAGTGTTTCCTAACTGCTCTATGAAAAGAAAAGTTAAACTCTGTGTGTTGAACGCACACATCACAAAGGAGTTTATGAGAATCATTCTGTCTAGTTTTGAAACGAAGATATTTCCTTTTCTGCCATTGACCTTAAAGCGCTTGAAATCTACACTTGTAAATTGCACAAATAGAGTGTTTCAAATCTGCTCTGTCTAAGGGAACGTTCAACTCTGTGAGTTGAATGCACACAACACAAGGAAGTTACTGGGAATTCTTCTGTCTAGCCTTACATGAAAAAAACCCGTTTCCAACGAAGACCTCTAAGTGGTCAAATTATCCACGTGCAGACTTTACAAACAGAGTGTTTCCAAACTGCTGAATGAAAAGAAAAGTTAAACTCTGAGAGTTGAACGCACACATCGCAGAGCAGTTTCTGAGAATGATTCTGTCTAGTTTTTATACGAAGATATTTCCTTTTCTGCCTCTGGCCTCAAAGCGCTTGAAATCTCCATTTGCAAATTCCACAAAAAGAGTGTTTCAAATCTGCTCTGTGTAAATGAAATTTCAACTCTGTGAGTTGAACACACACAACACATGGAAGTTACTGGGAATTCTTCTGTCTAGCAGAATATGAAGAAATCCCGTTTCCAACGAAGGCCTCAAGGAGGTCTGAATATCCACTTACAGACTTTACAAACAGAGTGTTTCCTAACTGCTCTATGAACAGAAAGGTTAAACTCTGTGAGTTGAACGCACACATCACAAAGGAGTTTCTGAGAATCATTCTGTCTAGTTTTTATAGGAAGATATTTCCTTTTCTACCATTGACCTCAAAGCGGCTGAAATCTCCACTTGCAAATTCCCCAACAAGAGTGTTTCAAGTCTGCTCTGTGTAAAGGATCGTTCAACTCTGTGAGTTGAATACACACAACACAAGGAAGTTACTGAGAATTCTTCTGTCTAGCATAATATGAAAAAATCCCGTTTCCAACGAAGTCCTCAAAGAGGTCTGAATATCCACTTGCAGACTTTACAAACAGAATGTTTCCTAACTGCTCTATGAAAAGAAAGGTTAAACTCTGTGAGTTGAATGCACACATCACAAAGGAGTTTCTGAGAATCATTCTGTCTAGTTTCTATAGGAAGATATTTCCTATTCTACCATTGACCTCAAAGCGGCTGAAATCTCCACTTGCAAATTCCACAACAAGAGTGTTTCAAGTCTACTCTGTGTAAAGCATCGTTCAACTCTGTGAGTTGAAAACACTCAACACAAGGAACTTACTGAGAATTCTTCTGTCTAGCCTTACATGAAAAAAACCCGTTTCCAACGAAGGCCTCTAAGGGGTCAAAATATCCACGTGCAGACTTTACAAACAGAGTGTTTCCAAACCGCTGAATGAAAAGAAAAGTTAAACTCTGAGAGTTGAACGCACACATCACGCAGCAGTTTCTGAGAATGATTCTGTCTAGTTTTGAAACGAAGACATTTCCTTTTCTGCCTTTGGCCTCAAAGCGCTTGAAATCTCCACTTGCAAATTCCACAAAAAGAGTGTTTCAAATCTGCTCTGTGTAAATGAAAGTTCAACTCTGTGAGTTGAACACACACAACACAAGGAACTTACTGGGAATTCTTCTGTCTAGCAGAATATGAAGAAATCCCGTTTCCAACGAAGGCCTCAAAGAGGTCTGAATATCCACTTGCAGACTTTACAAACAGAGTGTTTCCTAACTGCTCTATGAAAAGGAAAGTTAAACTCTGTGAGTTGAACGCACACATCACAAAGGAGTTTCTGAGAATCATTCTGTCTAGTTTTTCTACGAAGATGTTTCCTTTTCTACTATTGACCTCAAAGCGGCTGAAATCTCCTCTTGCAAATTCCACAAAAAGAGTGTTTCAAGTCTGCTCTGTGTAAAGGATCGTTCAACTCTGTGAGTTGAATACACACAACACAAGGGAAGTTACTGAGAATTCTTCTGTCTAGCATAATATGAAGAAATCCCGTTTCCAACGAAGGCCTCAAAGAGGTCTGAATATCCACTTGCACACTTTACAAACAGAGTGTTTCCTAACTGCTCTATGAAAAGAAAAGTTAAACTCTGTGATTTGAACGCACACATCACAAAGGAGTTTCTGAGAATCATTCTGTCTAGTCTTTATACGAAGATATTTACTTTTCTACCATTGACCTCAAAGCCTCTGAAATCTCCACTTGCAAATTCCACAAAAAGAGTGTTTCAAGTCTGCTCTGTGTAAAGGAGCATTCAACTCTGTGAGTTGAATAAACACAACACAAGGAAGTTACTGAGAATTCTTCTGTCTAGCAAAATATGAAGAAACCCCGTTTCCAACGAAGGCCACAAGATGTCAGAATATCCACTTACAGAATTTACAAACAGACTGGTTCCTACCTGCTCTATGAAAAGAAAGGTTAAACACTGTGAGTTGAACGAACACATCACAACGCAGTTTGTGGGAATGATTTCTGTCTAGTTTTGAAACGAAGATATTTCCTTTTCTGCCGTTGACCTTAAAGCGCTTGAAATCTACACTTGCAAATTACACAAATAGAGTGTTTCAAATCTGCTCTGTCTAAGGGAACGTTCAACTCTGTGAGTTGAATGCACACAACACAAGGAAGTTACTGGGAATTCTTCTGTCTAGCCTTACAAGAAAAAAACCCGTTTCCAACGAAGGCCTCTAAGTGGTCAAAATATCCACGTGCAGACTTTACAAACAGAGTGTTTCCAAACTGCTGAATGAAAAGAAAAGTTAAACTCTGAGAGTTGAACGCACACATCGCAGAGCACTTTCTGAGAATGATTCTCTCTAGTTTTTATACGAAGATATTTCCTTTTCTGCCTTTGGCCTCAAAGCGCTTGAAATCTCCACTTGCAAACTCCACAAAAAGAGTGTTTCAAATCTGCTCTGTGTAAATCAAAGTTCAACTCTGTGAGTTGAACACACACAACACAAGGAAGTTACTGGGAATTCTTCTGTCTAGCAGAATATGAAGAAATCCCGCTTCCAACGAAGGCCTCAAAGAAGTCTGAATATCCACTTGCAGACTTTACAAACAGAGTGTTTCCCAACTGCTCTATGAAAAGAAAGGTTGAACTCTGTGAGTTGAACGCACACATCACAAAACAGTTTCTGAGAATCATTCTGTCTAGTCTTTATACGAAGATAGTTTCCTTTTCTACCATTGACCTCAAAGCGGCTGAAATCTCCACTTGCAAATTCCACAAAAAGAGTGTTTCAAGTCTGCTCTCTGTAAAGGGTCGTTCAACTCTGTGAGTTGAATACACACAACACAAGGAAGTTACTGAGAATTCTTCTGTCTAGCAGAATATGAA
This sequence comes from Homo sapiens, assembly GCF_000001405.40. Classification (NCBI taxonomy): domain Eukaryota; kingdom Metazoa; phylum Chordata; class Mammalia; order Primates; family Hominidae; genus Homo; species Homo sapiens. Next base: position 25,252,242 of record NC_000019.10, on the reverse strand, counting down.
GAAATCCCGTTTCCAACGAAGGCCACAAGATGTCAGAATATCCAGTTACAGACTTTACAAACAGAGTGTTTCCTAACTGCTCTATGAACAGAAAGGTTAAACTCTGTGAGTTGAACGAACACATCACAACGCAGTTTGTGGGAATGATTCTGTCTAATTTTGAAACGAAGATATTTCCTTTTCTGCCGTTGACCTTAAAGCGCTTGAAATCTACACTTGCAAATTGCACAAATAGAGTGTTTCAAATCTGCTCTGTCTAAGGGAACGTTCAACTCTGTGAGTTGAATGCACACAACACAAGGTAGTTACTGGGAATTCTTCTGTCTAGCCTTACAGGAATAAAACCCGTTTCCAACGAAGGCCTCTAAGTGGTCAAAATATCCACGTGCAGACTTTACAAACAGAGTGTTTCCAAACTGCTGAATGAAAAGAAAAGTTAAACTCTGAGAGTTGAACGCACACATCGCAGAGCAGTTTCTGAGAATGATTCTGTCTAGTTTTGAAACGAAGATATTTCCTTTTCTGCCTTTGGCCTCAAAGCGCTTGAAATCTCCACTTGCGAATTCCACAAAAAGAGTGTTTCTAATCTGCTCTGTGTAAATGAAAGTTCAACTCTGTGAGTTGAACACACACAACACAAGGAAGTTACTGGGAATTCTTCTGTCTAGCAGAATATGAAGAAATCCCGTTTCCAACGAAGGCCTCAAAGACGTCTGAATATCCACTTGCAGACTTTACAAACAGAGTGTTTCCTAACTGCTCTATGAAAAGAAAGGTTAAACTCTGTGACTTGAAAGCACACATCACAAAGGAGTTTCTGAGAATCATTCTGTCTAGTTTTTCTACGAAGATATTTCCTTTTCTTCTCTTGACCTGAAAGCGGCTGAAATCTCCACTTGCAAATTCCACAAAAAGAGTGTTTCAAGTCTGCTCTGTGTAAAGGATCGTTCAACTCTGTGAGTTGAATACACACAACACAAGGAAGTTACTGAGAATTCTTCTGTCTAGCAGAATAGGAAGAAATCCCGTTTCTAACGAAGGCCTCAAAGACGTCTGAATATCCACGTGCAGACTTTACAAACAGAGTGTTTCCTAACTGCTCTATGAAAAGAAAGGTTAAACTCTGTGAGTTGAACGCACACATCACAAAGGAGTTTCTGAGAATCGTTCTGTCTAGTTTCTATAGGAAGATATTTCCTATTCTACCATTGACCTCAAAGAGGCTGAAATCTCCACTTGCAAATTCCACAAAAAGAGTGTTTCAAGTCTGCTCTCTATAAAGGATCGTTCAACTCTGTGAGTTGAATACACACAACACAAGGAAGTTACTGAGAATTATTGTGTCTAGCAGAATATGAACAAATCCCGTTTCCAAAGAAGGCCTCAAAGAGGTCTGAATATCCATTTGCAGACTTTACAAACAGAGTGGTTCCTAACTGCTCTATGAAAAGAAAGGTTAAACTCTGTGAGTTCAACGCCCACATCACAAAGGAGTTTATGAGAATCATTCTGTCTAGTTTTTATACGAAGATATTTCCTTTTCTACCATTGACCTCAAAGCGGCTGAAATCTCCACTTGCAAATTCCACAAAAAGAGTGTTTCAAATCTGCTCTGTGTAAACCACTGTTCAACTCTGTGAGTTGAATACACACAACACAAGGAAGTTACTGAGAATTCTTCTGTCTAGCAGAACATGAAGAAATCCCGTTTCCAACGAAGGCCACAAGATGTCAGAATATCCACTTACAGAATTTACAAACAGAGTGTTTCCTAACTGCTCTATGAAAAGAACGGTTAAACTCTGTGAGTTGAACGAACACATCACAACGCAGTTTGTGGGAATGATTATCTGTCTAGTTTTTATACGAAGATATTTCCTTTTCTACCATTGACTTCAAAGCGGCTGAAATCTCCACTTGCAAATTCCACAAAAAGAGTGTTTCAAGTCTGCTCTGTGTAAAGGATCGTTGAACTCTGTGAGTTGAATACACACAACACAAGGAAGTTACTGAGAATTCTTCTGTCTAGCAGAATATGAAGAAATCCCGTTTCCAACGAAGGCCTCAAAGAGGAATGAATATCCACATGAAGACTTTACAAACAGAGTGTTTCCTAACTGCTCTATGAAAAGGAAAGTTAAACTCTGTGAGTTGAACGCACACATCACAAAGGAGTTTCTGAGAATCATTCTGTCTAGTTTCTATAGGAAGATATTTCCTTTTCTACCATTGACCTCAAATCGGCTGAAATCTCCACTTGTAAATTCCACAAAAAGAGTGTTTCAAGTCTGCTCTGTGTAAAGGATCGTTCAACTCTGTGAGTTGAATACACACAACACAGGGAAGTTACTGAGAATTCTTCTGTCTAGCATAATATGAAGAAATCCCGTTTCCAACGAAGGCCTCAAAGAGGTCTGAATATCCACTTGCAGACTTTACAAACAGAGTGTTTCCTAACTGCTGTATGAAAAGAAAAGTTAAACTCTGTGAGTTGAACGCACACATCACAAAGGAGTTTCTGAGAATCATTCTGTCTAGTTTTCATACGAAGATATTTCCTTTTCTACCATTGACCTCAAAGCGGCTGAAATCTCCACCCTGCCACTTCCACAAAAAGAGTGTTTCAAGTCTACTCTGTGTAAAGGATCGTTGAACTCTGTGAGTTGAAAACACACAACACAACGAAGTTTCTGAGAATTCTTCTGTCTAGCAGAATATGAAGAAATCCCGTTTCCAACGAAAGCCTCTAGGATGTCTGAATATCCACTTGCAGACTTTACAAACAGAGTGTTTCCTAACTGCTCTATGAAAAGAAAGGTTAAACTATGTGAGTTGAACGCACACATCACAAAGGAGTTTCTGAGAATCATTCTGTCTAGTTTTTATAGGAAGATATTTCCTTTTCTACCTTTGACTTCAAAGCGGCAGAAATCTCCACTTGCAAATTCCACAAAAAGAGTGTTACAAGTCTGCTCTGTGTAAAGGATCGTTCAACTCTGTGAGTTGAATACACACAACACAAGGAAGATTCTGAGAATTCTTCTGTCTAGCAGAATATGAAGAAATCCCGTTTCCAACGAAGGCCACAAGATGTCAGAATATCCACTTACAGAATTTACAAACAGACTGTTTCCTAACTGCTCTACGAAAAGAAAGGTTAAACTCTGTGAGTTGAACGAACACATCACAACGCAGTTTGTGGGAATGATCTGTCTAGTTTTGAAACGAAGATATTTCCTTTTCTGCCATTGAACTTAAAGCGCTTGAAATCTCCATTTGCCAATTGCACAAAAAGAGTGTTTCAAATCTGCTCTGTCTAAGGGAACGTTCAACTCTGTGAGTTGAATGTACACAACACAAGGAAGTTACTGGGAATTCTTTCTGTCTAGCCTTACATGAAAAAAACCAGTTTCCAACGAAGGCCTCTAAGTGGTCAAATTATCCACGTGCAGACTTTACAAACAGAGTGTTTCCAAACTGCTGAATGAAAAGAAAAGTTAAACTCTGAGAGTTGAACGCACACATCACAGAGCAGTTTCTGAGAATGATTCTGTCTAGTTTTTATACGAAGATATTTCCTTTTCTGCCTTTGGCCCCAAAGCGCTTGATATCTCCACTTGCAAATTCCACAAAAACAGTGTTTCAAATCTGCTCTCTCTAAATGAAAGTTCAACTCTGTCAGTTGAATACACACAACACAAGGAAGTTACTGAGAATTCTTCTGTCTAGCATAATATGAAGAAATCCCATTTCAAACGAAGGCCTCAAAGAGGTCTGAATATCCACTTGCAGACTTTACAAACAGAGTGTTTCCTAACTGCTCTATGAAAAGAAAAGTTAAACTCTGTGAGTTGAACGCACACATCACAAAGGAGTTTCTGAGAATCATTCTGTCTAGTTTTTATAGGAAGATATTCCCTTTTCTACCTTTGACTTCAAAGCGGCTGAAATCTCCACTTGCAAATTCCACAAAAAGAGTGTTACAAGTCTGCTCTGTGTAAAGGATCGTTCAACTCTGTGAGTTGAATACACACAACACAAGGAAGTTACTGAGAATTCTTCTGTCTAGCATAGTATGAAGAAATCCCGTTTCCAACGAAGGCCTCAAAGAGGTCTGAATATCCACTTGCAGAGTTTACAAACAGAGTGTTTCCTAACTGCTCTATGAAAAGAAAGGTTAAACTCTGTGAGTTGAACGCACACATCACAAAGAAGGTTCTGAGAATCATTCTGTCTAGTTTTGAAACGAAGATATTTCCTTTCCTGCCATTGACCTTAAAGCGCTTGAAATCTCCATTTGCCAATTGCACAAAAAGAGTGTTTCAAATCTGCTCTGTCTAAGGGAACGTTCAACTCTGTGAGTTGAATGTACACAACACAAGGAAGTTACTGGGAATTCTTCTGTCTAGCCTTACATGAAAAAATCCCGTTTCCAACGAAGGCCTCTAAGTGGTCAAAATATCCACGTGCAGACTTTACAAACAGGGTGTTTCCAAACCGCTGAATGAAAAGAAAAGTTAAACTCTGAGAGTTGAACGCACACATCACGCAGCAGTTTCTGAGAATGATTCTAGTCTAGTTTTTATACAGAAGATATTTCCTTTTCTGCCTTTGGCCTCAAAGCGCTTGAAATCTCCACTTGCAAATTCCACAAAAAGAGTGTTTCAAATCTGCTCTGTGTAAATCAAAGTTCAACTCTGTGAGTTGAACACACACAACACAAGGAAGTTACTGGGAATTCTTCTGTCTAGCATAATAGGAAGAAATCCCGTTTCCAACGAAGGCCTCAAGGAGGTCTGAGTATCCACTTGCAGACTTTACAAGCAGAGTGTTTCCTAACTGCTCTATGAAAAGAAAGGTTAAACTCTGTGAGTTGAATGCACACATCACAAAGGAGTTTCTCAGAATCATTCTGTCTAGTTTCTATAGGAAGATATTTCCTATTCTACCATTGACCTCAAAGAGGCTGAAATCTCCACTTGCAAATTTCACAAAAAGAGTGTTTCAAGTCTGCTCTGTGTAAAGGATCGTTCAACTCTGTGAGTTGAATACACACAACACAAGGAAGTTACTGAGAATTCTTCTGTCTAGCATAATATGTAGAAATCCCGTTTCCAACGAAGGCCTCAAGGAGGTCTGAATATCCACTTGCAGACTTTACAAACAGAGTGTTTCCTAACTGCTCTATGAAAAGAAAGGTTAAACTCTGTGAGTGGAACGCACACATCACAAAGGAGTTTCTGAGAATCATTCTGTCTAGTTTTTGTACGAAGATATTTCCTTTTCTACCATTGACCTCAAAGAGGCTGAAATCACCACTTGCCAATTGCACAAAAAGAGTGTTTCAAATCTGCTCTGTCTAAGGGAACGTTCAACTCTGTGAGTTGAATGTACACAACACAAGGAAGTTACTGGGAATTCTTCTGTCTAGCCTTACATGAAGAAAACCCGTTTCCAACGAAGGCCTCTAAGTGGTCAAAATAACCACGTGCAGACTTTACAAACAGAGTGTTTCCAAACCGCTGAATGAAAAGAAAAGTTAAACTCTGAGAGTTGAACGCACACATCACGCAGCAGTTTCTGAGAATTATTCTGTCTAGTTTTTATATGAAGATATTTCCTTTTCTACCATTGACCTCAAAGTGGCTGAAATCTCCACTTACAAATTCCACAAAAAGAGTGTCTCAAGTCTGTTCTGTGTAAACGATCGTTAAACTCTGTGAGTTGAATACACACAACACAAGGAAGTTTCTGAGAATTCTTCTGTCTAGCAGAATATGAAGCAATCCCGTTTCCAACGAAGGCTTCAAAGAGGTCTGAATATCCACTTGCAGACTTTACAAACAGAGTGTTTCCTAACTGCTCTATGAAAAGAAAGGTTAAACTCTGTGAGTTGAACGCACACATCACAAAGCAGTTTCTGAGAATCGTTCTGTCTAGTTTCTATAAGAAGATATTTCCTATTCTACCATTGACCTCAAAGCGGCTGAAATCTCCACTTGCAAATTCGACAAAAAGAGTGTTTCAAGTCTGCTCTGTGTAAAGGATCGTTCAACTCTGTGAGTTGAATACACACAACACAAGGAAGTTACTGAGAATTTTTCTGTCTAGCAGAATATGAAGAAATCCCTGCTTCCAACGAAGGCCTCAAAGAAGTCTGAATATCCACTTGCAGACTTTACAAACAGAGTGTTTCCCAACTGCTCTATGAAAAGAAAGGTTGAACTTTGTGAGTTGAACGCACACATCACAAAGGAGTTTCTGAGAATCATTCTTGTCTAGTTTTTCTACGAAGATATTTCCTTTTCTACTATTGACCTCAAAGCGGCTGAAATCTCCACTTGCAAATTCCACAAAAAGAGTGTTTCAAGTCTGCTCTGTGTAAAGGATCGTTCAACTCTGTGAGTTGAATACACACAACACAAGGAAGTTACTGAGAATTCTTCTGTCTAGCAGAATATGAAGAAATCCCGTTTCCAACGAAGGCCACAAGATGTCAGAATATCCACTTACAGAATTTTCAAACAGACTGTTTCCCAACTGCTCTATGAAAAGAAAGGTTAAACTCTGTGAGTTGAACGAACACATCACAACGCAGTTTGTGGGAATGATTCTCTCTAGTTTTGAAACGAAGATATTTCCTTTTCTGCCATTGACCTTAAAGCGCTTGAAATCTCCACTTGCCAATTGCACAAAAAGAGTGTTTCAAATCTGCTCTGTCTAAGGGAACGTTCAACTCTGTGAGTTGAATGTACACAACACAAGGAAGTTACTGGGAATTCTTCTGTCTAGCCTTACAAGAAAAAAACCCGTTTCCAACGAAGGCCTCTAAATGGTCAAAATATCCACGTGCAGACTTTACAAACAGAGTGTTTCCAAACTGCTGAATGAAAAGAAAGGTTAAACTCTGAGAGTTGAACGCACACATCGCAGAGCAGTTTCTGAGAATGATTCTGTCTAGTTTTGAAACGAAGATATTTCCTTTTCTGCCTTTGGCCTCAAAGCGCTTGAAATCTCCACTTGCAAATTCCACAAAAAGAGTGTTTCAAATCTGCTCTGTGTAAATGGAAGTTCAACTCTGTGAGTTGAACACACACAACACAAGGAAAGTTACTGGGAATTCTTCTGTCTAGCAGAATATGAAGAAATCCCGTTTCCAACGAAGGCCTCAAAGAGGTCTGAATATCCACTTGCACACTATACAAACAGAGTGTTTCCCAACTGCTCTATGAAAAGAAAGGTTAAACTCTGTGAGTTGAACGCACACATCACAAAGGAGTTTCTGAGAATCATTCTGTCTAGTTTCTATAGGAAGATATTTCCTATTCTACCATTGACCTCAAAGCGGCTGAAATCTCCACTTGCAAATTACACAAAAAGAGTGTTTCAAGTCTGCTCTGTGTAAAGGATCGTTCAACTCTGTGAGTTGAATACACACACTACAAGGAACTTACTGAGAATTCTTCTGTCTAGCATAATATGAAGAAATCCCGTTTCCAACGAATGCCTCAAGCAGGTCTGAATCTCCACTTGCAGACTTTACAAACAGAGTGTTTCCTAACTGCTCTATGAAAAGAAAGGTTAACCTCTGTGAGTTGAACGCACACATCACAAAGGAGTTTCTGAGAATCATTCTGTCTAGTTTTTATAGGAAGATATTTCTTTTCTACCATTGACCTCAAAGCGGCTGAAATCTCCACTTGCAAATTCCAGAAAAAGAGTGTTTCAAGTCTGCTCTGTGTAAAGGATCGTTGAACTCTGTGAGTTGAATACACACAACACAATGAAGTTACTGAGAATTCTTCTGTCTAGCCTTACAAGAAAAAAACCCGTTTCCAACGAAAGCCTCTAAATGGTCAAAATATCCACGTGCAGACTTTACAAACAGAGTGTTTCCAAACTTCTGAATGAAAAGAAAAGTTAAACTCTGAGAGTTGAACGCACACATCGCAGAGCAGTTTCTGAGAATGATTCTGTCTAGTTTTTATACGAAGATATTTCCTTTTCTGCCTTTGGCCCCAAAGCGCTTGAAATCTAAACTTGCAAATTCCACAAAAACAGTGTTTCAAATCTCCTCTCTCTAAATGAAAGTTCAACTCTGTCAGTTGAATACACACAACACAAGGAAGTTACTGAGAATTCCTCCGTCTAGCCTTACATGAAAAAAACCCGTTTCCAACGAAGGCCTCAAAGAAGTCCAAATATCCACGTGCAGACTTTACAAACAGAGTGTTTCCTAACTGCTCTATGAAAAGAAAGGTTAAACTCTGTGAGTTGAACGCACACATCACAAAGGAGTTTCTGAGAATCATTCTGTCTAGTTTCTATAAGAAGATATTTCCTATTCTACCATTCACCTCAAAGCGGCTGAAATCTCCACTTGCAAATTCGACAAAAAGAGTGTTTCAAGCCTGCTCTCTGTAAAGGATCCTTCAACTCTGTCAGTTGAATACACACAACACAAGGAAGTTACTGAGAATTCTTCTGTCTAGCAGAATATGAAGAAATCCCGTTTCCAAAGAAGGCCACAAGATGTCAGAATATCCACTTACAGACTTTACAAACAGAGTGTTTCCTAACTGCTCTATGAAAAGAAAGGTTAAACCCTGTGAGTTGAACGAACACATCACAACGCAGTTTGTGGGAATGATTCTGTCTAGTTTTGAAACGAAGATATTTCCTTTTCTGCCTTTGGTCTCAAAGCGCTTCAAATCTCCACTTGCCAATTCCACATAAAGAGTGTTTCAAATCTGCTCTGTCTAAATGAAAGTTCAACTCTGTCAGTTGAATACACACAACACAAGGGAGTTTCTGAGAATTCTTCTGTCTAGAATAGTATGAAGAAATCCCGTTTCCAACGAAGGCCTCAAACAGGTCTGAATATCCACTTGCAGAGTTCACAAACAGAGTGTTTCCTAACTGCTCTATGAAAAGAAAGGTTAAACTCTGTGAGTTGAACGCACACATCACAAAGAAGTTTCTGAGAATCATTCTGTCTAGTTTTTATACGAAGATATTTCCTTTTCTGCCTTTGGCCTCAAAGCGCTTGAAATCTCCACTTGCAAATTCCACAAAAAGAGTGTTTCCAATCTGCTCTGTGTAAATGAAAGTTCAACACTGTGAGTTGAACACACACAACACAAGGAAGTTACTGGGAATTCTTCTGTCTAGCATAATATGAAGAAATCCCGTTTCCAACGAAGGCCTCAAGGAGGTCTGAATATCCACTTGCACACTTTAGAAACAGAGTGTTTCCTAACTGCTCTATGAAAAGAAAGGTTAAACTCTGTGAGTTGAACGCACACATCACAAAGGAGTTTCTCAGAATCATTCTGTCTAGTTTCTATAAGAAGATATTTCCTATTCTACCATTGACCACAAAGCGGCTGAAATCTCCACTTGCAAATTCGACAAAAAGAGTGTTTCAAGCCTGCTCTCTGTAAAGGATCCTTCAACTCTGTGAGTTGAATACACACAACCCAAGGGAAGTTACTGAGAATTATTCTGTCTAGCCTTACTGGAAAAAAACCAGTTTCCAACGAAGGCGTCTAAGTGGTCAAAATATCCACGTGCAGACTTTAAAAACAGAGTGTTTCCAAACTGCTGAATGAAAAGAAAAGTTAAACTCTGAGAGTTGAACGCACACATCGCAGAGCAGTTTCTGAGAATGATTCTGTCTAGTTTTGAAACGAAGATATTTCCTTTTCTGCCTTTGGCCTCAAAGCCATTGAAATCTCCACTTGCAAATTCCACAAAAAGAGTGTTTCAAATCTGCTCTGTGTAAATGAAAGTTCAAATCTGTGAGTTGAACACACACAACACAAGGAAGTTACTGGGAATTCTTCTGTCTAGCATAGTATGAAGAAATCCCGTTTCCAACGAAGGCCTCAAAGAGGTCTGAATATCCACTTGCAGAGTTTACAAACAGAGTGTTTCCTAACTGCTCTATGAAAAGAAAGGTTAAACTCTGTGAGTTGAACGCACACATCCCAAAGAAGTTTCTGAGAATCATTCTGTCTAGTCTTTATACGAAGATATTTACTTTTCTACCATTGACCTCAAAGCGGCTGAAATCTCCACTTGCAAATTCCACAAAAAGAGTGTTTCAAGTCTGCTCTGTGTAAAGGATCATTCAACTCTGTGAGTTGAATAAACACAACACAATGAAGTTACTGAGAATTCTTCTGTCTAGCCTTATATGAAAAAAACCCGTTTCCAACGAAGGCCTCAAAGAGGTCTGAATATCCACTTGCAGACTTTAGAAACAGAGTGTTTCCTAACTGCTCTATGAAAAGAAAGGTTAAACTCTGTGAGTTGAACACACAGATCACAAAGGAGTTTCTGAGAATCATTCTGTCTAGTTTTTATACGAAGATATTTCCTATTCTACCATTGACCTCAAATCGGCTGAAATCTCCACTTGCAAATTCCACAAGAAGAGTGTTTCAAGTATGCTCTGTGTAAAGGATCGTTCAACACTGTGAATTGAATACACACAACACAAGGAAGTTACTGAGAATTCTTCTGTCTAGCAGAATATGAAGAAATCCCGTTTCCAACGAAGGCCACAAGATGTCAGAATATCCACTTACAGACTTTACAAACAGAGTGTTCCTAACTGCTCTATGAACAGAAATGTTAAACTCTGTGAGTTGAACGAACACATCACAACGCAGTTTGTGGGAATGATTCTGTCTAGTTTTGAAACCAAGATATTTCCTTTTCTGCCGTTGACCTTAAAGAGCTTGAAAACTACACTTGCAAATTGCACAAATAGAGTGTTTCAAATCTGCTCTGTCTAAGGGAACGTTCAACTCTGTGAGTTGAATGCACACAACACAAGGAAGTTACTGGGAATTCTTCTGTCTAGGCTTACATGAAAAAAACCGGTTTCCAACGAAGGCCTCTAAGTGGTCAAAATATCCACGTGCAGACTTTACAAACAGAGTGTTTCCAAACCGCTGAATGAAAAGAAAAGTTAAACTCTGAGAGTTCAACGCACACATCACGCAGCAGTTTCTGAGAATGATTCTGTCTAGTTTTTATAGGAAGATATTTCCTTTTCTACCTTTGACTTCAAAGCGGCTGAAATCTCCACTTGCAAATTCCACAAAAAGAGTGTTTCAAGTCTGCTCTGTGTAAAGGATCGTTCAACTCTGTGAGTTGAATACACACAACACGCGGAAATTACTGAGAATTCTTCTGTCTAGCATAGTATGAAGAAATCCCGTTTCCAACGAAGGCCTCAAAGAGGTCTGAATATCCACTTGCAGACTTTACAAACAGAGTGTTTCCTAACTGCTCTATGAAAAGAAAGGTTAAACTCTGTGAGTTGAACGCACACATCACAAAGGAGTTTCTGAGAATCATTTCTGTCTAGTTTTTATAGGAAGATATTTCCTTTTCTACCTTTGACTTCAAAGCGGCTGAAATCTCCACTTGCAAATTCCACAAAAAGAGTGTTACAAGTCTGCTCTGTGTAAAGGATCGTTCAACTGTGTGAGTTGAATACACACAACACAAGGAAAGTTACTGAGAATTCTTCTGTCTAACCTTACATGAAAAAAACCCGTTTCCAACGAAGGCCTCTAAGTGGTCAAATTATCCACGTGCAGACTTTACAAACAGAGTGTTTCCAAACTGCTGAATGAAAAGAAAAGTTAAACTCTGAGAGTTGAACGCACACATCGCAGAGCAGTTTCTGAGAATGATTCTGTCTAGTTTTTATACGAAGATATTTCCTTTTCTGCCTTTGGCCCCAAAGCGCTTGAAATCTCCAATTGCAAATTCCACAAAAACAGTGTTTCAAATCTGCTCTCTCTAAATGAAAGTTCAACTCTGTCAGTTGAATACACACAACACAAGGAAGTTACTCAGAATTCTTCTGTCTAGCCTTACATGAAAAAATCCCGTTTCCAACGAAGGCCTCTAAGTGGTCAAAATTTCCACGTGCAGACTTTACAAACAGAGTGTTTCCAAACCGCTGAATGAAAAGAAAAGTTAAACTCTCAGAGTTGAACGCACACATCACGCAGCAGTTTCTGAGAATGATTCTGTCTAGTTTTTATACGAAGATATTTCCTTTTCTGCCTTTGGCCCCAAAGCGCTTGAAATCTCCACTTGCAAATTCCACAAAAACAGTGTTTCAAATCTGCTCTCTCTAAATGAAAGTTCAACTCTGTCAGTTGAATACACACAACACAAGGAAGTTACTGAGAACTCTTCTGTCTAGCCTTATATGAAAAAAACCCGTTTCCAACGAAGGCCTCAAAGAGGTCTGAATATCCACTTGCAGAGTTTACAAACAGAGTGTTTCCTAACTGCTCTATGAAAAGAAAGGTTAAACTCTGTGAGTTGAACGCACACATCACAAAGAAGTTTCTGAGAATCATTCTGTCTAGTTTTTATACGAAGATATTTCCTTTTCTACCATTGACCTCAAAGTGCTTGAAATCTCCACTTGCAAATTCCACAAAAAGAGGGTTTCTAATCTGCTCTGTGTAAAGGATCGTTCAACTCTGTGAGTTGAATGCACACAACACAAGGAAGTTACTGAGAATTCTTCTGTCTAGCACAGTATGAAGAAATCCCGTTTCCAACGAAGGCCTCAAAGAGGTCTGAATATCCACTTGCAGAGTTTACAAACAGAGTGTTTCCTAACTGCTCTATGAAAAGAAAGGTTAAACTCTGTGAGTTGAACGCACACATCCCAATGAAGTTTCTGAGAATCATTCTGTCTAGTTTTAATACGAAGATATTTCCTTTTATACCATTGACCTCAAAGCGGCTGAAATCACCACTTGCCAATTGCACAAAAAGAGTGTTTCAAATCTGCTCTGTCTAAGGGAACGTTCAACTCTGTGAGTTGAATGTACACAACACAAGGAAGTTACTGGGAATTCTTCTGTCTAGCCTTACAGGAAAAAAACACGTTTCCAACGAAGGCCTTTAGGTGGTCAAAATATCCACGTGCAGACTTTACAAACAGAGTGTTTCCAAACTGCTGAATGAAAAGAAAAGTTAAACTCTGAGAGTTGAACGCACACATCACAGAGCAGTTTCCGAGAATGATTCTAGTCTAGTTTTGAAACGAAGATATTTCCTTTTCTGCCTTTGGCCTCAAAGCGCTTGAAATCTCCACTTGCAAATTCCACAAAAAGAGTGTTTCAAATCTGCTCTGTGTAAATGAAAGTTCAACTCTGTGAGTTGAACACACACAACACAAGGAAGTTACTGGGAATTCTTCTGTCTAGCAGAATATGAAGAAATCCCGTTTCCAACGAAGGTCTCAAGGAGGTGTGAATATCCACTTGCAGACTTTACAAACAGAGTGTTTCCTAACGGCTCTATGAACAGAAAGGTTAAACTCTGTGAGTTGAACGCACACATCACAAAAGAGTTTCTGAGAATCATTCTGTCTAGTCTTTATACGAAGATATTTCATTTTTCTACCATTGACATCAAAGCGGCTGAAATCTCCACTTGCAAATTCCACAAACAGAGTGTTTCAAGTCTGCTCTGTGTAAAGGATCGTTCAACTCTGTGAGTTGAATACACACAACACAAGGAAGTTACTGAGAATTCTTCTGTCTAGCAGAATATGAAGAAATCCCGTTTCCAACGAAGGCCACAAGATGTCAGAATATCCACTTACAGACTTTACAGAGTGTTTCCTAACTGCTCTATGAACAGAAAGGTAAAACTCTGTGAGTTGAACGAACACATCACAACGCAGTTTGTGGGAATGATTCTGTCTAGTTTTGAAACGAAGATATTTCCTTTTCTGCCATTGACCTTAAAGCGCTTGAAATCTACACATGCAAATTGCACAAATAGAGTGTTTCAAATCTGCTCTGTCTAAGGGAACGTTCAACTCTGTGAGTTGAATGCACACAACACAAGGAAGTTACTGGGAATTCTTCTGTCTAGCCTTACATTAAAAAAAACCGTTTCCAACGAAGGCCTCTAAGTGGTCAAATTATCCACGTGCAGACTTTACAAACAGAGTGTTTCCAAACTGCTGAATGAAAAGAAAAGTTAAACTCTGAGAGTTGAACGCACACATCACAGAGCAGTTTCTGAGAATGATTCTGTCTAGTTTTCAAACGAAGATATTTCCTTTTCTGCCTTTGGCCTCAAAGCGCTTGAAATCTCCACTTGCAAATTCCACAAAAAGAGTGTTTCAAATCTGCTCTGTGTAAATGAAAGTTCAACTCCGTGAGTTGAACACACACAACACAAGGAAGTTACTGGGAATTCTTCTGTCTAGCATAGTATGAAGAAATCCCGTTTCCAACGAAGGCCTCAAAGAGGTCTGAATATCCACTTGCAGATTTTACAAACAGAGTGTTTCCTAACTGCTCTATGAAAAGAAAGGTTAAACTCTGTGAGTTGAACGCACACATCACAAAGAAGTTTCTGAGAATCATTCTGTCTAGTTTTTATAGGAAGATATTTCCTTTTCTACCTTTGACTTCAAAGCGGCTGAAATCTCCACTGGCAAATTCCACAAAAAGAGTGTTACAAGTCTGCTCTGTGTAAAGGATCGTTCAACTCTGTGAGTTGAATACACACAACACAAGGAAGTTACTGAGAATTCTTCTGTCTAGCCTTACATGAAAAAAACCCGTTTCCAACGAAGGCCTCTAAGTGGTCAAATTATCCACGTGCAGACTTTACAAACAGAGTGTTTCCAAACTGCTGAATGAAAAGAAAAGTTAAACTCTGAGAGTTGAACGCACACATCGCAGTGCAGTTTCTGAGAATGATTCTGTCTAGTTTTTATACGAAGATATTTCCTTTTCTACCATTGACCTCAAAGCGGCTGAAATCACCACTTGCCAATTGCACAAAAAGAGTGTTTCAAATCTGCTCTGTCTAAGGGAACGTTCAACTCTGTGAGTTGAATGTACACAACACAAGGAAGTTACTGGGAATTCTTCTGTCTAGCCTTACATGAAAAAAACCCGTTTCCAACGAAGGCCTATAAGTGGTCAAGTTATCCACGTGCAGACTTTACAAACAGAGTGTTTCCAAACTGCTGAATGAAAAGAAAAGTTAAACTCTGAGAGTTGAACGCACACATCGCAGAGCAGTTTCTGAGAATGATTCTGTCTAGTTTCTATAGGAAGATATTTCCTATTCTATCATTGACCTCAAAACGGCAGAAATCTCCACTTGCAAATTCCACAAAAAGAGTGTTTCAAGACTGCTCTGTGTAAAGGATCGTTCAACTCTGTGAGTTGA
Source organism: Homo sapiens (assembly GCF_000001405.40). Classification (NCBI taxonomy): domain Eukaryota; kingdom Metazoa; phylum Chordata; class Mammalia; order Primates; family Hominidae; genus Homo; species Homo sapiens. The sequence goes on along the minus strand of NC_000019.10, from coordinate 25,236,996 downwards.
ATACACACAACACAAGGAAGTTACTGAGAATTCTTCTGTCTAGCAGAATATGAAGAAATCCCGTTTCCAACGAAGGCCTCAAAGAGGTCTTAATATCCAATTGCAGACTTTACAAACAGAGTGTTTCCTAACTGCTCTATGAAACGAAAGGTTAAACTCTGTGAGTTGAACGCACACATCACAAAGGAGTTTCTGAGAATCATTCTGTCTAGTTTCTATAAGAAGATATTTCCTATTCTACCATTGACCTCAAAGCGGCTGAAATCTCCACTTTCAAATTCCACAAAAAGTGTGTTTCAAGTCTGCTCTGTGTAAAGGATCGTTCAACTCTGTGAGTTGAATACACACAACACAAGGAAGTTCCTGAGAATTCTTCTGTCTAGCAGAATATGAAGAAATCCCGTTTCCAACGAAGGCCACAAGATGTCAGAATATCCACTTACAGAATTTACAAACAGACTGTTTCCTAACTGCTCTATGAAAAGAAAGGTTAAACTCTGTGAGATGAACGAACACATCATAACGCAGTTTGTGGGAATGATTCTGTCTAGTTTTGAAACGAAGATATTTCCTTTTCTGCCTTTGAACTTAAAGCGCTTGAAATCTCCATTTGCCAATTGCACAAAAAGAGTGTTTCAAATCTGCTCTGTCTAAGGGAACGTTCAACTCTGTGAGTTGAATGTACACAACACAAGGAAGTTACTGGGAATTCTTCCGTCTAGCCTTACATGAAAAAAACCCGTTTCCAACGAAGGCCTCAAAGAAGTCCAAATATCCACGTGCAGACTTTACAAACAGAGTGTTTCCTAACGGCTCTATGAAAAGAAAGGTTAAACTCTGTGAGTTGAACGCCCACATCACAAAGGAGTTTCTGAGAATCATTCTGTCTAGTTTTTCTACGAAGATATTTCCTTTTCTACTATTGACCTCAAAGCGGCTGAAATCTCCACTTGCAAATTACACAAAAAGAGTGTTTCAAGTCTGCTCTGTGTAAAGGATCGTTCAACTCTGTGAGTTGAATACACACAACACAAGGAAGTTACTGAGAATTCTTCTGTCTAGCGGAATATGAAGAAATCCCGTTTCCAACGAAGGCCTCAAAGAGGTCTGAATATCCAATTGCAGACTTTACAAACAGAGTGTTTCCTAACTGCTCTATGAAAAGAAAGGTTAAACTCTGTGAGTTGAACGCACACATCACAAAGGAGTTTCTGAGAATCATTCTGTCTAGTTTCTATAGGAAGATATATCCTATTCTACCATTGACCTCAAAGCGGCTGAAATCTCCACTTGCAAATTCCACAAAAAGAGTGTTTCAAGTCTGCTCTGTGTAAAGGCTCGTTCAACTCTGTGAGTTGAATACACACAACACAAGGAAGTTACTGAGAATTCTTCTGTCTAGCAGAATATGAAGAAATCCCGTTTCCAACGAAGGCCACAAGATGTCAGAATATCCACTTACAGACTTTACAAACAGAGTGTTTCCTAACTGCTGTATGAACGGAAAGGTTAAACTCTGTGAGTTGAACGAACACATCACAACGCAGTTTGTGGGAATGATTCTGTCTAGTTTTGAAACGAAGATATTTCCTTTTCTGCCGTTGACCTTAAAGCGCTTGAAATCTACACTTGCAAATTGCACAAATAGAGTGTTTCAAATCTGCTCTGTCTAAGGGAACGTTTAACTCTGTGAGTTGAATGCACACAACACAAGGAAGTTACTGGGAATTCTTCTGTCTAGCCTTACATGAAAAAAACCCGTTTCCAACGAAGGCCTCTAAGTGGTCAAACTGTCCACGTGCAGACTTTACAAACAGAGTGTTTCCAAACCGCTGAATGAAAAGAAAAGTTAAACTCTGAGAGTTGAACGCACACATCACGCAGCAGTTTCTGAGAACGATTCTGTCTAGTTTTTATACGAAGATATTTCCTTTTCTGCCTTTGGCCCCAAAGCGCTTGAAATCTCCACTTGCAAATTCCACAAAAACAGTGTTTCAAAACTACTCTCTCTAAATGAAAGTTCAACTCTGTCAGTTGAATACACTCAACACAAGGAAGTTACTGAGAATTCTTCTGTCTAGCATAGTATGAAGAAATCCCGTTTCCAACGAAGGCCTCAAAGAGGTCTGAATATCCACTTGCAGAGTTTACAAACAGAGTGTTTCCAAACTGCTGAATGAAAAGAAAAGTTAAACTCTGAGAGTTGAACGCACACATCGCAGAGCAGTTTCTGAGAATGATTCTGTCTAGTTTTGAAACGAAGATATTTCCTTTTCTGCCT